>NC_000005.10:97079503-97382534 GCF_000001405.40 Homo sapiens
TAAAAGGAAAAGAGAAACTCTCAGCACTATTTGAATGGGCAGTTTAATGTTTGTGCTTAAGTTCTCCTTTTGCTGTAGCTGTTCTACTAGAGGCAGGGTGGCCTTCCACGGGATGACCAGCATGCGCCTATTGTTAAAGCAAACTAAATGGGGCCTGAGAAGGACTCCGTACTTCTATATTTGAGTCCTTGTGGACTACTGGCAACCTAACTTAATAGCTAGAGAAGATTGAAAATCTAACTTAGGAATGTGTGTCTGTAACAGTCGCTGAGTCCTGTCCAATCACAGCAGCCATACTTCAACCACTCACACACTGCTGGAGTGTTCAAACTGTGTTTAAATGAGGCAAACGCCAACCTGTAACTAATCCAGCTGTTTCTGTGCCTCACTTCCAATTTCTGTACATCACTGCCTTTTTTTTCTACAAATTTCTTCTGACCACAAGGCATCCCTGGAGTCTCCCTGAATCTGCTATGATTCTGGAGGCTGTCCGATTTGCAAATCGCTCATTGCTCAGTTAAACACCTTTAAATTTAATTCGGCTAAAGTTTTTCTTGTAACACTATTCTAGTGTCTTTCCTCCCCTTTGGTTACAACAAAATCTAGCAATGGCGAAGGGATATGAGGGAGACACAGGGACTAGTTTGAATATTTTGAGATAAACTTGATAAACAGAAAATTTGAATATATTTGTATGAATTCTTCATTTGGCAGAAATAGAGATGGGGATTTACTATAACACATTTATATAGAGCCATTTTCTACAAGGACTATGTCTTCTTTGGCTTTGTATAAAGTTGCTAATAATCTTTATTTGTTAATCTGAATGACATACTCTGCTTACTCTTTGTATATTTTTGTGCTTAACATTGATGTTAACATTAGTCATTTGTAAAAACATACATTACTTCTATATAATTGACTCCTATCTCTAAGCATCTCTAAATATTCTGTGTATCTTCCTCATTTGTTTGAGTAACAATTTACTAGTGAAAATAGAAAAACAGAAGGACAAAGAAATAAAGCTTCTTGCCTGCGTAGATCTTTGGTCAGATGACAGGTGTGGTTTTGAAACACTTCTTAAAATGTTTTTTTTTTTTTTTTTTTTTTTGTGTGTGTGTGTGTGTGTGTGTGTGTGTGTGGTGGAGAGCATTTATAGACCTTCAAGAAGAAACTTACCTGTTAAAATAACGATAACAATAATTCTAACCCTTAAGAAAGGTGACGTTGTGGGGAAACTGGGCCACATATGTTACAGTCCTCTAATTGGTTTTCTATTTTTGAAGAATTATCTAGTAACATGTATTAAGTATTTATTGTGTGTTAAGAATTTTTAAATATTCAAACAATTTGTCAAGTTAATTCTACTCCAGAAAATGTTTGCTTATTTGGTATAAAACAAGAAATTGAGGTCATTTATATTAAAAGTATGTCATAGAGCAGGGTGCAGTGATGACCGCCTGTAGTCCCAGCTACTTGGGAGGCTGAGATGGGAGGATTGCTTGAGGTCAGGAGTTCAAGGCTGTCACGCCTGTGCCACTTCACTCTAGCCTGGGCAGCATTTTATTTCATGACAAGTATATATCATAAACAAAAGAACTCAAAGATTTAAAAAGAGAGTTTGGAACTACCCAGAAGAGCTATCATTGGAGAAAACAAATCAGACAAAAAAAAAAATTGTAAAAAAGTAGGTTCAGCCTTGAGATCATGGATGCCCCATTTACCCTGATGTGATTATTATACATTGTATGCCTGTATCAAAATATCCCATATACCACATATATATATATATATATACACACCTACTATGTACCCATGAAAATTAAAAATAATTGTTTTGAAAAAAGTAGGTTCAGAAAAGTGCATAAAAATAGTTGCCAAAACTGCAATTACTTTTGCACCAATCTAATATTAAAGATAATGAAAACTGGGAAAACCAAAAATTTCCCTGAAGAGCAAATAAACTCACTGATGAAATACCATTCAAGACAAGTTTTGGAAACATGGTAACACATAGAAAGATGTGTGCAAGAAATAATGTTAAATGATTAAAATAGAATACAAAGTAATATGGACACAAGTCAGAACTATGTCGATATATATGTAAACATGCTATTAAATGTGAGGTAAAATAGTTTAATGTTTATTAAGCCTACTATAAAAAACACTCAGCTTCAACATTGTCTTTGGATCTTCATTTCCTTATAAAGGCTCTTGTGTCAAATTACTCTTTATTCACATTTCAGAATTAGAGCTTTGGAGAAGTAATCAAAGGAAATTGACTTCATAGTAATTAAAGTAAATAAATAAATTTGTGTGTTTTTCTCCTATTGATCTATCTTTATTAGTTTGATTTTTTTTTTCAGAACCAGCTAGGGACCCTAAGAGGATTGAGAAAAACCTTTTCTACCCTTACAATATCATCAAAAGTGATTTCTGTGGCCAGTGAATGCCAAGTCAGTAAAACGCATATTTGGAAATCAACCAACAGGAAATCCTGAAACTATATGTTGGTTTTCACTTTTTTTTTCTCCCTTGAGTTTGTTTTTAATCATCAGCTTTAATGTAATTTTTTCCTGGTGTACATAAACGGCACAAATGTTTGGTATCAATCCAATTTTTATGTGAAAACTGCAAACCCATGTACGGTACCCTCATCTCAAAAGAGAAGCACAAGACTGCATTTGACTGGTACAACCTTTCTGTGGATCCTCTGGTGGGAAATCTCTTTCATTTTCACACTTTCCTATTGCCTAGGTTGTCCAGCTGGTTACTACCTCTCCTCTTCACCTGATTATACCTGATTACTGCTGACTCGATGGGCAGGGAGAGTCGCTGACTCCTGACAGAAAGACTCTGTCACCCCTTGTAAGTTACTGGGGATCCCTCTCTGAAGACTGCCTGCTTGTTCTCTGGGGACTAGTCCTTATTTCCCTTCTGGGATACAGAGGGGAAGGTTATTTGTATTAAGCAAACATCTCTGAGAAACAACCCTCTCTGCAACATAGAGACCACAAGGAAAAGTGCAACATTGAAAGAATAGGGACTATGAATTGTTTTGAGTAGACAGAAATTTCTGCAAATGTATCTCTATCTTTCGCTCTTAAAAAAAAAATCTACTTAGTGTAGAAAAAGCTTCCTTCTTGACTCCTAATCCCCACCTTCTCAATAATGTTTCGAGTGTATTCCTACAAATTTATTTTTTATATGCCTAATTTTTTAAAAACCAAAAAAAACCTGGATTTTTACTTCATGTATTTCTTTTAAAATTGTTTTTCAATTAATCTATAGTGGATATTTTATTTTTGTATCTATATATAGAGATCTAGTTTCTTTTAGTGACTGCATAGTACAGATCAGTGCTGTCTAAGAGAAATATAGTGCAAGGTTCAAATGCAAGTCACATATGCAATTTTATACATTCTAATAGCTACATTAAAAAGGTTAAAAAGGTGAAATTAATTTTAGTAATATATTTAGGCCAGTATACCCAGAATATTATTGCTGCTACATTCAATCAACATAAAAGTTAATGAAATGTTTTTACCTTTTGTTTCATATCTTCAAAATCCAGTGTGTACTCAATTCAGACTAGCCTCATTTCAAGTGGTTAGTAGCTACTGTATTGGAGAGCACAGGAAGAAATGTGTCCTGAAACTAGTTTCCTAATGAGGAACATTCCAATGCTTATTAATATGAACAATTAAACAAAAACATTCTTTTGACATATCTTGAGCACTTACAGCAGTGGTTTTCCAGGATGAATTCATAGAGGTGAAAAATGCTGGGCCAAAGGGACAGAACATATCCAATTTTAATAGAGTTGGCTCCAAAAAAGACTCAAAAAAGACACTCTCAACAACACTGTTGGAGGATCCATTTCCTCACAGACTCACCAATGATAGATATTCTTTTTTTTTTTTGAGACAGAGTCTCGCTCTGTCGCCCAGGCTAGAGTGCAGTGGTGTGATCTCGGCTCACTGCAAGTTCCGCCTCCTTGGTTCACACCATTTTCCTGCCTCAGCCTCCCGAGTAGCTGAGACTACAGGCGCCCATCACCTCCCCTGGCTAATTTTCTGTATTTTTAGTAGAGACAGGGTTTCACCGTGTTAGCCAGGATGGTCTCAATCTCCTGACCTCGTGATCCGCCCGCCTCGGCCTCCCAGAGTGCTGGAATTACAGGCGTGCAATGATGGACATTCTAATTATAGTTTTCCAATCTGATTGGTGAAAATCTTACCATGGTTCGGTAAGTACTGGGATTGAAAACTGGAATTTCTTCTGTAGAATGCCTGTTGAGCTTGAATTTTTCCCTGGGTTAATTGAACCAGGTACTAACCCTTCATTCTTGTGCCTAGGTTCTGGAGAATCCCCTCCTGTTTACATGAGGGAGCTCCTCACAATTACATCTGGGGACTGGAATCACAGCCCCTGTTCTTCAGCCCGGGGCAGGGAATGAGAGCAGTCCTCAAACTTTCGGTTTAATATGCAGAAATTGACACTGGTACAGACACTATCATTCCAAATTCCTCATTTTTGTAAAGGTTAGCCAGAAACACAAGGTAACCATCTATTTTTTTGTGTGTTCTTTGGATATAAGATACATCTCTGCTACCAAGAAAGAGACTGCAACAAAGCACAGCTTTATTGGGAGTACATGTAAATGAGGAGACCTTAATTACCATAAAATCAATTTCCTTTGATTACTTCCCCAAAGCTCTAATTCTCAAACGTGAATTAAGAGTAATTTGAATAGAATGAATAGAATGTGTAAATAGACAACAACATGAGAAGGAAATTGAAGGTTGAATCTAGAAAAGAAATGGCTCAGGTTAAAAGGAAAAATGAGGAGAGTTAGAGGGGCAGAATCAGGAGCTTCTGTTTCATGATAGGTATGATTAGCCCTCCATGGACTTCCTCTCTTCTTCCCAGAGACTCCTTTCCTTAACTAAGTTCTTTCTTTGAACCCTGGTGTGCTCTTCTAACCGTGTAACTGTGTCCAGAATTGGTGTGTTCTTTGTCTCACTGACATCAAGAATGAAGCCACGGACCCTTGCGGTGAGTGTTACAGTTCTTAAAGATGGTGTGTCCAGAGTTTGTTCCTTCTGACGTTCGGACGTTTTTGGAGTTTCTTCCTTATGGTGCGTTTGTGGTCTCACTGGCTTCACGAGTGAAGCTGCAGACCTTCATGGTGAGTGTTACAGCTCATAAAGGCAGTGCAGACCCAAAGAGTGAGCAATAGCAAGATTTGTTGCAAAGAGCGAAAGAACAACGCTTCCACAGTGTGAAAGGGGACCTGAGCAGGTTGCCTGGGCAGCCTGCCTTTATTCCCTTATCTGGCCCCGCCCACATCCTGCTGATTGGTCCATTTTACAGAGAGCTGATTGGTCCATTTTGACAGGGTGCTGATTGGTGCGTTTACAATCCCTGAGCTAGACACAGAGTGCTGATTGGTGCATTTACAGTCCTCTAGCTAGACATAAAAGTTCTCCAAGCCCCCACTAGATTAACTAGACACAGAGCACTGATTGGTGCATTTACAAACCTTGAGCTAGACACAGAGTGCTGATTGGTGCATATACAATCCTCCAGCTAGACATAAAAGTTCTCCAAGTCCCCACCTGACTCAGGAGCCCAGCTGGCTTTGCCTAGTGTAGCCGGCACCGGGGCCAAGGGCGGAGCTGCCCACTAGTGCTGTCAGGTAGCAGTCCCGCACCGCCCACCTGCACTCCTCAGCCTTTGGGCGGTCAATGGGACCGGGCCTTGGAGCAGGGGGTGGCGCCTGTCAGGGAGGCTCCAGCCTGCTGCTGGAGCACACCGCGGGGGGCTCGGGCATGGCAGGCTGCAGGTCCCGAGCCCTGCCCCGTGGGGAGGCGGCTGAGGCCCCGCGAGAATTCAAGTGCGGCGCAGGCAGGACAGCAGTGCTGGGGGACCCAGCACACTCTCCGTAGCTGCTGGCCCGGGTGCTAAGCCCCTCACTGCCTGGGGCTGGTGGTGCTGGCCGGTCAGCCGATCTGAGTGTGGGGCCCGCGGAGCCCGTGCCCACCCGGAACTCGCGCTGGCCCACGAGCTCCACCACCCTGCAGCCCCGGTTCCCGTCCACGCCTCTCCCTCCACACCTCCCGGCAAGCAGGGGGAGCCGGCTCCAGCCTCGGCCAGCCCAGACAGGGGCTCCCGCAGTGCAGCGGGGGGCTGAAGGGCTCCTCAAATGTGGCCAGAGTGGGCAACATGGCAGAGGAGGCGCCAAGAGCGAGCAAGGGCTGCCAGCATGCTGTCACCTCTCGTAACTATATACATACACATACATATATATTGTATTAGTCCATTCACACTGCTATAAAGAACTACCCAAGACTGGGTAATTTATAAAGGAAAGAGGTTTAATTGCCTCACAGTTCCGCAGGGCTGAGGAGGTCTCAGGAAACTTGCAATCATGGCAGAAGGGGAAGCAAACATGTCCTTCACATGGAGGCAGGAAGGAGAAGTGAGAGCTGAGCAAAGTGGAAAGCACCTTATAAAACCATCAGATCTCATGAGAACTCACTATCATGAGAATGGTATGGGGGAAAGTGCACCCATGATTCAATTATCTCCACCTGGTCCTGCCCTTGATATGTGGGGATTATTACAATTCATGATGATTTTGGGTAGGGATGCAGCCAAAACTATAATATATAATATATATTACATATTATATATATTATATATTTTATATATATACACACATAAATAGAGAGAGAAATAGATTTTAGAAATTGACAGTTTTGGTTTTTAATTTTCTTGCTTTTTAGGCCATTTATTTTAGATCCTGTGAATCCTACTGTCAATGTTGTGACACCTGCAATGCCTGGGATGAAGCTGCCCATGTGGTGAGATGCAGCCTGTGGAAGCCTCTTTTCAGTGGAGTGAGAGCCAAGCCCCCTTGGCTTTTCATAGACAATTGGTGAACGGGACAAGGAGACACTGTCCTTGGATGTCTGAAAAAAAAAGAAAAAGGTTGCAAAACATGTTGCCAATAAGAATGTTGTAGATGAAAGGCAGGATGAAGGAAAGTGGTCTTAATTTAAATTCTCTATTTTACTAAACCTACTCTTTAACAAATATGTTTATGTGAGGCATCAGAAGCAAATGTATTTTGGCTTTTAAGAGAATTAAAATTGTTTCCCCTATTTTTTTATTTGTTTGCTTTGGTGGCTTTGTGACCAAAAAAATTGTTTTAATCCAAATAGCCACAATAAATAAATAAGCAAATGAATAAAATTCCCAGGTCATTTGAGAGAAAAGATTAACTGAAAAGGTAAAGCATCTCCCCCTTTTTAGTTTCAGTTAATTATAGTGTCAGGATGACTTTTTAACTTACCTGGCAATCTGGAACCTCATAGAGTCACTTGCGTTTTCAAAATTTCCATGTGAAAACATGATTGTGCCAAGTACTCCCTATTAACTTTTAGACATCATCTATAAAATCACTACAGGAAAATATGGAAATATCTGAGAGATACACAGTGGATCGCCTCAGAATAAATCGTTCCCCAAATCATTTTATGACTGCCTGAGTCGGGACTCATGGGTCAGAGTAGAGTCATAGTTAAGGTTTGCAACTGGCTTAGTAGCAAGAGGGGATAAACAAACTATCCAGGCTGTTGAACTGTCCAGTTTCGCTACAACTGTATTTACTTGTTGGGATCAACTGTTTTCTTTCCTATTAAGGTATTAGTAGCCACTGATAATGGAAGCCAGGGCCCGCTAGAAATAGACCAGAGGAAATTTCCTGACTCACTTGCATAACAACAGTTCATCAGCACTGAAGATATATGAAGTGTGACTGCAGAGTAATGGGAGTGATTAGGTTTCTCTGCACAACAAAACTCTTACATACAAATGAGCACTGTCCCCTTCAGGACAGTCCTCAGGGAACCCGTATGCTTATTCCGGTGTGTGATTGGTCTGGAAGCATTTTTGGATGCCCTCTGGACAGAAAGTGCTTTTGGACACTGTTAGTGGTGACAAAGTGTGTCCTTTGAGGATGGATTAGATTGTTGGAAATGATACAATGTATTCACAGTATACATCTGTTGTTTTTGTCTACCCAGAAGCCTCTGTCCAAACTTGTGGTTGGAGAGGCTGTATTTCTTCTGTCGTTCATTCTGTCTTTGAAGGCTCTCGAGGAGAAAATAGCTTTTAATATCTCTTGGGAAATGGCCACATTTTCCCCTGGCAATTGAACCCATGGCTTTCTTGAATGACTACTCCTCAACCAGGTCTAAGTTGTTTAGGTAGGCTGACTTGACCACCAGTTCCAGAGCACAGACATGTGACGAGCCTGGCCATAGTCATTGATTCAGGGATGGACACATGACTGAAACGGCATGCTGGCATTTAGTTCTGGTACTTGGATTTTAACTGTTGGGAGGAGAATTTCTCACTCTGCTATGATATAAGCATGAAGCTACTGGCTTCCACTTGCTGCTACAAAGAGCCTGCTTAAAAATGGAGCCAACATAAAAGGAAGCAGATTTAAGACCTGAGCGATGAGAGCGTGCACATGTGTGTATATCCACATAATGAGACTAAGTCTTGATTTCTGCACCTTGATCCAGATATACCTGGAGCAGAAACTCTGCTGGGACTCTTTTGTATCATGAGCCAGTAACCTCCCTATTTGCCTAGTAGGTTGATTTGGGCTTCAATCTTGCAACCAAGTGAGTCCTGACTAAACCAGCAGAATGGAGCCAGGTAAGGTTCTTTCTCAAGAAGAGAAGAAGGAAGGTATCAAGACGTTTATGACAAATTTCTACTCAACACTGAGCACCTGCTAAGTGCTGGGCCTAATAGTCGAGATGCTGCAATGAACTAGTCCATTCAGGATGCTGAGGTGTTTCAGCCTAGAAGAGACTGCTTTTCTTCCTTTGCTCATGCAGACTCAGGGGGCCATTCTCAAGGAGGAGTTAGTGACAGGAATGTCTTTGGCAAAGACAGCACTCTTGAGTGTGGTCAGAACATGTTATTTATTTCCCAAGATGATTAGTTTTTGAAGAAGACAACAAATAGTTGAGGCTATGAATTCTATCTCTGTAAAAATAGAGTTATGTTTTCCTCCTGTAGTCAGATCTCCTGTGGAACGTGAGTAAACAGGAATTTCTATGTATGGAGCAAGGACAGTATGGTTAGCACATAATACATGTGTTTATTTCAGAGCTGGGGAGGACTCCTGACCAGCGTGACACCTAACATTGGAGTGAAGGGGCAGCAGGTGAGGAGAAAGTTAACCCTGCACCAGTCCTAACTCTAGTTTTCTCAGCAGCATTTCTGTTGCTTGAAGAAGGTCCTCCTCGTGTCAGCTTTTTTGGTCTTTTCTTAGGTTGAAAAGACTGGAATAATAAAATGGGGCTTTGCTCTGAAATGAGTAAGGTGGATGATATGGTTTGGCTCTGTGTCCCCACCCAATTCTTATCTTGTAGCTCCCATAATTCCCCTGTGTTGTGGGAGGGACCCTGTGGGAGATAATTGAATCATGGGGGCAGGTCTTTCCCCTGCTGTTCTTGTGATAGTGAATAAGTCTCCCAAGAGCTGACGGTTTTAAAAATGGAAGTTTCTCTGCACAAGCTCTTTCTCTTTTCCTGCTACCATCTATGTAAGATGTGACTTGTTCCTCCTTGCCTTCCACCGTGATTGTGAGACCTCTCCAGCCACGTGAAACGGTAAGTCCATTAAACCTCTTTCTTTTGTAAATTGCCTAGTTTCAGCTATGTCTTTATCAGCAGCGTGAAAATGGGCTAATACAGTGAGATTTCTCTGGTTGTGAGGTATGTGATCCTTGCAACCAAGGAAAGGTTATTGCAGGGCACATAGGCCAGCGATTCCTCATCATCATCATGCCCTCCTGGGCCTCATCATCTCCTGTCTCTGCCTCTCTCTGCATCTGCTCTCTACACCAAGCAACTTCTCCCCCTTCTACTGATCAGCTTCCCTTGCTGACTCATGGTTCCTGCTTCTTCATCCCTTCCACCTGCAGAGACCACAGCTCTCATGGACAGACTGTTCCCACTTCAGCTCCCAACTCCAACTGGCCAATTCCTTCTGTGATTTTTAGTTCACATCCCTGAGAGGACAGACTGATTGGTCCAGTTTGTGGTTTTGAGCCAGATTACCCAGAATCACTGGCTGGCCTATGGGGTAGCTAGCTGTGATCAGGATGGGGCAACATCACGTGAAGCCAACAACAGAGAAGCAGGAACCTTAGAGGTCTGGGTGACTGGGTCAGGCTCCTTGGGTGGCCTGTCCCACACAGTTTTGCCTTGTGTGCTCCTGTCTTTCCCTGCAGGCCCTGGTGAAAATAGGCTCTGAGAAGAGGCTTAGTGGCTGCCATTTTCATGTCACCCGAATGTTGCTGTTTCTAGTGGTACTAACTCAGACACTTTCAAAAGTTTTGTAGGAAACGCAGGAAAAAAAAAATCATCTCTTCCTTAGCAAGTCAAAAGTAGAAGAAGCCATGATCAAAAAAGGCAATAGGTCATGGGAATGGGTGGGGCGTTGGCAAGCAAATCTATGAGGGGACAAAGAGAAAATAAAGGGAGTGTCTGGAGAACCAGTCTGAAACTGAGAATTACGCTCCAGGGAGGTGTTTCCATATGATGCCCTAGACTCACAGCTGCTCCTTGTGGTACCTTCCTCTGCCCACTCACAACCTGTATAGGCTAGTCTGGGAAACTTACCACCATTTATGACCTTGATCCTATAGAAAAATGTATTATCCTCACAGTTGAACTAACTGACTTACAAATGGACTTGTGGAGCCCAGTTGGGGATAGAATTGGGAAGTGCCTATAAATAGGTGGCAATCTGGGACTTTTGCTTGGGAACGAACAACACTAGAGAATCAATAGCTCTCAAAAGAAGCTTCTGCTTGCCTTTTTCACCACCTACCTTGCTCCAAAGAGGAAAGTGTTACCGGGACTTAGTTAGATTTTAAAAAGTGACTTTAACCATGAGCTGATAGATATTTTTATGGTTTCTAGGAAAGGGATTAAAAGTAATACCAAATGTTGGGGCCAAAGTGATCAAAGAGCACGTGCTGCTCATTTGGGAGGTAAATGCAACACATCTTTTTGCCCCTTCTTCTCCCTAGCTTCCAGGAGGGGTGGAGAGGCAACCTTTCACACACTCCTTTATTCCTTTCTGTGCTCTCTCTGTAGAAGCCAGGGCTCTGCTGCCCAGTAAAGGATGTGTTAGGTAGCTTTGTCCCAGAAGATCTCAAGCTGAAGTGTGATCAGAAACACCTGGTGAAGTGGTACATAATCCAGACCCTCTCCTGGAATTTGGTTGCAAGGTCTAAGGTGCAGCCTAGGAAGCTGTATTTTTAAACAAGTAACCTATATGATTCTGGTGCAGATAGTTATCTATTATATTTGAGAAAGAGAGCTTGTACCCTGGGGCAGAATCTGGCTCTCCTGCTCAGATGAGGGGTGTTTGTACATGTATGCACATGTGTATGTTCTTGCCCTGGTTTAGTCCTGGGTTCCAGGAGAGACCTCTTATCCAAGCAAAAAAATGTGCTCCTATGCGGCTCAGAAGAGCTCCACATTTGAGTTTGAGGCCAAGGTCAAGTGGAGTAATAGTTCCCACTGGTTAGGCATAGACCTCTGAGCCAGTACTTCTGGAGAGAGCGGTGGTTATCAACCTTCTGCGTGCTAGAACTGCCTGGGGAGTTTTAGAAAATACTGATGCCTGTGCTCCACTCCCAGAGTCTGATTTCATTGGTTTGGGTACAGTCTGGACATTTAGGGTTTTTTAAAGTTCCTTGGGTATTTCTAATGTGCAGCCAAAATTGAGAACCACTGTTATAAGGAGAAGGATTTTCATTTTCCTAGAGCCTTGCTTAAAAACAATCTTAATGTTAGCCTTTAAGGATGGACAGTATAGAATAAATCTTGATATTTGCATTTCTGTAAGTCAAAACAAAAAAAAAATCAACAATATATGAGATAACATCTTAACTAATGTTTACCTTCGAATATAGCATAAAAATATTCTTAGTCCGGCTTCTTTCGTCCTTTGGATAAAAAGAAAGGCGTGGCATGATAAAACTCAGAATTCTCTAAAGCATCTCGGCTAGAGATAAAATCAACTGCAACAATGCCTCTGGCTTTGAAAACTTTCTCTAAAGAAACAGAAAAGTGTTAAACCTTTATGCTTTTGATTCTGTTTTTCCTGAGACTTAACTGATCAGATTCATAGTTGATATAGGTATAGCATTTCAGGAATATCTATGGTTTAATTCTTTTCCTTTTCTAGAAATAGGTAAATAAATTTAATAGCAAAAATAGGAGTGAGCTATAGCTTTTGAACAAATAGACAACCAAATTCTGAACATTAGAGGTACGACTTTATTAAATCTGTACTTTCTGACCCATTTATCCAAGTTTAGTGACAGTTTGCTCTAAACTGCTTTTTTAAAAACAATAATATGGTAAATTTGGATTTTGTGGAACTTAAACTATCTCATGTCAAACACAGTGCAATTTTGGATTTCAGGATTATGACAGTTGTGTTAGAAACAGGCTACCTGGGCTATGTCTGAGTTATGTTGGATCCCTGATGTAAAGTTTGACAGTGTATGTTGTGTTCAAAATCAACAGTTCTAAACAAGAATCTAAAGATCCCCTAGGGCAATCTCTGGACTTTGGGGGGTCCACATACTCTGGAACTGTGTAATGTGAATATGTATGTTTTGTTCTATTTTCCTAGGAGATGATCCACAGCTTTTATCAGATTCTCAAAGGGCTTATAACCAAAAAAGGCTAGGACCCAGAGCTTCATGTGTTTAAATAGGGAATCTTCCACTCTAGTCCCCTTTATCACAGTGTGTTGTTCAGAACAAGATATAGAAAAGGAAAAAAAAAATCTGCTTTGCTCTTCAACCCTCTTTTCTCTAGGCTATAGTTAAAGATGTTTATATGATAGACTGACAGCCCTTATGTCTCAGCTGAAATTGATTTACTATCAAATCAGCATTAAAGGGACCAGCAAAGATTCTGACTTTTATTTATTTTGCTGAAGCTTTCATACCATTCCAGGAAGAATGGGCAGTTTTGGCCAGTCAAGAAAAGCTGACAGTGGCCAAGGGAGAACCTCTATATTCAATTTACAGAATGGGTGCAGTTTTTAACTTGTAGGGCACAAAGTAAATTTGATATTGTCCCATCTGATCCCTGTCCCTGCATCTAATTAAGATGGTGTCAGTTTGAGGAAGTCATTGTCAAAGGCTGCTAATGCAGTAAAGGTGTGCCTAACTTTCATCACATCCAGCATGGGAAATTGTGGCTTTTTGGAAATGACAATGTAAAGAGTAATGGCTTTATGAAAGAAATTAACTTTAAATAGAACATTTCCTAAATTTTAAAATTTATTCAACATAAAAATGTTAATTCTGATTTCTTTTCAGGAATATAAGGGAATAAAGTTCTTTCGTGGGTGACATTTAGCCTCATTGTGGAGAGGAATGTAACTTTTGTTAAAATAATATTTTAAAATAAAATGTGTTGAAAATTACTGTTACCTTTAAAAGATATTAAGGTATGACAATTATGTAGCTAATTGTTCCCCTGGTGTGAGATATGTGATACATGATAATCTTTTATTATCAAGTCTAATTCCAAAATACATGATCAGTTACAGTAGTTTTCATGTGGATTTAAGGAGTGATGGTTACCTTTGTACATACTTATTAGATATGAGGTTAAAATATCATATTTTATAAACTTTAATGTAATTATAATGGTTTTGCTTTCAGTGAAGCATGTATGCACTTGCATAAACAAAAGAAAAAGAAATTATTTTAAATTGAGAAAAACATTTTCTTTAATTTGGACTACTGAATAAAATGCAGAATAATCATTTTCATGTTACAGATATGGAAAGACCTATGAGCATTTAAAATTGACATTGCTGACATTCTTAAATTTGAGTGACCAGGAACTATCTAAAAATTAGTTTAGGCCAGGCATGGTGGCTCACACCTGTAATCTCAGCATTTTGGGAGGTGGAGGCAGGCAGATGGCTTGAGCCCAGGAGTTCAAGACCAGCCTGGGCAACATGATGAAATCCCGTCTCTACTAAAAAAAAAAAAAAAAAAAAAGTTTTTATTGTTTTTTGATTTTCTAATCAGTTGATTGACCCATATGGATGAGTTAAATAGAGATGGCAATGTCTTATCCTTCCTTTAAAGAAGATTCCAGTGACTTAAACTTAATAATGATACTACATTTGAGCTACTGGTTGCTTATGTTCTTGAACAACAAACAGAGCTAAAGGGTCCTTCTCTCAAATGCTGGTGAAACTAATCAAATGCAAGCATTCTTTGTTACATGCTAATAATTTTTCAAAATGTTTTAACCTTTAAAATGCCATTAATTTTTCTCTCTGTAGATATATGTTTGCAGTGGCAAAAAATAAGAACAAATTAGTTCAGGTTATCGATTTGCAAATTAAAAATGAACAAAATTGATTGCAAGACTCATAAACATTGGATATTAATTCTTGAGGAATAAGAGTGAGGCTACTTTTCTAGGTGATATTTATCCCCATATATGGAAGAGTGTGGGTTTTAAAAATTATTGTTACAAAAACATTTTAAACATTAATTTTATCTAGTATTTTCATACTATTACTATTTCAAGATCTTTGATGGTGGGATGTCCAGATAAAATCCCCACTGTAGTTTGCAGTGTATCTAGTAGGACATAAACTATTGCTTAGCTTACAAAGCTTAGAAAGAGACTCTGATCCTTGGATATTTTTTAAAACAATCCATATTATTTATTTAATCCTAAGTATTTTTAAACACTGCTATCATGCTACTTCACCTAATTCTGGCTGCTGTTCATTTGGGGAATGCTATATTGGACTATTCTTGAAACAATATATATAAAATCAAGCAAGGCACGTGACAGTCAGGCTTTAGGTTGGAGCCAGGCCTGGAAAATGTTTTTCAAACAATTTTGTGTCTATCCTTTCATCCTGAGCTGGAACTATTGAGAATGTGATAGAAAAATGCATCGAGTGGCTTGTTGGGTCTTGTAAGGGTCCTACGACTCTCATACTCTGTAAATGGAATGTGTGGAGAGGGTTAGGAGAGCCTTCAGGTAGTACTAGAGATGCTGGAGCCTCTGAGGACCTCTGCACTGAGATTCCTAATGTTAATCTGGCCTCTGCCATCACTGAGGGTACCCGGGGCTTGGCCTTGCTAGTGATAGCCACACAGGGCCGTAAGGCTCAGCTGATCATCACTGGGTGAGGAAGTGTCAGGGTCACTGCAGATCTGAGTCAGGGCTAAGCTCAATATTTCTTTCTTTTCTTTGTAAAACCGTAGTTCTTGTCCTGCTTTCCTGGCTTCCTCCAACTGCCTCAGGGCCATTCGTAGCTCTTGAGAGACAATTCCTGGTGAGTCCCGCTCCTTCATGATCCAGTCCAGGGCCATGTGGCTGCGCATCTTTTCATCTAGAGAATACTGAGAATAGTAGGAGATGACTTCCTGGGGGCCAAGAAACAAAGTCCAGGGTGTCAATAAAAAGCAACAAAGGCACCCGTCCACATGCCTCCCCCTGCTTCCCACATCCATTAGGGTTTTATCAACAACCCCATCTCTCTCATGTTCAAAAACTGAAACCAAAACCCACTGGTTTACTTCTATAAAGGAAATGAAAGGCTAAGTTGGCCTAGCAAAGCACACCACTCCAGGTTGAGTCAAAACACACCACCAGGAATGACTCAATAATGTTCACCAAACATAGCTCTGCCATCTCTAGAAATACAAGCCGTTCACTGAAAATACATTCCTACAACAATTGGTGTGAATATGACCTCATTTATTCATTGAACCCTGTTGCCCAGCATTATTTCCTTTGGAAAGATAAAGAGAGGGAAGTAGCACTACAGAGGGTCTTGGGCAGAATGGGGTTTGGTCAAATCCACTGAAGAAAGCAGGAAGCTCTTAGTTAAGGGCATCTCAGAGTATCATTTAGAAACCAGGAGAATCAACTGTGGTATTAGCACAAGGGAGATGGTCCAACTGTCCCACAGTAAATACAGAAGGGAGTTTAGATGTATAATGGAAGGTAGACATCTCCATTATTGATATCATAATGATTCCTTCATGGTACATTGTCTTTTACTTTTACAAACAATTAAAAATTAGTTACTGCCTGTCAATTCTTGTGTGAAAAATTTGTCGATACATAATAACATCATATGTAGAGTTGATCATGTGGAGTGAATGCACTGCTTATTTTTATTTTCAAGAACATATGGTATGCATTTATGACCTTAACAAATTAAAAACAATCATGGAAAAGTGTTTATAACCCAACCAGCATATTTCAAAGGCCTTTTGTAAAATCAAAGGAAAAGGAAAAAAAACAAAACCAAAGCCATTGTCAGCTACTCATTTCTTTTCCATCTTTGACATCTGAAACCTAGACTTTCTAAGCAAAGAACAACTAAAAACTAGGGGGCTGCAGTGCATGGAAAGCTCCTTATACCCACCCTTACCTTGCTGACTCCCAGAGGCTTTCTTCCTCATACAAATTCCTATTAGGAAATTCTCAGAAATAAACTACCATCTTTCACATTCTAACGGTGGGTAGAGGAAGGATAAATCTTGGAGAACAACAGGTGAAAACCATTAAATACACAGGAGGGGGTTCACATTAGCTATTAAAAAAGGGGGAAGGGTGCTTCTCATAAATAACAAAGAAATAGTGAGACCGTGTCTCTGAAAAACAAAGAAGAAACTTCTAAACCAAAAAAATGGGAGTGATTAAATGCCGGCTTGTCAGACTTTATAATCATTTCTGTTGTTTATTGGGGACTTTTGGCAGGAATGGGAAATACTCTTCTCCTACCACCAACTTGGCCACTCTCCAGTGACGAGGTTTCAGAAGCAGTGCATTTTCAAGTTTCTGCCTCAGAAGGTACAAGAGGGCACACATTCCAAGGAGGCAGGGGAGGTGTATGGAGTAGATCCAGGATTTATTTAGAAGCTGTCTGCCTTTATGATCCTTTCGGTTTGCATTCGGTACAGGTATCTAAATCAGTCCTGTGCCCACGTTCTTTTTAGTGTGTATATTTGTCAGTCCCTGACTCAATGGGGCTGTTCTATATATTTCTTTGTGTGTCCTCTGCTCTTAATAAATAAGGTACCAAATTTATATTTGGAAAAATCCGAATAAAGGAAATCTCCTGGGAAGATGATAAGCCACCTGCTGAGTTCATATAACACAGACTTAGACTTGATTAGAAAATCTTACCTGTCGGGAACACTTTGTTTCACGAAGGGCTTTTAGGCTTCCATTCCAGTGCAATAGTTGGAAAATGGTCATCAGCTCCTACAAAACCCAAACACCTATCATTGGTCCCAAAGCAGAAATGTGCATTGGTGAGAGCTGAGCAGGGCATAACTCTAATTCCCAAATATATCAGGAAACAGAATACACAATATTGTCACAACACTTTGGGACTTTCCCAAGCCCAGGGTCCCAGGGCTTCTGGAACATTCTTCTCTTCCTCCTTTGCTATATCCATAGCATTACATTACATTACTTGTGTAATGAAATGACTAAATACTTGACAAATGTCTTTCAGCATTAAAAATAATACACTGAAGAGTTCTACACACAAGAAGTTATTTAAATATACCAGGATATCTGAGAAATAGTGTATAGGCAAGGTTTTACATTGTATCATTTTTTAAAATTGCTCGAGACTGACAGCATCTTAAATGGTCACTTTTAGAGGAATGGCTAAAGTATGATATATCCATACTACTGAACACTTTGCAATCATAAAGAAAGGATGAGAACGTTCCATAAGTTTAAATAGAAAGAATTCTATGATGTGTTAAAATAAAACAAGGTACACAACAGTGTGTAATGTGTGCTACTATTTGCTTAAGAAGATCGCTATATACATGTTTGCTTGTAAATGCCTAGAAGAGTTCTAGTAAGATACAAAAGGATCTGGTAACTTTAGCTGTCTCTGGAATGCCAGAGGAATGCCTGGGGGACAGGAGTAGGAGGGAGACCTTCTTGTGACATTATTTTGCAAAACTTACTGAGTTTTGAATCATGTGACTATGTTATATCTTAAAACCATTTAACTCTAAAAATTTTAAGCCAAAAAATAAATATACAAATATAGTTAAATAGCATTTATAGGACGCCATTAGTTTGGACAGAGCTACTGCATTAGGCTTAATAGATCAAATCAAAATGGAGTCACTCATGCTGAAGTTCTAGATTGCCGTGCTGAAACTAAGCTGTTTATCTGAGCTTCCTAGAAATCAGGACAAAGAGAGAGATAACAGCCAAATCCCCAAACAAGCCAGTTTTAGCCGGCATAATAAAGAAGTCCCCTCTGCTTTAATCTTTACAAGAGAAGTAACTATGAAATGACCAATCCATTTTTGTCCTCTGTTTCTACCTTCTTCAGCCCTTTTCTGCCTAAAGCCAACTTCCTCTGCTCAGCTCATCGGAACGCTCATTCTGTTTTACGGAAGGAGGTGTTATGCAATTCTAAAATTGCAAGTAAAAGTCAGCTAGATCGTTAAACTAAATTTATTGTAATTTTGTCTTTTGACAATATAAAGCATATAATGAACAAACTACAGAAACTGCTCAATACTCCTAAATTTATAAATTCAGTCAAGAAAAATGCCTTGAAATATAGACAATAAGGTTGTATTGACATTCAAACTCACCCATGGTTTCCAAATCCAAGAGCCAGGGCTGAGCACAGCATTCAGACTATCAGCACCATCATTTCCTTGCCTTTTGTGGTATCAAAGGCAAGCTAAGGTGTATAAGTTTACTGAAGATTTTCATTTTCCTAATGCGGTTACAATTAGAAGTTTTCCACTGAAATTATTTGCATTTCAGTTATAGTTTTTTTTGGTCAGAGATACATCTATTGTGGATTAATAGCCTGTGGTTATTGAAATTATTGAAAAATAACTCTATATGATCAAGGAACTTTCATGTCTTAAAAAATAGTTATGAAAACTTAACATAGACAGATGTCCTACTGTCCATTCAAAAAAGCTTTTAGCTGGGCACGGTGGTGTGTGCCTATAGTTCTAGCAACTTGGGAGGCTGAGGCAGGAGAATTGATTGAGCCCAAGAGTTTGAGACCAGTCTGGGCAACATAATATTTTATCTCTTAAAACAAAACAAAAAAGCTGACTTCAATTAACTGTCTTTACATCTGCTTGCTTGGGAAGAGGTTCTCTTATGAAAATCAGGAGACTCATAGTCAGGTTTTAGGCATCTTAAAATTATTTGGTAAATTTTAAAGCTATCAGATTATTAGAAGAGCAAATAGCACTTCTCTCATGTCTAAAATTGCCATTGGAATGAAATGTTTTTCTTCTTTTCTGTCAGAGATCCAGTTTGGCATTCTGTCTAAGTTCACTGCACAGTAAGTACTCTGAGAGCCCACAGACACCTCAGTAAAAGCAAAACCACTTGTGTCTGCTAATTAAAACACACATGAATACCAGCTGAGCTGCTCCTTCTGCCCGCCCCCAGATGGAGACCTCCCTGTCTGCACAGGGTCCTCGGTCCAGTGCCCAGGGATGGCTGTCCCCTCCTGGCCCCTCTCCTCCACATCTTCCTGCCCTTGTTCAGACTTTCACTTCATCACGTCAGTATGCTAATTTGAAAAAGTGGGAGTGCTTTGTTCGAGAAACCAAATCTCGTCCAATCTGGCTGTCACTGCTGTTCCTCTCAGGCTTTCCATCAAAGTGGCCCCAGTGGCTGAGAAGGGCAAATTTGTGTTGCCCTTCCTACCATACTAACAAACCAACTCACCGAATACTTTGAAGCCATAAAAATGAATGGGAAGATTGTTTTAATATTTGGGAACCAGTCTCTATGATGTAACAGGAGGGCCAATATTTGTAAATAAGAAAAATTTTTTGGTTTTATGTCTTATAAAGATCCACTCAAATTTTGCATTCTATTGTGTATGTCCATTTTTAGAAAAGAGAAAATAAATATTGGCCAGGTGTGGTGGCTTGTGCCTATAATCCCAGCACTTGGGAGGCTGCGGCAGGTGGATCACTTGAGGTCAGGAGATGGAGACCAGCCTGGGCAAAATGGTGAAAACCTGTTTCTACTAAAAATAAAAAAATTAGCCAGGTGTGGTGGTGGGTACCTGTAATCCCAGCTACTCGGGAGGCTGAGGCAGGAAAATTGTTTGAACCTGGGAGGCGGAGAGTACAGTCAGCTGCGATCGCGATACCACACTCCAGCCTCGGCAAGTGAGTGAGACTCCATCACAAAAAAGAAAATAAATATCACTCCACTCCTCCGTTTGACCCCCACAACCCTAAATCTTTATGTAAAGTTGAGAACTCAGACACATATACTGGATTTATTTTGTGGCTTCCTATAGCTATCTATCTTGGCATTGTTCTTGCATCCTTGTGGCCCAGTTTGAGAAACAGCCTATTGCTAACAGGGCTCTTAATTCCATCCTCTGATAACTGTTGACTTAGAAACATACTATTCTTCCTCTGGGGTCTTCTGGGCTCTTTTTCTTATCTATACACTAACTGCTCTCCCCGCCCCATAAGGGACTATCATTCCACCCTGAAAATCTCCTAAGACTTTAGAATTCACAACTCTTCTGTGAACAGAACCAAAACCCTTTCTCATGCCCCTTGACAACCTTCATCTTTCAAAAATGTCCCCAAAGAGACTTGAACTGCTTTCGTCTCCAGGATGAAGGTCAACCTCCTCACCACCTCTGGTTTGTCTAAATTTCTATCCCATCACGAAGCAGCTTTTTTTTTCTCTCCAGTAACACAACTGCCACTTCCTCAGTGTTGCTTTTGTTCTTAACATTCCCTAGGGAAGATGACCTCCTTTCCAACTTCTTACATTATATCCCCATCTAGTTTTTGTCCTCTGTAGAGATATTCATCTTGCCATCATTATATAAAGTATATTTAAATATTTTCACATATTTTTTGTCTCACTTCTTTATTTCCCCTCATAAGACCAAATTCACTCTCTTCACATTTTCCCAAAACTATTAGCTCTTGGCTCAACTCCAGGAAATCTTTGCATGCCTCTGACTGATTCCATTGGAAATCCTTGCATGATTGCAGAGTGGGAAGGAGAGGGCTGCTGTGGAGTTCTGCTTACTAGTTTCCCCATGATTCTTTGCTGCCTGGTGTTCGCTGGCTCATATTCTACCTGGAGAAGCTCTGTTACTCTAAAGGAAGTTAGTGTAGTCAGGTGCTGTGGAATGTCCCAGCTACTTGGGAGGCTGAGGCAGGAAGATCATGAGTTTGTGCCCAGCCTGGGCGAAATAGTAAGACCTCTGTCTCAGAAAAAAAAAAAAAAAAGAATATATATAAATTTTTTTTTAAATAAAGGAAATTAGTGTTGTCTTTTCCTGTGAGGGTCTGTCATAGTCCTCACGGAAGTCTTTTGGGGTGTGGTGTTTTGTTTGTGGGGTAATCTGGAAGCCTGAGGGGCCCAGCTGCACCAACAGAAAAACAAGTTAGCCTCATAAGGTGAGGCAGGTGAGGCAGGTGAGGCAGGTGAGGCAAGGTTTAAAGTGAGTGGGGCCAATTATACATGTTCATGGTCTTTTATTTATAATTCTGATATTTTGTTTATCGTGAATTTTTGGCATGAATTTTGAGTTTAAAAAATAATGCATTATAATATTATTTATCTTGATTATGAAGTTTTTAAGCATCCCTTTCAATTTTGTACCCAAGAGAAATGTGTCACTTGCCTAGCCCTTGTCTGTCCCCTTCTTGTGGCTCTGTCTCAGGGGCAAGCCCAGCTTCATGGGCATGAGGTCTGTGCAGCTGTACAGGGCCCCTGCTTTGTTTAGTGCTCTGCTATCTTGAAATTCTTGGTAATTTTTGAACAAGGGCCCCTGGATTTTCATTTTGCACTGGGCCTGGCAAATTATCTAGCTGGTCCTGACCAGCGGAGTAAATTTAATATAGAACGAAGAATCAAGCTGTGTGTTTTCTTTCCTCTTCGGGGAAAATTTCAGTTGCAGCTCTCACTCTACAGCTTTCCTGGTTTATTTTGTCATTCATTTCATGTAAACAGACAACAACGGGGCTCTGTCCTCACAGCCTTTCCTGGGGTTGCCTCTGTTAGAAACAATGTTGGGCTTTTCAGCTACTTGTGGAGAGAAAATGCTCACTGCTTCTCTTTGGAACTCTTTCTAGGAGACGGGTTTGGCTCTGTGATTCATCAGAAATAAGAAAAACAAACACTGTAAATGGAGAACTTGAAAAAGAGGTGGGCACCATCTCCCCACCCAAGAGAATGGATTTAAGAGGAAATTTGTTTATGGGATGAAGTTTTAAAAGGCGACCTGGAAAATTTAGCAAAGATGTAAATAAACAACTCTTCCTTGGATTGCATTAGGCTTCAGAATAAATATATTAACCAGCTTCAGTCAAAGTCTGCCTAGAATCTGACCCTGACAAGACCCAGTGACTAGTGCTGCTCCGAACCTTCCCCACCAACAGCAGGCAATTTTCTCTGTGGCAAAGCTACCTCGAAACAGGCATCCAGGCTTCCCTCCCACGAAGTGAAGGTAAGCAGAGGCCTATCATGTTTCCTCTGAGTGCTGGCTGCAGGACGCCCCCCCACCCCGCCCCGAAAGCCCGAGGGCAGTCTGGAGACACCAGCTTGTTTTTATATGGTAGAGTCATCCATAGCTAGATACAAACACACATCTATTACCCACCAGGGGTACTGAATTGCTGTGTTGGCTGCAGAAACAGCCCAGGTCTGTGGGCAATTCCCATTATGTGTAGACACAAGCAGAAGCATTTAACCCAGGCCACTAAGGAATGTGCCAGGTCCCAGCAGGCAAGCTAGGGCTGGTGGAAGGAAAAGGGATGCGCTCCATAGGCCCTCCTCCTGGGTTGCCAGTATCCCTACTAGGGAAGGGAGTTTGGATTTTCCCTGCCCTCACATCTTCCTCTTCCTTTGTCTCCATCCTGTATCCAGACTCCTTTAGGAGAATTTATGAAGCATGTCCACAGTAAGATTCAAATTATTATTTCACAAATTTAAATACCTTACTACAGACCACACAGAAAACACATAGCCTATGCAAAGCAATTAAACTATTACTAAAAGAAGGTTGAGTAGAGCCTTTCATAGTACTTGGAAGGAATTTTAAGACTTTTTTTTTTTTTTTAAATCTCACCTTCCCCCATCTTTGGCAGACTAAACCAATCACATTCAAAATCATTCTTAATTTTTCCAAAAATAGCGCTAAATCACATACAAGCTACTGTGTACTGGGGCAGGCAATGTTCATTCCATAATAAAAGAACTACAATATTATTTGGAGGGGGAACAGGAATTAAATGAAATTCCTGCTTAGGGGAAGCATTATGCCAGATGCTTTATAAATGTTACACTACTTAAATCCCGCAAAAATTCTACAAAATGGGCATTATTATTCCTATTTTATAGATGAGAAAACTGAGTCTCAGAATGGACAAGCTCACAGATGGCAAGTGGTAGAGCAGACTTCACACATAGGTCTGTATGACTTTTTAAAGTTTATATTCTTTCTCTTGAAAAAATACCTCTTTTTAAAAGTATTATTCCTCTGTTTAGTTTTAGATTGTTATGAAAAAAAAAGGACCTTTTACAGATCGACTCTTTTATCCTACAATAGGGGCTCTGAACCATTTTGTGTAGGTTCAAATAGAGCTAGGTTAGACAGAGTTGTCAACGGAATCCATCCAGTAGCCTCTGGCATTTCAAGCAAAGATTCCTTCAGAAATACATCTAATAATA
Source organism: Homo sapiens (assembly GCF_000001405.40). Lineage (NCBI taxonomy): Eukaryota > Metazoa > Chordata > Mammalia > Primates > Hominidae > Homo > Homo sapiens. The sequence goes on from NC_000005.10 coordinate 97,103,356, forward strand.
GTTGTTCATCTTCACTGAGCATTCATTATACCCCATGCACTCTTCTGGACTCTACGCATATCATCCCATTTAATCCTCACAATAGCACTGTGAGGAAGGTACTGTTATTCTCTCTGATTTACATACAAACGAGGAAGTAGATTTTGAGGTAAGGAAAAGAGCCAGGCTCAAACTGGCCAGCCCGCTGCAGAGTCTGGGTCAGAGCCACTGGGCTGACATGTGCCCCATCCACTAGGCTTAAAGGATACTTTGTTGCTTCCTAACCAAGACAGGCTACGTCAAAGGTCAGTAAGACCTTGGCCACTTAAGGATAAAACTGGATGACTAAGGCCGGGCACGGTGGCTCACACCTGTAATCCTAGCACTTTGGGAGGCCAAGGCGGGCAGATCACGAGGTCAGGAGATGGAGACCATCCTGGCTAACACGGTGAAATCCCGTCTCTACTAAAAATACAAAAAATTAGCCGGGCATGGTGGTGGGCGCCTGTAGTCCCAGCTACTCAGGAGGCTGAGGCAGGAGAATGGCTTGAACCTGGGAGGCAGAGCTTGCAGTGAGCCAAGATCAGGCCACTGCACTCCAGCCTGGGCGACAGAGCTAGACTCCGTCTCAAAAAAGAAAAAAAAAAAAAAAAAGAAAAACTAAGATTTAGGATGGGTGAAGAAAGAGCATTTTTGCCGCAATCATACAGAAGGCTAATAAAATAATATTTATTTTTTAATAATGTGCATGGGGACATTTCCATCTGAGAAGTGGCTGTGCCATTGGGGTCAGGAAAGGAGTTTGAAAGGTACCAAAGAAGGTATTTGAAAGTTGTGGCTTCAGAAGGGCTCAGCTCACCATTGTAAATTACACCGTGAGGAACATTTTGCCCATAAAACCTTATACCTCTGATTGCTTCTTGGAATATAACCTAAGAAAACAATTTCTAAGGTGAAGTCTCTTTATTATATTGCATTCTGATTCCTACCAGCATTGCATGTTTATGGATGTTCAACTGCACTGGAGTTAAGTTTTTTGAAGGGAAGCACATTTCATGCCCAATCACTACTAAAATTCTATCTGTCCAGCCTGATATAGGATAATAGATGTGTGAGCTCAGAGATCAGACTGCCTGACCCTGAACCCTAGCTTCAATGATAACATGAGGATAACGATATTATCCACCTCATACAGTTATTGTGAGTGTTAAATTATGACACTATTTGTTAAATGCTAAGCACGGGCCAAAGTAAGCATCCATAAATGTCAGCTGTTATTACTGCTGTTGTTACTAATATATTTTAGAAATAATAGGTAATATAGTTCCTCAACTCTTGTTATCATTTGTCGGCAGTGGATGAAAAAGAGTTACAGATTGTTAATTTTTTTGATTTCATTGATGATAGGAAGTGGCAGAACTTGTTTAATAGAAAACCAGACCCAAGTAGGGTATTGTTTAACGTGCACTGCAGGAACTTTCAGAAGTCATAGGACTTCTGAAAATTAAGAAGCAAATGGTAACAACCAACATGTCAAACTGTTATCATTGGTTTAGTGGGGAGCTTTGTACTGAAAAGCTGGTGAAACATTACAGAATCCCTTATTTCTTAGATTTGTGTTTTACTTTCTTTTATAAAAGCAAAGATTGTTTCCTGATTGCGTGTTTGTTTACGCCTATGATGTGTGGCCGAGATGGGGCTACCATGCTGGATTCCAGGAGGGTTAGATTAAAATGACCAAAAACACTTAAGACCAAAAGATTATTGGGTCGGGAGATGTTAGTGATAAATGTTGCATTTCTCTTAGGCTTCTGGATTGGATAATCAAACAAATATGTGGCAGGCAGGCAGGTACCTGAAACTCCAGCATAGTCTTCCCCATGTTTGACTCCAGCATGTAGTGATAGGCCCCAACACTGGTGCTGGGGTCATCTGCATCATCTAAGGTGCCCTTGGGAAAGAAAGCAGAAAAAGAAAAATTACTGATTTTTCCTCCTCTTCTTTGAATGGTCACAAATTAATTCTGTGACCACACAGTAAGCCTATTTTTGGTCTAACCTGAACAGATGTTCACAACCAAGTCTCCAGTAGATTTGAGAGTTTTGTCATCAATTTGAATTGAGCGTTTGATAGAATACTAACTGTTATATACTCGCTGATAGAATAATTTTCCAAAAGAAGACATTTCTGTACGATTGCACAGGGTTTTGGTGGTGGTGGTGTTAACATTTGCATGGCTGAGCTCCGAAACTGCCTTCGTTGGCTATTGAAATCTTGAAACACTGACTTTGCTCTGATTCCAGTGATAACCAGGCAAGATTACATAATTGACATGGAAAGAATTTGTCAGTTTTATGGACCATTCAGCTTTTACTGCCGTGATTCTTAATAGGAACTTTTCGTAATATGCTGGTGTTTAGCCTGGAGACATGGATCATGGTTTATATTTTTTCAGTCCTGTACCACTGAATCTCTAGGAAACGAGGTGGGTGGGTGATGGGTAGAAATGAAATTCCCTTTCCATTTGGGTGTGGGGAATGGCGCTAAGAAGCTAACACGACTCTGGCGTGGCTTTTGGGCCAGCCCTTCCGTATCCTATGGACGCGGATTCCCGGGAAGGTGGGCAATGGTGACTTTGTGAGATGGAACAAACAAGTGCCAGCACAGATAGCAGCAAATTTATAGCTTTTGAATGCAATAACATTAACACACTGCTGCTGAAATATTTATGTTGGCTTTTTAAATATCCCAGAGGAAATCCATCTAGAAGCATGCAACCATGTATATTCTGTTTCCTTAGAAATTTCCATTTAAAAAATGATAAATTACTTTTACACTGAGGGCCCTTCCCTGCTCCTGAGTAAATTTCACACTTATATAAATCAGGCATAATTTTCCTAACCTCTCTTCCTCAAAAGCACTTGAAATTTACAGGGCTGGAAAATAAAGGCTTCCTTTCATCCTCAGACCAGATATAGAACAGAACTCCCTGGCATCTCCCAGCCAAGTCAATCACTCTTCTTCTCCTGCTCCTTCCTTATCTCTCCTTTATGTGATAAGAAGATTTATGAGGGGAAAAGGGTCACATCTAGTCTGATAGTGTTTCCTTCATCATCATCAGCTTCGCCAGAATGACAGAGCCTTCCTAGTTAAGGGAAACAGAGAAGGAAATCTCAGGTGGGGTTTATCCGTGCTAAAGGCAAACCAGAGGTGGCTAATCCCTTTGGTAATGCCAGGTTCCTGCCCTTGAGCACACACAGGGCGATACTTGCCACAGGTGGGGACTGAAGGCTTCTTTCTTGGCTTATAGTTTGGAAGCAATGGGAGTTGGGAGCTCCAAATCATTCATGGGACAAATATCCTGTCTTATATTGCTTAAAAAAAAATCCTATCTAATTTTTAAGACAGGGTGTTTTGCTCTTAAAGCACTTTGCATTTAATTGTGTTAATTACAGAAATTTTCAATGCTCTCTGAAGAGGTAATTGATATTAACCATGGTAATTCTAATAGCTAACACATATTGGGCATACGGTTTTTCACATGTCTAAACAGTCCATGTTTCCTTAAAAATGCAGATTGCAGGGCCCCACACTGGCTGGGGAATTCGCACTTCCAGTAAACACTTCAGATGATTTTCATGATCTTTCAAGTTCGGGGAAAATGGAGCTCGTTTTCCACTAGATTAAAGCAGTATTCCACTGTATGCGTTCTCAGGCCCTAAAAGAATCAACACTCCTCAATAAGTAAACATTCACTTAAACATATCCAGGTGGATCCAATGATCTACCTTGATTTAAAACATGATTAATTGTGATCAGAGAGATTAAAAAATATTATTGAGATGTGTGATATTATGATTTCCAATTTAAGTATTCTGTTTTCTGAAAATTAACAATTCAGTGGGTAAAAATTGAATCTACAGAATTCTTAAAATAAGAATTTGCTCATGTTAACATCTCTCAAGATTCAAATGCTTCAGAATTCTCAGTGCAGCCATCTCCTGCCCTCCATGGTGGGTACTCACGCTGGTGGAGGCTACTGCTTCCTGAACACTTTCCATAATGAATTCCTTGGTGATCCTGCGAGAGGGCAGCTCATTGAAGAGGGAGTTGATCAGGGCCACTTTAGCTGCATCCCGCCTGGCCTCGGCTCTACTTAAGCAGCACTTGAGAAGGGAGGGAGAAAAGGAGTCATTTGAGAATTTAGCATTTCACCATTCCACTCCTGCATCAATGGGTCTCTGGACATTTCTATTTATACATTTACTGTCCGCATCTATTCTGTTCATATACATTGCTAATTTCCCTGAAGGTCACGCAGATTTTCCTTCAGCTCTAGAGTTCGTGCAAATGTCTTGGTTGATCTTCAATTACTTATTGTCTTATTTTATAGTCATTGAATGTCTACTATATGTCAGAAGCTTTGCATACTCTATTAATGAGTAATGATAAATTAATAATGGCTATTATTGTGTGCTAGATAATTTATATTCATTATCAGGGCCTTCCTCAAATCCCTATTTCAGAAAAAAAATGTAAGGAAAGGAGAAAAGCAAGGAATCTGGAAATACTTGTAACAATAATTAAGAACACAAATTCTAGAGTCAGACTGCTTTCAGCTCTGGCATTTACTAACTATAAGACCTTGAGTAGGTTCATTAGTCTCTCTGCACCTCAATTTCCTCCTCTATAAAATGGGAATAATAGTAGGGTTGAGGTTAGGATCAATTGGTTAATATAGATGAAGCACTGGAAATACCTGGCACACAGTAGCACTTATGAGAACAGGCCAGCCAGACATTTTTATCTCCAGGTTAGTACAAGGGTGCTGCTGTCAATATCTATTGCTTTTGCATTTGCAACATTTGTCCCCCACCTTCCTTCTAGTAACAGTTCCCTGATTTTCTTGAGGACTAGGATTTCTCCCTTGGTCTCAATCCATGCGGTTTTGCTGGGACATACTGCATTCAAACCTTCTTGAAGTTAGGGCCATAGGCAGCCTATGATTAGTGACTCATAAAAAAAATTCACTCCTCTCAAATATAATATTGTGCTCCATCCTGCTAGACTGGCTTTCTGTGGCTCATATGGATCTGGTCGATGCATCCTGATTCTTTTCTGTCCTCCCTGCCTCTGAACAACTAACAACTCCCATTTTTCAAGTTCTGGTTTGGCATCGTTCCTGGGGTTGCAGATAGAGGGACAAGCCCCATAAGTACTGGACTGTCCCTGGAGCCCATACCTTTTGGAGAGCCCAGGAGTTGATGGCCTCTCTCCTACAGGCTCCTGTGAACCCAGGGATAAGTGTCTAGGATCTTGGACTCCTAGGGGGAAACAAGAGAAGTCCAGGCCTGGGTCCTGGTCAGTGGGGTGGCCGGGCACCCCTGACTGTGCTTCTTAGAAACCTGGACCACCTGAACTTTGGGAGCTAATCTTCTCATTGGACAAATAGGGAGGCTAGGCTGTCTGATCTCCAAGGCTCCTACTACCCAAAATGCATGATTCTCAGAATCAGTAGTTCTTGGTGATTGATGGGAAAGAAAAGGAAAAATAGCAAATACCACGCTTCATTTTACAGTTTCACAGAGCAAGGGTTCTGTGCCACCAAACAAAGAAAGCCAAATCCCTCTCATTTGCTTTCACAACATCCCCACCTCCATCCTATCTGCCCTCTGTTGACTATCTCTGCACTGTCCCGGGAACGCTCCAGACTTATGCTCTCGTGTCCTCTAGAGACCTGTCTCTCCTCCCCATCTCCACAAACCTAGTTGGAGTGCCCTGAAGCCAGTTTCCAAGTCCTCTGTGATTTTCCCTCAAACCTTCTAGAACAGTAGTGCCTATATATTGTAAAGACCGTGTCCTTGACTATGGGTAACTTCTTGCCCACCCCTTCTCCCAGCCTCCGGGCCTGGGAGGAGCCCTCATATACTTTTGTTTTTAAAGACTGATTCTCCTGTCACCCAGGCTGGAGTGCAGTGGTGCAATCTTAGCTCACTGCAACCTCCACTTCTTGGGCCCAAGCGATCCTCCCACCTCAGCCTCCTGAGTAGCTGGGTCTACAGGCACTTGGCACCATACCTGGCTAATTTTTGTATTTTTTGTAGAGACAGGGTCTCACTATATTGCCCAGGCTGGTCTCAAACTCCTGGGCTCAAGCGATCCACCTGCCTTGGCCTCCCAAAGTGCTGGGATTACAGGTGTGAGCCACTGGCCCCCTCATATATTTATTTCTTTTTTTATTTTATTTTTTATTTCAATAGTTTTTGGGATACAGGTGCTTTTAGGTTATGTGGATAAGTTCTTTTGCGGTGATTTCTGGGAATGCGGTGATTTCTGGGAATTTGGTGCACCTGTCACCAGAACAGTATACTCTGTATCCAATATGTAGTCTTTTATCCCTCACCCCCCTCCCAATCTTCTCCCCCAAGTGCCCAAAGTCCATTATATTATTCTTATGCCTTTGCATCCTCATAGCTTAGCTCCCACTTATATGTGAAAACACAATATTTGGTTTTCCATTCCTGAGTTACTCCACTTAGAATAATGGCCTCCAGCTCCACCCAAGTTGCTGCAAAAGACATTATTTTGTTCATTTATATGGCTAAGTAGTATTCCATGGTGTACCCCATCTTCCTTATTCGCTCATTGGTTGATAGGCACTTAGGTTGGTTCCATATTTTTGCAATTGCAAATTGTGCTGCTATAAACATGAGTGTGCACGTGTCTTTTTCATATAATGACATTTTTTTCTTTGGGTAAATTCCCAGTAGTGGAATTGCTGGATCAAATGGTAGTTCTACTATTAGTTCTTTAAGGACTCTCCATACTGTTTTTGTATATTACTTGAGCATCCTCCACTGGCTAAGCCAGGCTCAGCACTTGGAGATGCTTGTACATGGTGAGTGTGTTGATGAAATAATTACAAGACTTTTGAAATGGCAAGAACATGACACTGAGGAGAATTAAAACAAACACAAATTAAAAAATAACAAAAACCAACCAAACAAACAACATTTGCCAGGAGACTAACAAAGCAGAACAATTAAGGGCAGGCAGAAGAAGATATTATAACTTACAATAAAGAGTGATTTATTTATTTTATTTTTTTTAATTTTTTTTGTGAGATGGAGTTTCACTCTTGTTGCCCAGGCTGGAGTGCAATGGCGTGATCTTGGCTACCTACGCCTGCAACCTACGCCTCCTGGGTTCAAGCAAGTCTCCTGCCTCAGCCTCCCGAGTAGCTGGGATTATAGGCATGTGCCACTACGCCTGGCTGATTTTGTATGTTTAGTAGAGATGGGGTTTCTCCATGTTGGTCAGGCTGGTCTCGAACTCCCAACCTCAGGTGATCCGCCCGCCTTGGCCTCCCAAAGTGCTGAAATTGCAGGCATAAGCCACAGTGCTGGGCCCAAAGAGTGATTTTCTATATAGCTGTTGAATGAAGAATGGAGCTAAAGTTCCAAAATGAGTGTGGAAAGTAGTTTTTTTTTTCTTTTTTCTTGGTGTTGACACACAAGAAGGCTTTGGGGGAAGCTTTAGACAGCAAGGCCATTCAAGGTTTAGACCTCTTCTAAGTTTTAGGCAACTTGTATGAAACCAGAATGGGTTTGACAAGGTAGATTGGCTTTGTGTTATGGGCTTGGCTGAAAATTTATAGGACATTGAGTCACCAATCTTTCACTGAAGCTTGAGTGCCATCTCTTTTAGGAAGCTTTCCTTGACCACTCTCAAGTCTAGGCTTGGAGGACTACTGTCCAAGGGAGGCACTGACCACACTGCAGTGTAACTGTTTGCTAATGCTCTGCTCCCACCGTCTCCTGGCTGTGAGCTCCCTAAAGGCAGAGCCTATGACTTAGTTGTCTCCCGCCTCCTGTGACCTAGTTTGCTGAATAAGCAACAATACAGCCTAGGAAACTAAAAAACAAGTCACTGAAGCACTAGACATAATGTTCAAGAGATCCTCGTAAAGAAAAGAATGAAAGATATATACTTTTTATTTTTTTTAAATGAGCGCAATTTCAATAAACCGTCTATGGTATGTGTAACTTAGTCATATAAAAATATATTAATGAATTTCAGATGGATAATTGGTCATTGCAGTCAGACACTTTGAGATGACCATTTTTGCCTGAGCGTAGGGTATGTTTATTATTCTTTGGAAAATCAGTTCCCCATTAAAAAGCAAACAACGTTTTTGCAAGTATTACCTGACATCTGTAGGAACAGCTCATTTTAATAGGAATTTAGCTTTACAAAATCTATCATAGAGCTGTTGGAGTTTTAGAATTTAGAGAATTAGATTCAGATCCAGGCACTCTTCAGAAACAACTTCTATCTAAATAATAGCAATTTAAACCATCTTTTATGGAGAGAGAGACCTAGTAAACACTAGTTAGATAAAAGAAGCTATCTATTTTAAATAAGACCAGTTAAGTACTAGATCAAAAGCACCACATACGTTTACAACCAAATGGCACTGCTCGGGAGATCAAAGTGCAGCCCGGCTGAGAGAACAGAAAGAGCCTTTACCCAGAAAGCATGAAAAAGGACTACAGAGACCTAACCAATACCAAGATTTTAAAGCAGACACATGTCTATGCTCATTTTATTATTTCAATGTACAGAATCTTTGCTTAAAACGGGGGAGAAAGTGTTCCAATTAATAAGTACATAAAATAAAATAAATTCTGAGCCATCAAAGGGCTTTTCTTGCTATTGTTCTTGGCATTTCTGAAAGACAAGTACTTCAAAATGTCTATAATGTTAACCAGCCGCTTTCTTCTAAATTCTAGAACTACAAATCTCAGCCAGTAAGGGCTGCATATTTTTCTCTAGGGATCTTTTAATGGGACCTCTCAGCCCATAAGAATCTTTACTGGGGGAAGAAATTTAGCCAAACGGCAATCTGCTTGGTTGCAATCTAAATCAGAATGTGAATGTTGCTGTAAGAACAGGCACTGTTAAAGTTACTATCAAACAGTGGGAAACACTGTAAGAAAATAAAATATGGTAAGTGACAGGACATTTTATGGATGTGTCCAAACCAGTCGTCAAAGACATCGGTTGGGGAGCGAGTGAAGTATGATGTTATTTCAAAGTAACTTCCTGCTAGAGTTAGACTTCCCAGGTTATACAGTTCATTCTTGCTATTTTTTAGCCAGGCCCTAATCATAAATATAGATTTGTAAACCGTGTCTTTTCTGTTAACCATTCTTACTTGTTAATATAGAAGGACAACTTCTGTCCTTTGCACTTTGCGAAAGTGCAGAGCTGGGATATTTAAGTCAAGATTTTACTAAAGTCAGCTGTGAATTTCTCAGGCATGTGGAGCCACATGCTTTCCGAGTGGCCAGCAGACCTCATTCAGACATTTATTTTGATGTTCAGATGCCTTTCATTTGCTGGTAGATTATAAACCACTATAATCATTTCAAAGCCTCCTGGCTCTGATCTAAAATTAAAGTAAAAAAAAAAAAAAAAAAAAGAGTGACTGTGGCATTGCTCAGGAAAGCTATTCAAAGGCAGTGGTAGCCAGTTTGTAAGATTCCCCAGTGACCCCTGCCCCGTGGCATTCACACCCTTGTGTAGTCCTCCCCTGCACTGCACCAGAGTTCGTTTGTGTAACCAATAGAATATGGTAGAAGTGATGGCAAATCCCTTCCCATATTAGGTTATAAAAGACACTATGACTTCCGTCTTGGTCTCACTTGCCATCTCTTTATAAGAGAAGAGAAGTGGAACCAAGAGGAAAAGTCACTGCCTTGGGGAAAGTCACTGCCATGTTATGAGCAGTCCCAAGGAAAGGCATACATGGCAGATAACTAAAGCCTTCTGCCAGCAGCCATCTGAGTGAGATGGGAAGCTGATCCTCCAGCCCTGATCAAGCCTTCAAATGACTGCACCTCCAGCTGACAGATTACCAAAAGCAACCTCCTTCCAGAAGACCTTGAGCCAAAACCACTCAGCTAAGCTACTTCCAGATCCCTGATCCTCGGAAACTGTGCGAGACAATAAATGTTTGTAAGTTTTCAGGCTATTTCTTATGCAGCAATAGGTAACTAATACAAAGGCTTTGCTCACCACAGGTAATTAAGAAGTCTCAATGAAATAATCCACATTGCTGGCACTATGTGCTTGGTACTATGCTGAGCACTTTATGTTTATTATCACATTTTGTTACCACAACAATCCTATAAAGTTGGTTTTGTTATTATCCTTATTTTGCAGGTGAGGAAATAGAGGCCTAAAGAGGTTATACATCCCAAGGTCATGCACCTTAAGATGTGAACAAAACAAGATTTGTTTTGTTCTCTGGTCTGTCTGACTTGGGAGTCCAGATTTTTAACCACTTTGCTATTTTGCTCTTCACAGAAATGGCCACCCACTTTGGAATAAAGAGGACATATAATTTGCCTAAGGTCACATAGCACTCTCTAAATCAGTACAGTATTTTAGACAAAGCTTCAACTTTGCACTTTTATGGGTCATTTTGATATAAGACTACAAGGATATCTCCTCCCATGACAAACTTGACTTCATTTACAACAAAAGGCCAAGCAAGATACAGTACACTGTGGGGATAAATGGTACTCACTGAGGACAGGAATATGCTGACATTATCTCAATTTCCTCCTCCCTCCTGTTGTTCTCCTTTGGATGCTTTCCTGGACTATAGGGAGAAGGAAAATAGAGAAAGGCCAACTGCGACTAGGCCAGAGATCAGATGTTACCTTGTAGGAAGCATCTCATTCTAACCTTAAGTACTCTCTTGATGAAGTACGGGGCCAAGAGATTTTGGAATTCTACCACACAAGGTTGCTCAGCATTCCAAGAAGTATTGATAACTCTTCAAGAGCAAAAGTCATTTAAATTAAACTTCTCTGGCCGGGCATGGTAGCTCATATCTGTAAACCCAGCACTTTGGGAGGCTGAGGCTGGAAGATCACTTGAACTTAGGAGTTTGAGACCAACCTGGACAATGTAGCAAGACCTGGTCTGTACTAAAATTCAAAAACTAAATAAATAAAACAAAAAATAAACTTCCCTCGCTCTGATGAATAAAAAATTTCCCCCAAGACTAACTCATTTTGGCCCTGTATTTTATCATAGATTAAGATGACCAACAAGTCACCAGGACCCTATAGGGTACACTATAAAGATTGCTGCCAAGCCTAGGCCGGGAGTTTGGACCAATAGTTCAAAAACTTTAGTGTTCATAGTACAGTTACCCAGGAACTTGTTAAACATGTGTATTCCTGCGCCCAAAGCTGACCTACTGAATCCGAATCTCTTCAGCTATATGATGGTGGGGTCTGCATATAATAAGATTTGCGGGTGATTCTGACATGTGGACCCAGGACAACTCTTAGAGGAGTGTTGCTGAAACCTCTGCCCCTGCCATGTCTCATTTCCAACAGGCAGGAGCAGAACCAAGTTTTGTGGGGCCTGAGGCTTACACAATTTGGGGGCCCTTGTTTAAGAAAAACAATATGAAATTACAAATAAAAAGATTGGCGTTGTGATTTACAAAGAGCCTCTGCAGAAGCTTCATTGTCTTCATTGTAAAGCCACTTCTGCTAACATCAGAAATGCTGATTTCTCATTAGAGAAACTGCTTCTACCCAAGAGTCAAGGAAAGTAGCATTCAGGTTTAAAAAAAGTCCTTTATGATAGTTCTTCTACAATTAGATCCTTAGGAAGTACATAGCACTACTGACTTAACTAACTGAGGTCTCAATTTCACTTCTCTGCTTAACAGTTTTTATTTCTTCTATGATTATTTTCCAGGGTGTCACACTATGTAATGTTGAGATTTAACCAAGATTAATTTGTTGACCAGTAGGCTGTCCTGAAATAAAATAATGACTAGTTAACTATTTAGCATTAACTGAAGTTCTTATATTAATTGAAATAAAATTTTGGTAATCATGTATGTGTTATAAATAGAAATTCCTAATAAGAAATTAGTTTTTTTATTACTTATTTGTGAAATACTTTAAAACTATCTGTAGGTGTCTTACTGATTATAGAACCATCTTCTGGCCAAGCTGAAGCAATTTAGACATGAAACAGTAACTTTCCTGGTAGCCCTCATTTGATTAATGATTGTTTTCCATGCTTTGTATTAGAAAATAGGCAGGATACATGTGTTGAGTAGTTGTTTCTACATCCCAAGGTTTTACTGTACTTACATCCCAACTACAGTGCTTTCTTTAGGAATGCATATGGAAGGACATTGATACAAGTAACTTTCTATCTTAAACAACAGACTTTCTACAGTTATTCACACATGTGTTTTAAAGACATCAGGAGAAAAATGGTCTCCAGATCTAAAATGTATAAAACACATTTTAGGCACCTTTTCACTGGTGCCTCCCAATGGTAGCCAAGGAGTTGAAACACAGTCTGTAAGAAGCAGGATTAAAAAAAAAAAAAAAGAACAGTAATGTAATAGCTAATGTGACAGATTGTATCTATTTGCAGATTCAAAGCTGAAGATGCCATCTTCTCTGGGGTCAAGGGCAGGTCAGTGTTATTTAGGTGGCATTTATTCAATAGCACATGGTACCCAAGGGGTTTTCCAAAGCTGGGACTTTGCAGGTGGCAAAACCAAATAAATTGACTCTGTGAGAAGTGAGAATTCCTGCCCAAATCCTATCGGCTGTTAGGTCTGTCATTCAGGTGCTTGGGAACATTTTGCTTTTGTGACTTGGAGTCCGACTTTTAGCAAGTGACTTGCGGAGTTTGTGCGTACTGCCTGACAGCTCTGGTCAGTGTCACCAACACCTCGGTTTCATCCTGACAGCAAGCCTTCACGAAGAATGCCACAAACCAGACCCTGTTGCTAACGGAACCCCTTTCAGTGCTTTAAAACCTTGACTACCCTGACCGAAGCATGAACATTTGCATGTGTTCCAATTTATCTAATTGTGGATATATTAACATTTTTTCTCCTTCCAGATGGTGATGTGAAAAAGGGCAACCGTTGGAACTCAGTCACCCAAGTTAATATCGTGTCTATCCATAGGTCAGGGTGGCTGCAAATATGTTGGGAACAATTTAGAGCTCTGTGTGTGCTGGGGATGGGGGTCTTAGCTAGGTGTGGGGGAGGGGACTGCTCTGGGAGTCCAATTTTCAGAGAAAACTCACCAGTTCCTGTCAACTGAAAGAAATGTTTCATGCACATGGTGGGTCAGAATGTTATTTTTATAATATAAACCACCTGGCCTTCTCCTCGTTTACCTCTGCCGCAATGCTATTCTACACACATACCTAGACCAAGGTCCCTGGTAGCTATTACAAGCCTGTGTTGTGCTTTGCTCCTTGAGGTTTTATTCCTTTTCTTTTCTTTTTTCTTTTATTCTTTTTCTTTTTTTCAAGTTAAGGTGTAGACAAGACGAATTGATCAGGGCTCAAGATTTGGGTTTATTTTTATAGTTGCTTTGATGTGAAAGGAGTTGGGATGGGGGAGTTAGGGAGAGATGGAGTCAGGCTTTCTTCCCCACTCAGCAACTCACTGAGCTGGTGAGCATCTTTCTAAAGTTTATGAACTAGGGGCTGGGAGACTCCTGTGGAGATAGTCTGAAGTCTTTATTTACCATGGGGCCTTTCCTAATCATTTCTTTCACTACATTCTATATTTGGAGGTCAAGAATTTCTATTCACTTTGTTTAATAAAAAAAGAAACAGATTAAAGTTAGGGAAGGAGGCTGGGGAATAAATAAAGGGTCTCATTAAAGCAATATGCACTCCCAATTTCATGGGCAAGTCATTAAGATCTGATAATTAGCTGACATATGACTTTCGAATGGTTATAACTAACCTTCCCGTCTTTGAGTCTCATTAGTTATAAAACAGGATGCTTTCCTGTGGAGATTTCCACCAGGAAATACCTCCTTTAGAAGTTAAGTTACATTGCATAGCATGTCGTCCATCTGAGTCAAGGTATACCACCCTAGAGGCAGAGAAGAGGTCATGGATAATTTCAAATAGAAATACTAGGCATTAAAACAGCATTAGTGCTGGGCAATAGTCTCAAGTTTATAGCAGGAACTAAATCCCTATTTGGGATGTGGAATGTCAAGGCCAGGCCTTATTTAACGCTCAGCAAAAAGAGCATTACAATTCCATTGAGTCAAGTGTATGAATTAATCAGATTTTCTTAGTCATTCTCTACTGGGAAAAACTTAATTTTATAAACTTAGTTTATTGTGATTTAAATGTACTTTTAATTCCATGGACTTTGAGAAGACTCATTTAACGCATGGAAGTATAAAACGCGTTTTTATGTCTGGTAATGCAGATTAAGTTTGCTTACTGCCTTAAGTAACTAAAATAAAACAAAATTAAAATACTCCTCACCTTGTTTAAGGCTGTATGCTCCTTGGAAAAATAGTTTTTCTAGATATCAGCATAGGCAATAGCTTTGGTTTGAAAACCAGATTGGCATAAAAATCAAAACCCATCAAATGAATTCATTGCCTTTTAGAGACAGAGCTTGGCAAGGAGCTCATCTGCACTGTGTGCCACCCCGCATCTCACTACTCTGCAGCCCTGTTTTGCAACACCAAACATTGGTTACAAATGGAAAAAAAAAAAAAAAGGTCAATCAACAGTTTGCCTATGGAAGAATTGATTGTCTCAACCTCATAGAGTGCTTGGCACTATTCAACTAGCCTAAGTACCAGAACCCAGTGTTTAACACCTGTACTTATTTTCTGGGAAGCCATTTTAACAACAAAATACTTATGTGAAAAAGATATAATGCCCCGATGAGTGAGTGTCTCACATTCCAAATAGATCGAGCTATCACATTAATATTTTTGTCAGGAGGCATTTTTCATTCAATCATAATTCATGCACATAAATAATCACATGCTCTAGTACTATATTCGAGGAAATTTTTCCTTTTTAGTCAAAATAAGAATGAAATGCATTAATTCAAGTCATTCCAGCAGGCTATATGTGGAAGACCACGTCACTGACTTGAAAGCAAAACTTGAATCACAAACCCTTTAAATCAAAATATAAAATAAGATAAAATACTCAAGTTCCCTTTTGGATTTGGAAGCAAAAACAGCTGCTGCAACAATGAGTGGCTTTCCTTCTGAGTTCATCAAGAGGGGAGCCAGACGTGGATCTGATGGCCCTTGTATTGCTCTATTGTAAAAAAATGGAAATTACTGCAAGTTTTCATGGTCATGATATGTGGCTAGGGAAGGATTAACTGCCTAGACAAAAGTGGCATGAAGAAAATATGTCTAAAATACATGAAATACTTAATGCTTGTAATGTTAGAAAATTATTTCTTTTATAAAAGATCCAATAAGTACTAATGTGTTTCAATACAACTTTCTGAAAAAAAAATTTTTAATCAGTAGATTATTTTATTTATTTTTTAGAAATGCAGAAATAAAATTATATTTTCACTTCTCTTTTTCTATCCTGTAGTAACTTATGAAGGCCTGGTCTAAAGGCAGGGCTATGGCTGCTTTCTCTCTCTCTCTCTCTTTCATTCTCTCTCTGTTTCTGTTTTTTGTAGGTTGTGGTGTCAAGGCTAACTGAAAATTCTTTAATTAGCTTTCATGGACACAGCTTCCCATTTACTTCAGTGAGAGGCTTCTCTGCATAAAAACCAGTGGTTTGTATCCATCAGAGTCTTTGACTGGACTGCTTTCCTTTGATTAATCAGAAAACTAAAGTTCAGTCTGAATACTACTTTCCTAAAGAATGAATGAGCATAATCTCTTACAGCTTTCATGAAACTGCCTGAAACCAGAGGGATTAGTCCCACAATCCAGTCCCATACTCCACTTCAAGTATTTTCAATTACTTGGCACCATTGGTGGTGACGTCCATGGCTCAGTAAGAAGGCTACTGCTGGCATAATGGTTTCTCCATGTTTCAGCACATGGTCTTGGCATTAATAATCCATCGTGAAATGATTTGTAATGCACAGGGGTGACATTTGATTATGTGAAAGGCATTGCAGGAATGAGCATGTAGGCTCTTATAGTCCAACTGCTGGCAAAAACATGATGAAATGTTATATGGTGAAAATAGCATTTAAGATGGTTTCTGAACTGACAAAGAAAAGTGTAAGCACATTGCTTTAGGAGAAATGTTCTTTCATTTTTCCCCCTGGTTTTCCTTCTCAAGTCATATTTTGGAGGGCCAAATGGGTGAAGGGGCCAGATTTGGCAGCCAACCACCCAAACACATTTTCAAAACATACTTGATTCAGGAAATTCTGGATCTTTTTAAGCAAAGATGTTAACAGTCCTCCTGAGAGCCTTAAAATATGATGATTTAAACATAAAGAAAAGGGGACCCTAAAATGATCAGAGAAATCAGCAAGAGGCCTCCCTGCTGAAGTTTTCAGTTTTTCATTTTGTTTCCTATTTCTTTTCTTTTTTTTTTAAGACCACAGGAGGATGTTGAATTTATTACCTAAGGGAAGAGCTATCATTTTGGGTCAAAATTTATGAGATGATAGGAAAATTTATACTTCTCCGGGTAGCAAAAACAAAAACAAAAACAATAACACTAGAATTTCTTACACTCATATCTTCTAGATCCATTCACCAATCTGTCAAATGCATTATATTCTAGATAGAGTATAATGAATGTATGAACAAATATAATGCATGCCTGGGTGTGAGTACTGCCAGATCTTGGTTATTTATGGTCCTAAGAGTCGGGTGGGGAAAAAGTTGCTATGCATAAATTAAATCCAGAGAGAATCATAAGATATTTTTAATCAATACTTTTAAATTCATCCATTTTCAAAACTTTAACCACAGATATGAACAAAATAATATCAGCTGATTTTACTGTTACTGACTTTTCCTTCCTAGCCCACTATCTTGCAGATTTAGGTGAATGATCTTAGCTGACTATTGGTTACATACAAGAATGGACAAACATTAACTTCATTTATTCTTTGGATTTGTTATTCATTCATTTGGCTATTCACTTAACACAATTTATTAGGCACTTTATGCACTGTATGCGAAACACAGTGCTTGAGGTCATGGGGAACATAAGGATACACACCCCATCCCTGGAACTTACATTTCAGTAAAGGGAAAGAACATGCACATAGACAACTGGAGCATACGGTAGAAAACATTAAGCCTAGTAGAGAAACAGAGAACACTGCTTTGGGAAATCACAGGAGGTAGGGAGTTCCATCAGGGAGATTCAGAGAAAACTTTTTGTGGAGTCCTGGAAGATGGTCAGGGTTTAGACATGAAGAGAAGGTGGCAATAGCATTTCCTAAGTAGATCTCAATGTGAGTATGGGAATGGTTAGAAGAGGTCAAGACATGCATGAGGAACAGTTAGGTAGAAGCATTAAGTGTCAGAAGAGGAAATCGGGGAGATAAAACTGGAAGGGAAAGTTGGACCAGCTGTAGAATCTTTATTGCCAGAGTAAGGAATGTATGCTTTAATAAGAAAGTAACAGGGAGCCATTGAAGCCCCCCTTTTTACTTTCTATTTTGAAATAAATGCTACGCTTATATAAGAGTTGCAAAGATTGTAAAGAGTTCCCAGAAAGTAGTCCATATCATCTAAGTTTTCATGTTTCAATGAATAATGATTTATATAGTATTCTTATATTACACTCCTATGATTATATCCTCTCTTTAATGCTTAGTGTGGTGTGTCTTTTTTCCTTAATCGGAAATGCCAAAGATCTGTCTTTCTTATTTGTCTTTTCAAAGAAATAGTTTTTGATTTTGTTAACCAAGTTTGCCAGTTTTTGTCCCATTTCAGGGAGCTAATGCCCCCTGAAGTTTCCCTAAAGCTACGTATATGTTCAATCTAATTTTAAAAACAGATAGTGTACATATGCAGTATCAAAAAAGTCCCTTGATCTACCTTTAAGCAGAATGCTGTCTCTAAGTCCCACATAACCACAGAGCTGTGCTTTTCTTTTGTTATGATTCTGCTTGGAATATGTTGGGCCATTTCCATTTGACAACCTATGCTTTTCTTTAACTCAAAGAAAATTGCCTCTGTTATTTATTTCCTCCCCTCTATTTCCTTTGTCTCTTTCTAGAGCTCTTACTAAATTGATGTTTACCTCCAAAATTTATCTGCATGTCTCCTGTACTGTCTTCCATCTCTGTCTTTTTGCTCTAAGTTCTAGAAGACTTTACTTAGTTATTCCTTACTAATTTGGCTGTCTATGTCTGCTACTCTATTTGCTCCTCTTAATTCTTTATACTTATTGTTCTAATTTGGCCATCATATTTCATTTTCTTGCTCCCTGCTTGCTCCATTTTAATAGCTGTTTTAGAGAGAAATATCCTTTCAAAATTTTCTGAGGATATTAACTTAATACTCTTTTACATTCTGTGCTGCTTGAATTGTTTTGTTCTTTTGTTTGCTTGCCTTTGGTCTTTTATGCATTTGGTTTTCCTTAAATGTTTGGTGATCTTAAGTTCATTGACATAGATGGACAAACAAGTACATTAGTTTAGATGGCTGACAAAACCTTCCTCTATGCTTGAGAATGTCTGTTTCCCTAGAGGGGCTCCCCTGAATGAGAGGACAGCTGGGTGCTTCGTATTGAATGGGGTGTATTGACAGGCAGACTTCACCTTAGGATGCTCAATAATGGACCTGCAGGCACAAGTGGGTTGGAGAGCCTCTTCCTCAATGGCTGCCTTTCTTTCCCCTTCGCTGCCTCTCATCCGTGTCTTTGGTGTCCACGGTTACATCAAGCTCTGTTCTGAGGCTTCTATACCCACATTCAAATCATCCTCCTCAGTCAATTCACTTTCATTTACCAGTGGTAAAAACACACTGCTGACTACTGTTCGGAGTGGGGAAGGCAACACCTCACTGGCTGGATGGGTCAGAAGTTTTGAAAGCAGTTTTTGATTAGCCTTAAAATTACCCCAGGACTGCATTCTGCTCTTTGCATTTGTTCATGTGAACCTGGAGTTTCTCTAGCTCTTCTTTACTTTCACAGTACGTTTCTCCTATATATATTTAGACTGTGGCATCTTTGCCCCTAATAATTTGATTCTACTCTCGTCTCCCGGAATTGCCTCAAAGTTCATCTCTTCCAATGGCACCCTTTCTTCTTGCCTAGCACTATTGTGAATTTACTTATTTTAAAACATGTCTTTGACATTTTAGGGAATTTCAGACTAGAAAAGAGTTTGAAGAATGTGCTAAGTCCACTCCATCTTGATTCAATCTTGAGACTTTTTTAATTTTTATTTTATATTCTAAGAGTTCATCTTGTTGATTCTGGCCCATCTTTGCAGGCTATTTGAGAACTGTCTGAATATTCAGTGGCTCAGTTTTAGTTGTCCTTCCCAGCTTTAATTATGGCTTAGATGTCTGGAAGCCACTGATGCCAGTTTGACCAGAACATGTTTTGTCTCCAACTCCCCGCTGGACAATAGGCAATGTGGTCCTATTTTCACAAGCAGTGCTGACCACCAGAGTAGGAAGGAGCCCTCTAAATCCTTACTGAAGGACACTATCTCTACTTCTAAACCCCTATTTTACTCTAACAACTGTAATCTACTGTAATCTAATTTGTATCCCATTTTCTCCATTGACATTACTTTTCGGAAGGTTAATAAGGATTTCACATTCATCACAGTCAGTGGAAACATCTCATTGGACATCTGTCCTGTGGCTGACCGCTGCTCACTTCACCCTCAGTCTCAAGATGTCACATCTCTCGGTTTCCATAAATCCCCTCTTCTGGTTCTTTGTCTCTTTCTGGGCAATGGGCTTTTTAGAGAAATCTTTCTTCTTTTATTTCCCCCACTAAAACTGTTCCTAAGAGCATTCCTTGATCATCTTCTCACACCACACATCCTCACTTGGCAGTGGTACCTGTAGCTGTGGCTTCCGCTTAGAAATGTAGAAGTTCAACCCATATCTCTTCCTTGAGCTTCAGATCTTACTTTTTTTTTGGATAGGGGAGGGCGATTGCTGTTCTCTGTTTGGCTTCCAGGTACTTCATACTTTCTTCGTCCTCACCTTTCACATACCCGCTCCACTTCCTCCTGTGTTTCCCACCCAGTGGCCAAAGCCAGGGCTGACCACTGGTAAAGGTGAAGGTGAAGAGACTTCATTAGGCATGAAAGTATCTTCCCAACTTTCATTCCTAGTGAAGTCCCTTCACCTTTAGCTCCTGAACATACTGTGTTTGCAGCTTGTCTCCATGGGCACTCATCACTTTCAGCCTCTCAGCCATTTAAATCGTTTAAATCCAAAGCATCTTCATGCTGTGACCCGAGTAATCTTTCTGAAGTACATTTGAATACATCACTCTTCTGCTCAGAATCCTTCAAAGGTTCTGATTTTATATAGAATAAAACCTGTACTGCTTTGCAAAGTATGAAGATCTCTTATGGTTTGATGTGAGTGCCTACCTGTCCTCTCCCAACCGTTCCTTGCCACACATTAACCCTTATGCTTCCCTAATTCTGAAAATGCTGTGGTTCCCTATGCTAAGAGTGTCATTTTTTCCCTTTCCCATTGGCCAAGACATCATCAACTGAATGCCTCAGTTCACATTTATATTTCTTGTGAATCCTTCTTTGACTTCCCAGAGGCAGCATAGGTTTGTAGGTCTGTTTATTAAATTATACCCTTCCCTCACTCAGTGAAGGATTTGAAACCATGTAAAACAGATACACCTGGTAACAGGATACAATAAATGAGTGACTTCATAAGTTCAAAGGGAGAGTAAAGGTTAAAATATAAATAGTATCAGGTATGACGTTAGTCTTAAAAATTATATGATATTAAGTTCTGTAGACTTACACTACAAAAAAATGACCTGAAAATTTGCCTTGGGCTTTTTAGTTGACAAACTAAGAAACTTGATTGCTTATGAGTTTCACGGTATCCATAAGCAAGAAATAAAACATCTTTGCCAGTTATTGAAAATTGAGGGATAATTTACTCAATTAAAAGGGTATTTATAAAGGATATTGGCAAATTTAATTCCTTTCTGGTTGTTTTCATTCATAGGATATGGTACAACTTTGTTCACTATTTCCAAGAAAATTTGTAATGTTACCAGTTTACAAAAAGGTTTACTTTATTTTAGCCCAATGAACTTTCACTGACAAATTAATGGCTACTTCTTACCTGAAAGTTGCCAAAACAGCTTCCCCCTGGGAGGGTCACGTAACTCACAAAGGGAGGCCCAGGAGCTGGCAGTGACTCATAGACCACCACACCTTCACTTGGGAATGCAGCCTTCTGCTGCTGCTTGCTTTCCCAAAATTCCTGTAACATTGACACAACGTTCACTGAAAAAGACAAGAAACACCATCAGTTATTAAGGATGGACATAATCTGGTGCAAAACCAAAATTTTATTTGCAAGCTGGATTCTGTAGCATGACAGTTCCAGTTTAAGTAGAGCTGGGTATGTGGATAGTGGGGTGGAGGGGCTTTTAGCTGTGAAAGAATATACTTTATTTAAATATATTTAAAGTATGTTAAAATATACAAATTGAACCTGTTATTTACAAATGCAAATGTGTATATTTCTTAATGAGTAAGGCTCAAGAAGTGGTTTTGGTACCCTAATTAAAACAATATAGCAGTATTTCAAATTTACTCTATAAATTAATTTTTAATATAAAAATTAAAAATCTCATTCTGCTTTGAACATTTGTCTTAATAGACTTTATCCAGAGCTGTGATTATCTGTGGTCCTCTTTCTCATTTCTCATAGATTCTTAAGCCTGCAAAGATTTAAGAAGAGAAAGTCAGAAAGAAGGGAACTCTTTCATGCTCCTTCCACCCCAGTCTAAACGAGAATGAAAGGCAGTTGTAGAATAAGCAGGAGGCTGGAAAAATCCATGAGTGAAACTAATAACATGAAGACCTTGTTAAGAACAAGGTCTGTTCGAGTATTTCAGAAAACATAGTAATGGCTAGAGCCATATGTTTTAGATTAAATGACCTGTGATAGCCTGCAGAAGTTCCAGATCAAATTAGATTGGTTTGTTTATCCTGTACTGCAAATTAAATTGTAGAAATTAACAAGGATAATAGAATTGTAGAGTCAAAAGTGACCTTATAGGTCATGTAGGCAAAGCCCTGCCTAATGCAGGAATTCCTCGCCAGCATTCCTGACAGCTGCTCATCTGGCCTGTACCTGAACATGTGGAAGGACCTAGTACTTGCCACAACCTGAGGCAGCCTATTTCAACTGCTAATGGTTCTGTGAAAAGGTCCTTGTAGGAGTGAACTGAAATCTGCTTTCCTGTAAGGTTCATGCAGAGGGTCTACTTCTCATTTCTGAGGCCTCAAAAAGTTTATTTCCTTATCCACATGGGAGCCCACCACAGGTTTAAAAGCAGTATAAGACATCTGTTGTTTTGCTTGCCTGGCATTCACTTCCCTGCTTGTGGAAACAGCACCAAGATTTTCCTTGAACAATCATGTGGTCTCGAGGGGTGCAGGTGGGAATTTGGCCATAGCCAAGCCATTTAGGGACAATGAATGTGTTGAAAATGTTGAAAGTTTCCTGTTTTCAGTGGGGTTTCTGGAGCCGTAGGAGGTAAGCATGGTGCTGCCCAAGCAAGAAGAAAATCTGGCTGAGAAGAAAGCCCAGAGAACGGTTCAGTAAAGAGATGGAGGAGGGCTAAGTTTTGACAACATAGTTTGAGCTCCTGGTTTCAGCTATGCCCATAATCCAGGATCCTTGATTGGACTTGAAGTTATCTAACCAACCCACCTGCTTTTTCCTTAAGCCATTTTCAGGTGGCATCTCTCACATGCATATGAAAAGTACACTAAACAGTCAACACTCATGTTTTTTCAAGTTCTAGATTAAATAGTTTTTGCTCTTTCAAACATGCTTTGTGTAACACGGCATCTATGCCCTTTGCCATTATCCTGAATATATTCTTGGATCTGCTTTAAAATTCTGGACAGTGACATTTTTCAGTGAGTCTGGAGTATCTCAGAGTGTGATCTGGAGGCAAAATCATTGTATAGCCACTTTCTAAATGTTTACTAGAGCACTAGGTGTCTGCACCTCCTCTGTAGGTCACTGATCAGCTTCATGGTGTATAGTTCAGGCAAATTCTGGCAACTCCTAAGGAACTGGTTGCCATGTATATTTAAAAACTGCAGTGTTTAGTAATTTAAGAAGTGATTTGGGAAAGAAATTGGGAAAATGTTAAAAGTAGTGAGGGGATACTTGAGTTAATCAATAAAATACATATTGAATGGTCAAGTTGAGAATTGGTCATTACAGAGCTTTTTAATTTTTTTGAAAATATTTGAAATAATATTTTCTTTCTTTTTTTTTTTTTTTTTTTTGAGACAGAGTCTTGCTCAATCGCCCAGGCTGGAGTGCAGTGGCACGATCTCGGCTCATTGCAAGCTCTGCCTCCCTGGTTCACGCCATTCTCCTGCCTCAGCCTCCTGAGTAGCTGGGACTACAGGTGCCCACCACTACGCCCAGCTAATTTTTTTGTAT
This sequence comes from Homo sapiens, assembly GCF_000001405.40. NCBI lineage: Eukaryota > Metazoa > Chordata > Mammalia > Primates > Hominidae > Homo > Homo sapiens. Next base: position 97,126,818 of record NC_000005.10, read on the forward strand.
TTTCAGTAGAGACAGGGTTTCACTGTTAGCCAGGATGGTCTTGATCTCCTGACCTTGTGATCCGCCCATCTCGGCCTCCCAAAGTGCTGGGATTACAGGCGTGAGCCACCGTGCCCACCCTGAAATAATATTTTCTACTAGTTGATGTAACTCAAAATAGAATTAGAACTTTTATTTTCTAAACTATTATTTCTGTCCCCTACTCTCCTCCTTTCCCTCCCACCCCTGAGGAAACAAATATCTATGAGCTAGCTGACTTGAGTCTCTGCTTGCAGTTGACCTCCAGAAGTCAGCAGAGATGTCCTAAAGATTGAAGACTGTAACTAATGCCAGTAGCCTGTTACTCTTCTTGTCAACAAGGACTATTAGCCTCCTACTTTGTCAGTCAGTTGTTGACTGGTGTTTAGCTGAGAAGTGGAGGAGGAAGTTGAGGACCCATGATAGTCTAGGTAAAATGCATGATAATCTAGGGAAAATGAACACAAGAATTTTGGCATGTAAAGCTTTTGGGATTAAAAAGTTTGAAGGTATGCACTAAGTCGATTTCTGTGTGAATAAAAGTTGAAGTTTTCAAATTTTTCATTCTGCAATTTTGAAAGATTTCTCTGATGATCCCATAGATGTCATCACCCACCAAGAGTGCAATATATATACATACAGACACACAATCCATCTTTCTATCTCTATCTATTCTTGTCGACTCAAAAACCAGACAAATGAAGTGCAGAGGGAAGAAGGCCAGCTTGCCGTTTGGAATTCCAAAGATGGGTATATCAGAAAATGCTCTATTTATGAAACACATGCTTCTTTATTTGGGGTGGTAGCATCAACAAGGTTTGTGGACAATTTCAAAGAAAATATGAGCAGAGGTTCAAGAGCTGCTGAAGAAAATCACCCAAGTTTGAGAGTAGGCGTCAATCAATACATAGTTGATCTCTAGGTGCAGTTGTACCTTCAGTGCCCAGCCAATGATCCTGCCTTCCATGTTACAGAATAAACTTGAGCTACCAAGTGTGCAATATCCATCCCTATGTCTAGGGACCCATCTGCACAAATGCTCAGCTCCACCTTATTTCCTACAGTCTCAAAAGAATTTGTGCTGCTTTTCCTGGAATTGTTCTCTTAGTCACTCCCATGGCCTATTTTTAAAAGTTCCCTCATTATTCACTCTTTCCCAGCAGCCAAAGTGTGCTCAAAACAACTATTAAGTGAATAAATGAATGAATCCATCAATCAATTAAATGAAACACTCAATCTTGGAGCTATGTCTGGCTACTAGTTATTAAAATGCTCCCAATATAGCCAAACTGCTAGAAAGAATATTCCACATTGACTATCTCTGCTTCCTTATGTTCCATTTATTTTTAACCTACTTCAAGTAATGTAGGCTTTCCTCTAAATTATTCCACTGAAATTACTACAAATGTACCAATTCCTGGTTTTCAGTCCTTATTTACTTGACTTCTTAGCTGTGTTTGATAAAGCTGATAACTTTCTTCTAGAAACCTTGTCTCCCTAGGCTTTTCCTCCTCAGTCTGCATCTCTTCCTGATCATTTCTCCTTGGTGTCTTTTGTGGATTTCTCTTCCTCTGCTCACTACTCATGTTGGCTAGCATGGAAATCTTGTCTTGTCTCCTCTTGTTCTCTTCCAGCTATTCTCCTTGAATGATAGAACCCACCATAATATACACAGATAGCTCCCAAACTATTCTCCTGCATCTCCAATTTTGTTATCAGACACTGCCATTTGGATGTTGCAAAAACTCAACATATTTTCAAACTCAACTCATTTTCTTTTTCATAAACTCTTCTCTTCCTCCTGAATTACTTTTCTTTCTCCTGGGTTACAAAAAAAAAGTGATGTTATCATCTACCTAGTTACCTAAATCAGAAACTGGGCATAAACCTTAAACTTCATTTCCTCTTTCAATATCTAATAAATGCCCAAGTTTTGTCAGTTTCATATCCTGATGTCTCCCATCAGCATCAGTTTCTTTCAGTCTATACTGCCATTACTGCATTCGTTCATGCTCACTGTATCTGATCAAGCATACCACAATACCCTCCTGACTCCAACCAGCCTCCCATCCAACCTATACTCCCACTGTTTCCGGGGTAATATCACTGAATCTCATAGCCGATCAAATCACTCACATCTTCAAGTCCTTCTATGGGTCCCTAATTAACTATGGAATGAATAACTCCTTGGCAAGGCATAGAAGACCCTATGTCTCACTATTCTCTCTTGTCCTAACCTCCTCTCCCCAAGTTCACCCTTCACGTTCCTCACTCCCTATGCTTCTTATGCTTCTCAAAAGCCAGTACTTCCATTCATCCTCCTGGAATGCCCTTCTTTCCACTGTCTATTGTCTTCTTGAATGGTACCTACTCTTTTTCAAGACTTGCTTCCAGCATCAGTTTCTCAAAAACAAAAACAAAATAATCTCAAAGCCCTTGCTAAAGAAAGTGCACGCCCTACCCGCAAGAAACATCATGGATATCACTTGGGAACTTGTTAAAAATGCAGGATCTCAGGCTCCACCCTAGGCCTTCTGAAATATAATCTGCTTCTTAACAAGATTTAAAAAAAAAACTGGTGCATGTTAAAATTTGAGATGCCTTGCTGTAGGAAGAAGTGACCATTCCTATCCTCCTAATGTACCTATTATATGCATTTTCCCATTTCATCCTTACAGCACCCCCTTGAAATAGGTATTATCATTCACATCCTACAAAGGAAAAAAAAAAGAAGTTGAAGGTGTAATCACACAGCTACTAAGTCTTAGACCTAGGATTTTTAACCTAGTTTTGCCTCTATAGTCCATGTTCTTGGTTTATCCTGAGATACTCCGTAATATAATAGAACTTAAGTTATTTTCATGCTGTCTATCTGTAATATAGACAATGCTCATTGGAGAAAGAATTATATCATTTCCCCACAACCCCTGGAACATAGTAGAAACATAATAAATGTTAGTCAAGTATTTGAATGTTATCAAAAGTATAGAAGATGGGCTGCATTTGTGAGGCTGTTGGTAGTGTAGGCATGAGAGCCTTCCCCAAGAATTGCTTCATTTACCTTTTTCCGTGGGCCATTTTTCCGACATTTGTTCTTGACAAAGTCAAATGAAAGAAAAGACTTTATTTGCACATTTTCAAACAAGTCATATGACATGTTTCCAACTTGGAATTGTCATACGGAATGAGCAGTCCATGTGCACGTAAACCAATATCCTTATCATCAATCTTCAGCCAACTGCTGTGGTTAAAGCAATGGTGTAAATACCCACAGACTGGCTCAGGAGGGGCTGTGACTGAGCCTCTCATTCCAGCCCTTTCTTTCAAAGAACAAAGGAGGGACCTCAAGAGAAATAAGACTCAATGACAGAGATTGCTGAGGGGCTTGGTTTCCCCCGTAGAGAGAAATGAGCCTTCTGGCAAGGCCAGGTCTCTGCCTCGTTGTGCCTTCCACCTCAGGGTCAGGAAGCTACAGTCGAAAACACATTATCTATGGCTTTGCATTATTTCTCCGAAAGTTTAGTAAAGTTCTTTTTGAAAAGTTTCTACTCTCTCCCAGTGGACACTAAAGGGAAGGGACTTTATCCACAGCCAGGACAAGATAAATCAGCCATACAGCGAATCTAGACACCGGACACAGGAAGCAGTGACTCCTAAGATGGAGCTCTGGAGAAAGCAGAGGGGTAGCAGTTGGGCTGACACTGAATTAAGGATGAGCTGAGCAACACTTCTGGTTCTGCCTTTAACTTTCACAAATCATCTTTTGGGTTTGCTTTTGTCAAGGTAACTGATGTTTAACTGATAAAGTTACAATAAAGAAGCAGAATATCAAATCCCTTGCTGAGGCAAGGGACGTAAGAAGTAGAAGGAGACATAAGTGTTAGGAGGAATATTAATAATAGCATGAAATCCAGTTCCTTTTTGTGATTTCTATCAGCTTAGAACTGCTGACAGTAAAGAAAGCAGCGTACCTCTGAAATGACTTTGCAGATCGAGCTTCTTAATTCATTCTACTACCCCTAATTGCTTTCTCTAACACGGTGATAGGCCCCTACAGGAGTTTTAAATATTTTGTGCTTCAATAGCAAGAAAATGTGCCATGTAGTTTATAGACATTAGTGTGGCTACTTTCTTCTTCACTGTATTTTGAAATTTGAACACAACAGAGTTTTCAGAGTAGTATTAGATCCCCAAGCAAGTCTCTTGTAAGTGAGGTTTTCATTTTCCCCTTCCTGAAGCTTCCTTTCTTTTATTATAAAGGTCAGCATTGAGGCTTTCCCAGTTAACTGATGAAGACATCCAGCAACATGGAACACCTTGGTTATTTAACCCTTGACCCTCTCCAGCAGAAATTCCTGATTAGCTTCAGCCTGGACAGTCTCATCACACCTCCCTGAACACATGTTGCTTATTTGTTATCTGTACCTTGGTTCAAGTTCTCCCTCCTATTTTGAGTGTTGTGTCCTTTCCCTCCCTTCCTTCTATCCAGCTTACTCCCACACTTCAGGGGAAATGACACCTCCTCCATTGTGTCTTACTCACTGGCTCCTACCCACATGTACCTCCTTTTCTGAACTCTTATTCCATGAGTGGCCCTATGTCTTAGCACTTAATCTCCTATAAACCATGCTAATAAAATGGATGTGGTGCTCCTGGCTAAATGTATCCAGTCAGACTTGGCTGTACTTCCTTCTGGCCAGAGGAATGAAATGCCTTGTGGTAACAATTCATCTTACAGAATACAGTTTTCTGTTATTTAACTCACAGCAGACTGGGATTCTAGAGGGCAGCAACTCTGGCTCATTCTTCTCTGTAGCCTCCTTGGTATCCAGCACAGGCTGGATACTCACCTAGAAGCAGTCATTGAATTCATTTGGAATCTAAGAAACCTCGACATAGTCTAAACAGCTTTAGTGCAATTGAATGAACATGTAGAAAGTAAGTGAAGTCACTGTGATCCACAGCGTGGTCAGGACTTAATTCTGGAATAGGAGGTTTCACGGATAGACCACCATGGTGTTCAAACAACATGGGTGTATTGGTGGCAACCATGTCTCAGCTGGGGATGGCAAAGTGGGTAGAGAGAGATGAAGCCTGGTGAGGGTAGAAATGTGGTTGCTGGCTGCCTACTCACTTGGGTTGTACCTTCACAAGAACTAGTGCTTAGGAAACTCCTGAACAGGGATAATAAGTCTGTTTGTCTTGGATGCCAACACGAATTGATTTATGTTGACTGCCTGAAGCACTCTGTTGAAAAGAATTGAAAAATACCATATGGGATCAGTGGAACAGAACGCCATAATTAACCTGCAATGTGGCATTGGCATGTCTATGTGCTGACCCTGACCTTGATGCTATGAAGTAATAGAAAAATCCAAGACGGGTCTCTGCCCACGGAGATTTACAATCCGACTGGGGAAATAATATATTCATCATATAATTAGTGAACAAAATATTAGAGTGCTAAATTGTGGAACAGAGATGATGTTAAAGTGACATGTAAAATGTAAAATTTATGGCAGAATAATCAAATAAATGCAAGGGGAAGAGTAGATGAATGTGGGCTGAAAAGGTCAGGAAAAATTTGTGTAGGAAAAAGGCCTAAGCTGAGCCCTTCTCAGAGGAATGAGGTTGAGGGAGGGATGGGTGAAGGGAGAGAAATAATGATACTCCCATTGAGGAACTGTGTAGGGAGCAATAGGAAAGAGTGCCAGTAGGAAGGGATATGATTTGACAAGAGACAGGGTGAGAGGACTTAGCTTCTTTTAATAACTGGATGTGAACCCCATTGCCCTGATGTCCCAGCTTTACCCAAGCAGGAGAGAAGGGTAGGAACAGAGTCCCTTGTCCTTTGCCCTTGCCAAAGGTGCTGTGCTGCCTGTGGTGGCTCCATCCATGAAGAGGTGGAGCCACAAGGAAGGGCCCAGATCCCCAGAGAGAATGTGTGGTTGCTCTTGTGTATCTGGGTGAGCCCAAGGTAGAACATTTCTCTGAGAGGGGCCTGGACAGAAAAACCCACTAGAAGTGGGTAGGAGATGATTAAGCAAAAGAGTGTTCCTTCTGCAGCCTGGAAGGAGATGAAGCCCCTTCAGAGAAGGACATCAGTAATTGGACACCCAGAGGGCATCATACTCAACATTCAGGGCTTATCATTTGTGTATATATACATAAAATTGTATTTTTATTTTCACAGATTGGACACAATGAGGATGCCAATAAGCATATATGATCTATGTTTTCATAGGGAAAGTTTGAGATGTAGAGAGTTTAAATGCTTTATGGATTACAGGGTTTGTTATAGAAGAGTCCTCAAATACAGGCATGAGTTCATTACACAATAAAATATGCACTGAATCTTGTCTCTCCACTTTTTATCAACAGACAGGAAGTTTCCTTAGTAGTTAAAAGCCTGTTCTCTGAAGCCAGACTGTCTGGGTTTGAATCCTGTTTCTATCACTGCAAGATATCTAACCACACCATGCCTCAGTTCCTCATCTGTGGAATGTAGTGTCTACATCACAGGGGTGCTGTAAGGCTTAAAATGGAAAATGCTCAGAAAAGAACTTCACACATTGTAAGTACTAGAGTGTTAGCTATTATTTGTGACTGGAGGAAGTAAAGGAAGAAAAGAGAGGGCATGAATATATGTCTTCATATTGCATCTTTGAAACTAACTGTTCCTGTTTTGGAAACTAAGTCATTAAATAGTCCAGAAATAGTCTACAACCTGAAGATTCTCTAACTGAACACATTGTGCTATTTATTTCCAAGATAGGTGCAGAGTTCAGGGATAGAAAAGAGAAAGATCTTTTGATAACATTCACTGGTAAAGTGAGAACTCCCTAATAGCCAGAAAATAAATGGATAAAATGCTACATGTCTCAAAATTTGAAAATGTGGATTTTTTTGGTCCCAATTTTTCACTTTCCCATGGATGCTAAAGGCAATAGACCTGCTCCTAGCAAAAACTACCATGAGGAGCTAATTTTATTTTAAATTAATTTTCATAACAGTGTATTCTTCAGGAAAGTAGAAACCATATAGTTCATTGCTTAGTTCAATTACCTAATATGACACAAGTCCTGCATAGAAGACAGTCATTTGTCCACAAAAAGGGATCTTAAAAATCCATTATAAATTTGACAGAAAAAAAAGAACAAATTTCTTTAAGACTTACATGAGGAAATATTCTAGCTGGGTAGAATTTCTCTTGTCGAAAACAAAGACAAATTGGAAAGGCTGCCATTTAAGGATAAATCATTAAGAGGCTTTCAAGATGATTACCATATATATATATTTTTTGAGATGGAGTTTTACTTTTGTCGCCCAGCTGGTGTGTAATGGAGCTTTCTCAGCTCACTGCAGCCTCCACCTCCTGGGTTGAAGCGATTCTCCTGCCTCAGCTTCCTGAGTAGCTGGAAGTACAGGCGCCTGCCACCACGCCCAGCTAATTTTTGTATTTTTAGTAGAGGTGGTGTTTTACCATGTTGGTCAGGCTGGTCTTGAACTCCTGACCTCAGGTGATCCACCCGCCTTGGCCTCCCAAAGGGCTGGGATTATAGGCGTGAGCCACCGTGCCCGGCAGCCATATTTCTAAATTGATTATCTACCTCTGAACAGATGGATTTATGTTATGTAATATTTTAATATAACCTTTAATTAAATTATCCCTAGCAGGTGATATTTTTAAATAAAGTTAATTAGTATTTTAGCAATTCAATCATGTACAACTTGTTTTTACCAATGTTATTTCCTAGTTTTCTTGAGGAGCAACAGGAAAAGGAACCCTAAACAATTGAAAGGGTAAGCTCAAGGTGTGACGCTGATTTACATTCATGAAAATGAGTTGAAAAATGTGGTACCTTTGGGTCTTGTGCTGGGCTTAGCTGAACCCCAGGACACTGACAAACAGAGTTGCTGTCTAGTTGTTTCTAACTATACTCAGCCTTTGCCAAGTTTTGGCCAGGCTAATGGAATCTTGTGGACACACAGGGTACAACATGTAGGAATCTCGGGGCCCCTTTTTCTTTTGTGTAGACACTTTCAAAGGTAGCCACAGCACACAGCAGGACTGAGACAGCTTGGAGTCTTGCTTTGTTCCCAGCAGAGGGACTTTCCTTTGGTAACGCTCCCAGGTCAGAGCTTAACTCTTCACCAACTGGAAAGCTGGTTGTGTTTCTTCTTTTGTTTGCTTTTTTTCTTCTTCTTTCATTCCCACTCCTTACCCCAAACATATTCCTGAGGAAATTATGATCCTTCAGGTTGTTTTACAAAGTTAACCTCTCAGGAGACTCTGCAAAACATGCAAAAGGGATATCATACTTTTTTGCTTAATTTTCACCTTTAGAATTTAAAACCGATGAACTGTAAATCCTTTTAGGGGAAAATTTAAATAACACTTATTTTATGTATATTTGGAAGCACAGGGTAATTTTTTAAGGAAGAAGGGGAAAAATTAATGAAGGTGTAAGAGGGAATCACAAAGACAAATTAAAAAGTTTTTAAGTATACCATAGTTAAGCAGCATGCCTGATTCCACATATGTGGTTTATATGTGCACATTGGGTCAGATGATGTCATTCAATCTCAAAAGCTGCATAAAATAGAAGCCTGATGTACCCTATTTATCCAATCAGAAAGTACATATCTTTCTCACATTCTATTGGGTAATGACATTGCACTGTATTTAAAAGAGACTTTAGGCCAGGCGCAGTGGCTCACGTCTGTAATCCCAGCACTCTGGGAGGCCGAGGTGGGCGGATCACTTGAGGTCAGGAGTTTGAGACCAGACTGGCCAACATGGTGAAACCTCATCTCAACTAAAATTACAAAAATTAGCTAGGTGCAGTAGTGGGCGCCTGTAATCCCAGCTACTTGGTAGGCTGAGACAGGAGAATCCCTTGAACCCAGGAGGCAGAGGTTACAATGAGCTGAGATCATGCCACTACACTCCAGCCTGGGTGACAGAGCGAGACTCTGTCTCAAAATTAATAAAAATAAAAAAATAAAAATAAATAAAAGAGACTTTAGAGGACCAATGATTTTAGACAACCAATAAAGGATTAGTCATGCTGGTTGCTTTGCTGATCAGTTCTTCTTAGTCAAAATGGTCAAATAAGTGTAAATGTGGCTTTGTGTAATGCATCTTCCTTCCCTGGAAACAGTCATTATAAGAATGCTCAAGATCCTGCCACAGCTATCTAACCAGGGTTTATGCACAAGGCACAGAGTTTGGCTCTAAAGAGCATGGTGCGTGCATGACTTTGGTGACTCACAGTCGGGGGTAGATCTAATGGATGAATGTAAGGATGGGCAATTTAAGCCATTGTGCCAACATGGCATATGGAATGATTCTGAGAGAGTGTGATAGGGCCAACCCAAGGCAGAGCTCTAGCCGAGAGGGTGTGTTTGTCTTTAGAGCCCCGACTTTCTTGATGCTGTCTTCTGTATCATCTGGCTATCAACTTAACCCTGCATGTAATTAGCCTGTGATAATGGAGTCAGAAGATAAATGGCTTAAAAGGGTCTTGGCACAGTTTATTTCATCGTAAAGGAGAACACCTGACAGTGGGCAGAATCTTACCCCCTTCATGCGAGGAAGAAAAATCAACCATTGGCAATCCAAAAATGTCTGATTGTGCACTGCTAGGTGTGTGTTCCTGTGGGAGTTACCTGGGGGTTACAGAAAAGTACAAGGTACAGCTCTGCCCTCCTGGAACTTACAACTTAGGTGTGGACAAAAACACCACATTGAAGCTGTAACACTTAGTACAGAGCCACATGAGGGAAATGTAAACTAAATAGCACAGGCCATAAGTGCCAAAGGAGTGGTGACGAAATGATGGTTTCTCACAGCTGCTTAACGGGATGAGATCAAAATAGGGATCAACTGATTATCATCGCAGGAGGAAAAAAAAACCGAAACCATAATTCAAACATTTCATGGACACTAGAGAAAAAAATATAAAGAACTATGGGGAGTGTAATAATTGTCTATTTTGTCAATCTTTCAATAGGATTCTTTTTTTTTTCTTTTAAAATAGAAATGTTTTAACTACCTTGACAGACTAAACTTACATGGGCATTTGAACATGGAGGAAAAGAAGTAAGAGTGTTTGGGGTTAAAACATCAATATGAAATGTATTACAAAAAGAAGATTCTTTTATGAAAGGCTTCTAAAGTTGTCTTACATTTCTTAAATCAATCTGTAGCACATAATCAGTAAAACCGTGTCATTTAAACAGAAGATCATAACTTAGAAACTCACCCTTATGCATCTGTATCCTATTATGGGCTGTAACTTAACACATGAGTTTCAGAAGTTGTTAAAATTGAGTTCAGACTAACAAATCTTAACTGTTAAAAACAACAGCAACCACCACCAAAGACCTCTGGTGAGATGGGAGAGCAGTCAATGAAGAGGTCCCAGATTTGATCTCACAGGATAGGTGTCTATCATATTTATTTTGATCTGTTAAATCTTACTTTTCTATGAGAAATAAATGTACTAGGACAGATAAAGCCATAAAGTGATCAAGAAGCTACCTATTTTTTCCAGTTTGAAAACCTGTCTTCTAGGGTTGAGACTTTTATACATTTAACTTTAAACTCTGTCAAATGTATATTTACTGAAAAAAAAAAAGAACCAGCTCTTATGCCATTGATAGCTGTACTAAAATTTATATTTCTTCCTTAGTATAAATTCAAATAAAAATAATTAGGCCCTATGATAAATAAAGTAAAATTAGCATTTGAATAGGCTTCAGTCAAACAGACATCCATAGTTTAGATGCTAAAATTAGCAGAGTTCAAATTACTGTAATTAAGATGCACTCATTATTTTAAAATAAGCTAGCAAGCACTATAGGGTTTATTTTTGTTTGGCTTTTTTTTGTGGTTTTAAACTGTATTTTTTCAGGGGTGGTGGAATGCAATGCAATATGTATAGGGATTTTACTGCACAAGAATCTTCAGCCTTTACATCCTACTCCATTCCTTTCTGTGAAATGTGAAAACTATAAATTTATTGATTTCACATAACTGTACTAAAAAGCATGGGGTGGATAAAGTACTTGACTCCTGAGGATTCTTGCTCTCTCATGCTGCATATAGCTAGATTCATGATTACTAAGATGTTTTTAATAGCCCTGTAGTCTGGTCCAGTTTTTCCAAAGGGCAAAAAACGTACTCTTTGAAGTAAAGTATTCACCTATCTGATATAAATAAAACCTTTCATGCAGAAAAATGTTCTCCCAAATGGAAGAGTTAATGCACCTCAAATATGTGAGAAATTTGCTTCCAATTTTTCAACGCTTAGTAAAGGATCCATCTTACTTTTTCATTATAAAATTTGGGAAAAAATCTCAGTGAAATCTTACATGTCACTTCATAAGTCAATGCTAGAAACCAACTCATTCTCATGGCTACAGTGACAATTAAGATACTTTTTAAACAATCTTTTTGAGAAAGTTTGCCCTGATTTTGGCCTTCAGTCAGTGAAAGTGGTTTCTCCTCATAGGCATGTTTGACATTTACAAATCTTGCATCTTGTCTGAGTTGGCAAATGGTTTCTTGCTAAGAAAAAGCTGCAGTGTTCCCTAACTTAGGTATTCGGATGTGTACCTCTAACCAATGTCAATATAAACTTTTCCGCAACGCAACATAAGGCCATAAACTTCCAGAACTAATTTACTGTTAACTCCAATGGCTCCCTATTGCCGGCATGTCAGCATGACCCAACCTGCCTCCTCAGTCTGTCTCTGCCTCCCCCAGCACATGGTTCTTGTATTGCCCAGTTTGTCTTTGGACAAGCTGTTCTATCTCATCAAAAATTATCTGCCCCTCACCACTTTCTTGTCACACTTCTGTTCAAATGTGATTATTTAATGGGCTCCCTCTATGCTCCTGGTAGAGTTCCTTTTTCTCCCCTCTGTTTTCCTAACAGATATAAGTCGAGCATCCCAAATCCAAAAACCTAAAATCCAGAATGTTCCAAAATCCAGAACATTTAATTGCTGACATGAGACTCCAAGGAAATGTTCATTGAAGCATTTCAGATTTCAGATTTTCAGATTTGGGGTGCTAAAGTATATATAATGCAAATATTCTGAAATCCAAAAATAATCTGAAATCTACAACACTTCTGGTCCCAAGCATTTCAGATAAGGCATACTCAACCTGTACTGCTATTACAACACTAATGACATGGTAACTAGCACTTCTGAGAGGCAATGTCTCATAGTGTTTCAAGGTAAGGAGTTGGAAGACAGAATTTGATTCCTGGCTCTATCACATACTAGCTGTGTGACCTTGAGTGACCTTGGGCACGTCATTTTAACCTCTGTGTGCCTCAGTTTCCTCACCTCTAACAACAATTGTACCTACATTACTAGCTTACTGTGAAGAATAAATGTTTCTAGTACAGTGCCTATCACATGATGAGGACTTGATGTCTTAGCCTTACTATTAAATGGTTGAAGAAAGAGCTCAAAGATGGCAGATAAATGTATTGTGCTCTTGTAATATGAAGAGTTAACACTCAGATTAGGATCTGAAAGCATAGCTATCTTGAAGTCATGTGGTGATTTCTTTTGAGAAAGTACGCAAGGAATTGTCAAACAGTGGCAAATGAATAGTAAGTTAACACACTTCTTCAAAAGAGTGGACAGGGGCTGCTTTTAGGATAGCTCAGCTTTGGTTGTGATGCATGACACATGAAACGAAATTGGATATTGCACAAAGCCAAGAATGGAAAGCAATATGGAGACAAGCTATACTTTGCAGAGATTCTGCCTGGTAGTGTGGAGACTTCCAGTGCTACTTGTTTTAAAATAGAGACATTTATGCAGGGGAGAACAGTCCAGTGTCAGCTTAGATGAACAAATTTCAAATTGGGAGTCCATCTTATTTAAAACCTCTTTCCATTATTTTTCATATGAAATGTGAAATAGGGAAAAGGAAAAAAGTGTTATGGAATTTATTTCCTTCTAGAAGAGAAAATAAAAAAAGAAACAAATCACAACTATTGCCAGATGAACGCCTTGTATAAAATAAAATGACAGGTTTAATGTATTGCAAAATACCATTTGAAGAGCTTCCTCATCTGAGAAAGCATTTGAATTTTATTTCTTTAAATGAATGTAACTATTCCCATGTGCATCTGTTTCAGACCAGAAAACTCTCTGGGTGCTTTTTCTAACCAACTTGAAGAGAAAATTCAGTTACTATTGCTTGTTTTTAAGCAAATCAAAAGCCAACTGAGGGCAATAAATGAATTGCATGATCATTTACACTCCCTGGATTATGTATAACCAAAGAGTGAAGAGAGAAAAACTGTGTTTGCATTCATGGAAGATAAATTAAGAAAAAATTTAAAAGTGTTTTGTGTGTGCATGTGTGTGTGTTTGTGTGTTTGTGTGTGTTTATTCTTTTGTTCAACTGGGCTGGGTTTTAAAAATTCTTGGATCAGCTTTCATCTTGTAGGAAAGTAAGGTAGCAATTTTTCTTAAGGAATTGGCAGTGATGTGCTCAAGTGCTCAGCTCTTTCCTTCTGGCAGAAAGAGCTTGGAGCAGGTTAGAGTGGAGGAGGAGCCAGCAGTGACTAGGAGGAGAGGGGACTGCTCAGAACCTGCCATTCAAGGCTGGTGGCAGCTTTTTACAGGCTGCCAATAGGAGTGTGGTGGCAGCAACTTATGGGTATGCCAAAGAAAATGGGACCATATGCCAAACTCTGGCGTGTGCAGCACCTACAGCTTGCCAGGGCAATGGCATAGGCTCCAGACAGACTTTTAATGTCCTGTCCCAGAAAGTAAGCAGCCCATTCCCACTTATTCCACGAGATTGGTAAGTGGTTGGATGTTTTAAAGTTAGGAAAACTCCTGGTACAGAAATGTGCCATTTGGCTTACTGTCATTTAGTCATTTTTCAGATTAGAAAAGAAGGGAGAGAATCGGCAGTTTAATATTCACGTCTATTAAGCCATGCAAGCAGTTGCCGAGTAGCAGTCCATTCTAGGGTAAACAGGCAATGCTCTCTGGTCAAATATAGGTTCTATGTTAATGAATGAAATATATAAAACAGGACACTTATTTGTTCTCCCATATAAAAGAAGTCCTGCAAAGTCCTGGATGACAGAACTTAATGTATGCTTTATTGTAATCCTTTTTCTAGTCTATCTTCTTTTCTAAACTGTAAACAATCGCAGCAATTTAGTTCAGCTAAAAAATGAGCTATACAGTTTCACATTTGAACTTATTAAGTTTTCAATGGGCCAGTGAAAAACGTCCCCCCTATTTTTTTTTTAACTGCTTCCCCTATTTAAATGCTCAGCATAAGAACCCTGGTCCTATACAATTTATCCAAAGCTTGGGCAGCCCGAGAGCCCTTTTATCCCTCACTAGTGAATCAGTTCTATTGTAGGAGAGAGACATTCTTTCCTCCCCTTTTCGCTTAAAAAACATAACAAACCTGAATAGACTCCAGGCTAGAGTAGTGGAGAGAGTGATTTTTATTAGATCTAACATAGTTATTGGCAAATGCCTAAAGACAATATTTAAAAAGAGAGCTAGAGAAAGAAAAGGCTTTCACTTTATGCCTTAAAGGACAGATTGGTTACAATTTAACATCTAAGAGGAAAAATTTATAGAATTAAATGGCCTAACATTCCTCTTTCTTCAACATACATATGAGAAATCTAAGCTAAGAGGACATCTGGAATGGAACGTTATTCAGCAATCAGAAAGCAAAAATTCAAACCATTGATGTTTTGATGGAGACAAACACAACTAGATTCACAAAGAGGAAAGCTGCAACCTATTGAAGTTAAAAAAAATTCCATATGCATTTTACCTTTTGGGCAGTTCTATTTCAGAAGCCCTTTGTAATATGAAACCCACTGTAGATAAGATACAACATGAAGATAGTCTGTTTTGCAGCAGCAGGAAATCAAATTGGTTCCAGAAACGAAGTTATATGACAAATGGTTTAATAGTATTGCTAGAATTGGAAATCTTGATTGAATTATTTTTAAATCATTAAAAAAAAGATTTTGAAATAACTTTGCCATGCTGTATAAATTGGTGATGGTGGTAGGGGGTCCACACAGGGAGTGTTGCTGAGGTTAGGAGGCATCTCATTTTATTGGCCTTTTAACTAAAGCATTATAATCTGTTATCAAAATTTAAAAGTTCAGTGGTGATTTACTGTTAATTCTGGTTTGCAACAAATATTTTCAGACAAACACGATACTTGAATTAACATAGCTAATATGTGTTGTGGAGTATTAAACAGGTTAACAAATATTGATATATTCTAGTATCATTTCCAAATTATTTTTAGGTTTAATCTCAACACCAGTCAGCTTTGCTTTACTTAAAAAGCATCAGAAAAAGTTCATTAAGTCTTAGGCAGGTCTTGGATTGTAGAAGAGACTTCTAAGTAGTTAGCAAGATGTATCACTGACAGAATAACCCAGTGCCTAATGCCTGTAGGTGAAATGAAATCGTTCTTCTGGCTGAAGTCAGGAACAAGTTAAAATATCACTTAGAACACAGCATACGACTGCAGAGATTTAGGAGAAATCTTACTTAAATAGGATGTGACTTGACGTTTAGGACTATTTTCTAAAAAGTCAAAAAACTTTTCCCCCTTCAGTACTTACAGTCTTTGAAGACTAGAGCCGGATCTCTGTGAGGCAAGACTTGGGCAATGATGTGTCTCAGAGATTCCAAGGTTCTGTCCATCTTGGGTCTGCCTGTGTGAGCCTCCTGTACAGAGTGTCCTCATGCCTGAATTCTTGCAGTCCTGGGCTGAATTTCTGCAGCTCATTGATGCACTGGATTACCAAGGAATCCCTTTTAACATCTGCCAATCAGACATTTCCCAGAATCTAAAGACCCCTCAGGGGGCCCTCTTCCCAGGCTCACTTATCTTTGTTGTATGCTGAGCTAATTAGCTCGAAAGGCTGGCTGACAGGCGGGTTCCCATTGCTTTCTTCTGTTAAACACACCCACCTACAGGCTAGCTGGGGAAGCTCGCTAAATTATGAAAACAGCTTTCCTCTCCAACCAGATTTTGTCTGAATGCTGTGCAGCTTTCTGACTTGAGTATTTCTTCTGGCCCTCCATCTTCAATTGTGTTGCCCCCAGGAATATGGAATCAGGAAGGTTATTTCTCCAGGAAATTTCCTGAATGACAAGACAGCTTCCAGCTCAGGACTGCCAGCTATATGTTAACAGTATAATCCCTATAAATCTAAATTTTCAGTGTAATTCTTCTTTGGTAAAGGAGTGCTATAAAGATTATGGGGCTGGGTGCAGTTTATCATGCCTGTAATTCCAGCACTTTGGGAGGCTGAGGCGGGCAGATCGCTTGAGCCCAAGAGTTCCAGACCAGCCTGGGCAACATGGCGAAACCCTAACTCTACAAAAAATACAAAAATTAGCTGGGTGTGGTGGTGCATGCCTGTGATCCCAGCTACTTGGAGGGCTAAGGCAGGAGGATGGTTTGAGCCTGGAAAGTCGAGGCTGCAGTGAGCCCAGATTGTGCCACTGCACTCCAGCCTTGGTGACAAAGTAAGACCCTGTCTCAATTTTTTAAAAAAATCTTTCAATAACTACCTTAAGAAACATATATGTATTTTCTCGTCCTGTTTCTTTGTTTTATTTTTCTTTTTAATAGGGTCTCATACTGTCCTCCAGGCTGGAGTGCAGTGGCGTGATCATAACTCACCGCAGCCTTGACTCAAGTGAGGGGCTTGAGCCCTGGACTCAAGCAATCTTCCCATCTCAGCACCCCAAGTAGTTGGGAGGCACACGCCACCACGCCTGGCTAATTTTTAAATTTTCTGTAGAGATGGGGTCTCACTGTGTTGCCCAGGCTGGTCTCAAACTCCTGGGCTCAAGCAATCATCCTGTCTGGGCCCCCAAAGTGCTGCGATTACAGGCGTGAGCCACTGCACCCTGCCCTGAAATTTTTAATAATTATTAAGTGAAAGGAAGTGAATTACATCAGAATTAATTAAAGTCAACCTTGGGAATGATTCACTTTGAAGGGTAAATAGGGAAACAAATGTTCCCAGGCAAGCTGTAAGACAGTCTGTCAGGTTTTACTTGCCCCTGCCCAATAGAAGTGACTAAAATTTGGGAGGGTTGTGGGGGGTAACAAGCCTTGGCTTCCAGAAGAGTGGCTCCTGAATTCAAATGCAAGGCTTAATTTAGTCCCTAGCTGTATCCTTTTTTTTTTTTTTTTTTGAGACAGAGTCTCACTTTGTCATGCAGGCTGGAGTGCAATGGCATGATCCGGGCTCACTGCAGCCTTGACTTCTCAGTCTCAAACGGTCCTCCCACCTTAGGCTTTCTAGTAGCTGGGACCACAGGCCCACGCCACCGCACCTGGCTAATTTGTGTATTTTTAGTAGAGAGGGGGTTTCACCATGTTGCCCAGGGTGGTCTCAAACTCCTGGCCTCAAGTGATCCACCCATCTCGGCCTACCAAAGTGCTAGAATTACAGGCATGAGCCACCATGCCTGGCCTTTAAAGATCTTAAGAAAACAGAAATTCTTTTTCTACCTATTCATGATCTATACTACCTGTAACACTTTGTTAAATAATCTTTCCATAGAAGACATAAATATAAGTCACAGGATTCCTTTTCCATAATAAGGATTTATACCAGATATAAAATAACTAATTTTAGTGGTTGTAACCAATGTTACTTGTTGAAGGAGGTTGTTGAGGATTGTCAAACTTTTATTTAAAATATTTTTCCAGGGTAGCCACAAAGATTGCTTTCCAGTGTTTCTTCCAATTTTCAGATTCCATAACTAGGTTGTATTTTATGATGAACTGAAAGTAGACCTTTAAAGACTGTATAAAAATGAAATACCTTCCATGTGATCAGCTTCTTCAGCTAGTTTGTAGAAGAGCAGGCTTCATAAAAGGAAATAGATGGAACCGAACTAGAATAATAATTCCTATTATACTCACTGTATTAGTTCATGCTGCTAATAAAGACATACCCAAGACTGGGTAATTTATAAAGGAAAGAGGCTTAATTGACACACAGTTCAGCATGGCTGGGGAGGCCTCAGGAAACTTACAATTATGGTGGAAGGGGAGACAAACACATCCTTCTTCACATGGCAGCAGGAAGAAGAAGTGCCAAGCAAAGAGGCAAAACTCCTTATAAAACCATCAGATCTCATGAGAACTTACTCACTATCATGAGAACAGCATGGGGGTAATCACCCCCCTGATTCAATTACCTCCCATCAGGTCCCTCACACCACACGTGGTGATTATGGGAACTACAATTCAAGATGAGATTTGGTTCCAGGTGTGGTGGCTCACACCTGTAATCCCAGCACTTTGGGAGGCCGAGGCAGGCGGGTCACCTGAGGTCAGGAGTTCGAGACCAGTCTGGCCAACATGGTGAAACTCCAGCTCTACTAAAAATACAAAAATCAGCTGGGCGTGGTGGTGCATGCCTGTAATCCCAGCTACTCGGGAGGCTGAGGCAGGAGAATTGCTTGAACCTGGGGAGGCAGAGGTTGCAGTGAGCCGAGATTGTGCTGCTGGACTCCAGCTGGGGCAACAGAGTGAGACTCTGTCTCAAAAAAAAAAAAAAAAAAAGGATGAAATTTGGGTGGGGACGCAGCCAAACCATATCATGACTATCACTTAGCAAATGCCCGCAGGGAGTATATGCCACACAGAACACAGACACAGGGTTGCCCCAGAGTGCAAAGACATTGTATAAGATAAGAACTTGAAAGAAGTGGCCCTTCATGTTAAGACATTTTCTTTAAACAGGGTCCCAAAGTGCACTTTATATGAGCTGTGCCAAATAGGAAATTGTCAATGTCCTTGCTGTCCAGGAGTTTATCATCTAAAACAGAAATTAGATGCTTTGTGGACAAAAAAGCTATTATCCATTGATTGGACACAAAGTATAAATGAAGTACTTTCAATGTGATATTGAATTGAAAACCAAGATATTTAATATCACCACTAGAGAACCAAGAAAAATGATATGGACTTCTCAAAGAAGTAAGCCTGATAATATTAAAAAAAAAAGAAATGTTTGGATTTCAGTCAATAAATGGGCATTTCTATATGCTTAAATATAATTCCAGCAGTATTTAAAAATATTTTGGTTGCATTTTGGTGAAAGCAACACTGAACGTGGGATCATTAAGACCAGGGTTTCATGTTCATTATCTATATAACCTTAAAGAAGCCACTCATTTTTGGGCTCAGAGTCCTCTTCTGTAAAATTAAGGGATTAAGCTGGATGCTCTCTTTCAGTTCTAACATACATTTTTCTATGCCTGTATTACAAATGAGCACAAATATTATCACAGATTTTTTAGCCTTCTGTAAGTTCATATATTTGTTTCCTAAGGGTGCAGTGGTCTTCAAACAAATCACTTCTATTCCCACAGTCAATCTGATTGTTATCCATTCATCAGTATGAGAGACACAAATCAATATGAGGAATTCAAAGATGTTCACTTCTAATATTAATTACAATGAAAGGTAAGAATTTGTTGAGAAAACTAATCTTCTTGCCAAGTGCAGTTGCTCACGCCTGTAATCCCACCACTTTGGGAGGCTGAGGTAGGTGGATAACCTGAGGTCAGGAGTTCGAGACCAGCCTGGCCACATAGCGAAACCCCATCTCTACTAAAAATACAAAAATTAGCTGGGCTTGGTGGCGCATGCCGTAATCCCAGCTACTCAGGAGGCTGAGGCAGGAGAATTGCTTGAACCCAGGAGGCGGAAGTTGCGGTGAGCCGAGATCGCGCCACTGCACTCCAGCCTGGGTGACAAGAGTGAGACACTGTCTCAAAAAAAAAAAAAAAAAAAAAAGAAAGAAAGAAAAAAAGAAAACTAATCTTCAATTTCCATAAGGTTTTTCTTTAAAAAGCAAACTATTGAGCATCTTCATGGAGAGCTCCAAAACAGCTTCATGAAGAGAAGTCCGTATAAATATCATGATTTTTAATGAGTTGTATTTTGAGAAATGAAAAAGGAATTCTAAGAAAGGTGGATTATACAACATTCCAGTTAGATAGCATAGTTTCTTCATTCCTATTAAGCCCAATCCTTCAGCAGAAGTTTTCTTAAAACTTTGTTTATGCATTTCCTTCTTAAATGCCCATAAAGACTTTTTACCTTAAAATGCTATTGTAAGATAGTCTAGAAAAACAACTATTTCTTACTATTCTTTATTTGATGTAAGAAGCATCTGATAGAGATGGAAGAACCTGAGAAACCCCTGAATAGTGTGTCTATTTTAGCACAAATTCTAAAGTTCACATTAGATTTCAGTGTAAACCTCAACCATCTGTTGGCATATACCAAAAACAAAAGTATTCAAACAAAGTAAAACCAAAATGATGTTTTTACAAATCTTGTCAGAGTGTACTAATCAGAGGATGAGAAATGACATACAACTGACATATTCAGTGATCAAAACTTACCACCCAATGGTAAGAAGAAGGCTCAGGGAAATAGCACATTTACCAATCTTCCAGAGAGAACAGAGTTCTTCAAGATGGGAAATCAAGGTGGTATATTTTGCATAATTTTATGCATAATGCAACAAAAAAGTAGATGGAAATAATAATTTTTCTGGTAAAAAAAAATTCATTCCTGGCCAGGCATGGTGGCTCATGCCTATAATCGCAGCACTTTGGGAGGCCGAGACGGGTGGATCCCTTGAGGTCAGGAGTTTGAGACCAGCCTGGTCAACATGGTGAAACCCCATCTCTACTAAAAATACAAAAATTAGCTGGGTGTGATGGTACATGCCTGTAATCACAGCTACTTAGGAAGCTGATGCAGGAGAATTGCTTGAACCTGGGAGGCAGAGGTTGCAGTGAGCTGAGATCTTAATTCCAGTAACAGTTTTGTTGTTAGATGGCTCATTACAGTTATAAAAATGATAAGAAGGTAGGGGCCATTTGTTAAAATAACCTGCAGAATGTTAGAAAATATAATGGATACATTGAAGAATCATCTTCAGTTAGAAACAAGAAGGAACTCTCTCATGTTGCCATAAGGTACTCTGCTCTGGAGGAAGAAGCTAAGGTAATTGAAACAGGAGAGTGGGCCTGTTGGTGAGGCTGCAGGTGAGGTTAGTGAAACTCCAGGTCCTCAAGAGATTTCAGTTCAAGACATGCAGGCTTTAAATAATAAGCCTGCAGTAACTAAGCCTGAGATGACTTATACTACTCATCTCTAGTGAATCAGGTGACTGAGAGAGGGAGTGGACCTTGATTGAGATTTAGGAAGATTATCTATCCTGAAATAATTTCTTCACTTACTTTCTAATTCTTAAAAATGTACAATTTAAGATAAAATAGATCAAATGAAAAGGAATTGGAATCAAATCATTAAATGCCTTAATATGGAGAACAAATAGTTTATGAAAACAACGGGAAATGACTGACAACAGCTCCTTTCAGATTCTAATGGGAAATGAGTGGAAGGAACTGGAAGGGTCTAAATGCAGAATTGGCAAAAGAGGGTCAAAGCTGTTGTCAGGAGTGTTTCTAAGGGTGTGTGGGAGGACGAAGAAGAAAGGCTGGGAAGAAGTTGACTTCGCAGAGGTGATAGCTAATGACTGTTTAGTGTCAGCTTTGTTTAGCCTCAACTAGGAAGAGAGCAGTAGGAGGAATGAATGGCTGTATAGCATCAACTTTGTTTACTCTCAGCTGGGAAAGAACAAGTTAAAAGAATGAACGGCTGCAGTGCTAATTTATATACTGTCAGCTTGGAAGGGACAAATGAGATGTTTGAATCAAGGTATTTATTGAGAGGGTGAGTTGGAAAGGCAACTTCAGATGGTTTCTAGGCAAAAGTTTACAAATACAAGTAACATAAAAGAACTTTATCCTAGATACTTGTTTCATTAATAGGAACTAATCTGTTGAACTACATGAAAAATAACTAGAAAATTGATTAATATCTCATCTCCAGATTACAAGAATGTACATTTCTTCAGTTTTATAGAACATTATGAAAAAACCACTAGTAAACTGCTCTTTTTCCTTGCCAATGCAAAGTCAACTCTCATAACCATAAAGCACAATGAAATTCAACCTCTCATTTATGTCAGCTTTTTGATTGGTATATATACGGGGACCCTGAATAGGTCCATGTTATCTTGATGGTCTCATATAACCAATTACCCAGAGCTGTCTTGGTATTTGGTCTCTGAGAGGAGTAAAATTGATTATTCAAGAAATACTTCAGAGGTCAAAGATACTGAGGGAGGCTTTGCTAGTTCACAGGTTAACACTTTAAGGATAAACTCAGAGTTATTTAAGTGGGAGAATTTGGATGTTCAAACTTAACAAGATTGGAGATAATGATGCCAAGCCCTTGGGTCACTGGATGTCGTTTGTGATAACTGAGCTTATTAACGATGGTTGGCTGACTTCCAGCCTAATATGTATTTTTAAAAAGATAGTTAAAACAATTTCGGTTTGTTTTTGGAGTGGATTTTGCTAGTGGCCTTTATAATGATATTTTCTCTTTCATAAAAGTTTATCTAATTATTGGTTCCTCTCCATTTTCTCAGATAGCACACACCCTTTCCAGGACAGAAATTTGTATCATTGGGTGCATAGGAAAAAACTTTATACAAAATGTGGCTGTAAAGTGATCAGATTGATTCTAAAAGAGACATTTGAATTCCAGCTGAGTTTCTGAGCTACTCCTCAAATAAAGAGAGAAGAGGTCTTCTATAAGGGGCAAGCCAAGGGATGAGACACACACCCCTTCTATGGGTTACCTAGAAAGTCACATTTCTTGGGGGTGTAAGTCATATAGAATATTTAAATTTCTGCAAAAATAATGAGCAAAGTAAAAGGAAAATCTAGACTATGCAAAAATTATTAGTTTAAAATACCTAGGAGACTATTTATTGGTTTAAACAAATGATATAAGCCTAAGATTAGTTGATGGAGATTTTGGGTTCAAGCAACCTAGTAATTTCACAGCTCCATATATTTCAGTTGAAGCTTCCTGTAAAGATTGCATCATCAGTATACTCTTAAATCAATCCAGGCTACACTTATGGATATGCTTACATTAAGATAAAAGCCTTGTGCCATCCATTTCACACTGTAAACTATAATTTCTACTTCACTTCCTATGCAGTCGCCACTAGAGTTCTACACTTAGCATGCATTCTGCTGACAAAGAAGAAACATAAAGGAGTGTTGTGCGGTAAAAAAAATTTTAAAAAAAGAACAAGCATTATTTCTCTTCAAAATCTGTTTAAAGGGGAAATAAGACACGGCATAGAAAGAGGGACCTATTTGTCCACAAATTGAAAATTGGAGAAAGACCAAATTAGAGTATATTTTCTTCTGAGCTTCTCAAGGTATCTCAATAGCCTTGAGCCCAAAAAGAAAGCAGTCCCCCAGCATTGCCCTCAAAACAAAACAAAAACCCAGGAATCTTCCACTAAGGGCTTCTGTCTATTGCGATGGGTTTTCTTGGGTGTACACTGAGAAGATAGAAAGACCTGTAATAGGAAAAAGCTTTGTTTTCTAAAAAGTGAGAAAACTTGATGGAGGATGGAATCAAAACCTGGTTGTGAATACTGTCTTCTCTCATACTTCCATGGCACCAGGAGGGCAAGTCAAATTTTATGGGCCTCCAAGACTCTGCAGAAGAGACTCCCAGGCTGAATACAAGCCTTAGGCCACTGGAATATGCTGGTTTTCCTACCATTCACCGTTTTGGTACTTATCAGTTACATTTTTTCCTCCCACTCCTTCCACCCCTTATTTACTCTATGTGATTTTGAGCAAGTACTTTTACATCTAAAGATATTTTCTCATCCCTAAAATAAGAACAAGGTGATAGAGAATCACTGTAACTACAAGTCCAATAGAATAAGGTTCTATTTCAGATTGTCTCAGCCTTAATATTTAGTCTACTAACTGGGCAACATTTTAGATTCTATTCCAAATTCCCTCAAACCCTTTCTAACATCAACAGACTAATTCCCTTAGCCCCACTCCTTCCTCATTAAAATAAAATCACTGGGCTGGGCACTATGGCTCCTGCCTGTAACCCCAGCACTTCAGGAGGCCAAGGCAGGAGGATCACTTGGGGTAAGGAGTTTGAAATCAGCCTGGGGAGCATAGTGAGACCCCATCTCTAAAAAAAAAAAAAGAATTAACTGGGTGTGGTGGTATGCATCTGTAGTCCCTGGTACTGGGGAAGCTGGGGCAGGAGGATTGCTTGAGCCTAGGAGTTTGAGGTTGCAGTGAGCTATCTTTGTTGCAGTGAGCCATGTTGTTGCAAATAACCAGATCTCATTCTTTTTTTTATGGCTGAATAGCACTGCATTGTGTATATGTACCACATATACCAGCCTGTGTGACAGGGCAAGACGTGTTTCTAAAAAAAAAAATTTTTTTTAAATACTCTGCAGTATTTTTTCAAAATCTACAGTCACTTTTTCCTAATAATCAACTTTAAAAAATATTTCAAAATAAGCTTGAATTTGGCCCTTTGCTCTCACAACACCAAAACACCATTTTCCCAATTACAGCACAGCAAACACACGACATTCATTTCTGTCTTCTGAATTTTCTGCATGATTTCCTCTTTGAAAGTTTTCTTTTTTAGTTCACCTATTCACCCAAACCTTCATTCCCCAAAACAATTCACCAAATTATGCTGCCCTTTCATTCAGACTGTGCTTGGAATTTCCCCAGCAATTATCAGTGATACCAGGCTCTTGGGTACAGCCTTCTCTATATTGTCATGTAGTTGTTCCATGTGTTTATTCTTGTCTCTCAAAAAAAACAGGGGCGGCCTCCAAGCCAGCAAAAGTTTATCGTAAAAAAAAGAAAATCTGTGTACTCTCCTCCCCAATATCACTTTATATACCCCACACACTTGAATTACTGATGTGTGAACATGTACATTTTCTTCCTAATCTAGGCCAAACCTCTTCAGCCAACAGTAGCATTATAGTAAGAGGGTTTTTTAATTCTTTTTTTTAAAGTTTTTTTTTTTTTAATTTAAAAAAATGATTTGGGGGTCTCACTATGTTGTCCAGGCTGGTCTCAAATTCCTGGGTTCAAGCCATCCTCCTACCGCAGCCTCCCAAGTAGCTGGAATTGCAGGCACATGCCATGCCTGGTGATTCATTTATTTCAAATAGTTATCTTTTCTTTTTTAAAATCTAGAAGGACATAGTCTTGTAATAAATGTCCCAAGTAATATTTTAAATATGAGGCATACTTCTACTTATGCAATTAAGTGTAAATGTTATATAAAATGTTAGTTTAAGAAATTTCTTATTTTTAATTTTTGTGAGTACATAGTAGGTGTATATATTTATGGGATACATGAGATATTTTGCTACAGGCATATGATGCATAAGAATCACATCAGGGTAAATGAGGAATTCATCAGCTCAAGCATTTACCCTTTCTTTGTGCTACAAATGATCCAATTATAGTTGTTTAGTTATTTTTAAATGTATAATAAATTATTATTGACTGTCGTCAACCTGTTGTGCTATCAAACACTAGGTCTAAATCATTCTAAGTATTCTTTGGTACCCATTAACCATCCCCATTTTTCTCCCAACCCTACCTCTCAGCCTCTAGTAACCATTGTTCTTCTCTTACCTCCTTGAGTTCAATTGTTTTAATTTTTAGCTCCTACAAATGGGTGAGAACATGTGAAGTTTGTCTTTCTGTACCTGGCTTATTTCACTCAACATAATGACCCCCACTTCCATCCATGTTTTTGCAAATGACAGGATCTCATTCTTTTTTATGGCTGAATAGCACTCCATTGTGTATATGTACCACATTTTCTTTATCCCTTCATCTGTTGATGGACACTTAGGTTGCTTCAAAATCTTAGCTATTATGAACAGTGCTGCAACAAACATGGGAGTGCGAATATCTTTTCAATATACGAATTTATTTCTTTTGGGTATATCCTTAGCAGTGGGATTGCTGGATAATATGGTAACTCTATTTTTAGATTTTGAGGAACCTCCAAACTGTTCTCCAATAGTGGTTGTATTAGTTTACATTCCCACCAACATTGTATGAGGGTTCCATTTTCTCCATATCCTTGCCAGCATTTTTTTTTTTTTAATTTGAGACAGGGTCTCACTCTATCACTCTATCACCCAGGTTGGAGAGGCTGGAGTGCAGTGACATGATCACAGCTCACTGCAGCCTGGAACTCCCAGGTTCAGGTGACCCTCCCACCTCAGTCTCCCCAGTAGCTAGGACCACAGGCATGCACCACCATGCCTGGCTAATTTTTTTTTTTTTTTTTTGTAGACAAGGTTTTGCCATGTTGCCTAGGCTGGTCTTGAATGCCTGGGCTTGAGAAATCTTTCTGCCTCGGCTTCTCAAAGTGCTGGGATTATAGGCATGAGCCACTGTGCCCAGCCCAGTGTTTGTTCTTGCCTGTCTTTTGGATAAAGGCCATTTTAACTGGAGTGAGAAGATATCTCATTGTAGTTTTGATTTACATTTCTCTGATAATCCATGATGTTGAGCACCTTTTCATACAACTGTTTGTCATTTGTATGTCTTCTTTTGAGTAATGTCTATTCAGATCTTTTGCCCATTTTTAAATCAGATTACTAAATTTTTTTTCCTATTGAGTTATTGGAGCACCTTATTTATTCTGGTTATTAATCCCTTGTCAGTTGGATAGTTTTCAAATATTTTCTACAATTCTGTGGGTTGTCTCTTCGTTTTGTTGATCGTTTCCTTTGCTGTGCAGAGGCTTTTAAATTTGATGTGATCTCATCTGTCTATTTTTACTTTGGTTGCCTGTGCTTCTGGGGTATTACTCAAGAAATCTTTGCCTATTTCAATGACCTAAAGAGTTTTCCCAATGTTTTCTTGTAGTAATTTCATAGTTTGAGGTCCTCGACTTAAGTCTTTAATTCATTTTGATTTGATTTTTGTACATGGTAAGAGGCAGGGGTCTAGTTTTTTTCTTCTGCATATGGAGATCCAGTTTTCCCAGCGTTATTGAAGACACTGTTCTTTCCCCAATGTATACTCTTTGCACCTTTGTTGAAAATGAGTTCACTATAGATGTACAGATTTGTTTCTGGGTTCTCTAGTCTGTTCCATTGGTGTATATGTCTGTTTTTATGCCAGTACCATGCTGTTTTGGTTACTGTAGCTCTACTAGTTGGTGGGTCTGTCATATATGGTTTTTATTATGTTGAGGTATGTTCCTTCTGTATGCAGTTTTTTGAGAGTTTTTTTTTTAATCATGAAGGGATATTGAATTTTATCCACTTAATTTTTTCAGCAATATGAAGTCAGATAATGTGATTACTCTAGTTTTGTTCTTTTTGCTCAGGATAGCTTTGGCTATTCTGGGCATTTTTGTTTCTATATACATTTTAGAATTGTTTTTTCTATTTCTGTGAACAATGTCATTGGTATTTTGATAAGGATTACATTGAATCCCTAGCTTGCTTTGGGTAGTATGGACATTTTAACAATATTGATTTTTCTAGTCCATGAACATGGGCTCTCTTTCCAGTTGTTTGGTGTCCTCTTCAATTTCTTTCATCAATATTTTATAGTTTTCATTATAGAGTTCTTTCACTTCTTTGGCTAAGTTAATTCCTAGGTATTTTAACTTATTTATAGCTATTGTAAATGAGATTACTTCCTTGATTTATTTTTCAGATTGTTTGATGTTGGCATATAGAAATGCTACTACATTTTGTATGTTGACTTTGTATCCTGCGACTACTGAATTTTTAAAATCAGTTCTAAGAGTTTGTTTTTTGGTGGAGTCTTTAGGTTTTTCCAAATATAAGATCTTATTGTCTGTAAACAAGGATAATTTGACTTTTTCCTTTCAAATTTGGATGCCATTTATTTCCTTCTTTTTTCTGATTGCTCAAGCTAGGACTTCCAGAACCATGTTGAATAACAGTGGTGAAAGTGGACATCTTTGTTGTCTTCCGAATCTTAGAGGAAAGTCTTTCAGTTTTTCCTCATTCAGGATGATACTAGTTGTGGGTCTGTCATATATGGCTTTCATTATGTTGAGGTATGTTCCTTCTGTATCCAGTTTTTTGAGAGTTTTTTTTTTATCATGAAGGGATATTGAATTTCATCCACTTTATTTTTTCAGCATCAATTGAAATGATCACATGGTTTTTGTCCTTCATTCTGTTGATATGATGTATCACGATTGGTTTGTGTATGTTTAAACATCATTGCATCCGTGGGGTAAATCCCACTTGGTCATTATAAATTATCTTTTTAACGTGTTGTTGAATTTGATTTGTTAGTATTTCCTTGAGGATTTTTGTATCAATGTTCATCAGGGCTATTGGCCTCTAGTTTTCTTTTTTTGATGTGTTTTTTTCTGGTTTTGGTATCAGGGTAATGCTGGCCTTGCAGAATGAGTTTGGAAGTATTTCCTTCTACATTTTTCAGAATAATTTGTGTAGGATTTGTGTTAGTACTTCTTTAAATGTTTGGTAACATTCAGCAGTGAAGCCATGGGTTCCTCAGCTTTTCTTTGCTGGGAGACTTTTTATTATGGCTTCAATCATGTTACTTGTTATTGGTTAATTCAGGATTTGGATTTCTTCATAGTTCAATCCTGGGAGGTTGTGTCTAGGAATGTGTCCATTTCTCCTAGATTTTTCAATTTATTTGCATACTGTTGTTCATAGTGGTCTCTAATGATCCTTTGACTTTCTGTGGTGTCAATTGTAATGTCTCCCTTTTCATTTCTGATTTTACTTACTTTGCTCTTCTCTCTTTTTTCTTAAAATTCAGACTAAAGCTGTGTCACTTTTATCTTTTCAAAAAATCAACTTTTTGTTCCATTGATCTTTTGTATCGTTTTCTTCATTTCAATTTCATTTATTTCTGCTCTGATCTTTATTATTTCTTTTCTTCTACTAATTTGGGTTTGCATTGCTTTTGCTTTTCTAGTTCTTTAAGATGCATTGTTAGGTTGTTTAAAGTTTTTTCTACTTTTTCATATAGGTGCCTATAGCTATAAAATTTTCTCTTAGTACTTCTTTTGCTGTATTGCATAGGTTTTGGTATGTTGTGTTTCTGTTATCATTTGTTTTAAGACATTTTAATATTTCCTTCTTAACTTCTTCATTGACCCACTGGTTATTCAGGAACATATTGTTTAATTTCTATGTGTTTGTATAGTTTTCAAAATTCCTCGTTATTGATTTCTGATTTTATTCCATTATGATCAGAGAAGATACATGATATAATTTCATTTTTTGAATGTTTTAAAGACTTGTTTGGTGGCCTAACACATGATTTATCCTTGAGAATGACTCATGTGCTGAGGAAAATAATGTGTATTCATTCCGCAGCTGTTGGATGAAATTGGTCTATAGTGCAAAGTAAGTCTGATACTTCTTTGTTGATTTTCTATCTGGAAAATCTGTCCAATGCTGAAAGTGGAGTGTTGAAGTCTACAGATAGTATTGTATTGGGTTCTATCTATCTTCAGCTCTAATAACATTTGCTTTATATATCTGGGTACTTCAGTGTTGGGTGTATATACACTTAAAATTGTTACATCCTCTTGCTGAATTGACTCTTTTATCATATTGTGACCCGTGACTGCCTTTTATAGTTTTTATATTAAAATCTATTTCGTCTGAAATATAGCTACTCTTGCTCTTTTTTGGTTTCCATTTGCATGGGATATCTTTTTCCATCCCTATATTTTCAGTCTATCTGTATCTTTGTAGATGAAGTGTGTTTCTGGTAGGCAACAGATCATTTGTTTTTTTTTTTTTTTTTTAAATCCACTCAACCATTCTATGTCTTTTGATTGGAGAGTGAAATCCATTTACATTCAATGTTATTATTGATAACTAAGGACTTAACCTGCCATTTTGTTATTTGTTTTCTGGTTGTTTTGTGGTCCTCTCCTCTTTTCTTCCTTTTCATCTTCCTTTCAGTGAAGGTGATTTTCTCTGGCAGTATGTATCAATTTCTTGCTTTTTATTTTTTGTGTATCTGTTGTACCTTTTTTTATTTGATGTTACCATGAGGCTTGCAAATAATATCTTATAACCCATTATTTTAAACCAATGACAACACTAACTGCATAAACCAACAAACAAGCAAAAAAGACAAACTGATAAAAACTCTACACTTTAACTTTGTCCCCCTACTTTTAAACTTTTTATTCTTTCTATTTATATCTTATTGTACTGTGTATGTCTTGAAAACTGGTTGTAGTTATTATTTTTTATTGGTTCAGCTCTTATTCTTTCTCTGCAAGATATGGGCAGCACAATTACTGTGTTATAATATTTTGTTTGCCTGTGTACTTACTATTACCAGTAAGTTTTGTACCTTCAGATTTCTTATTGCTCATTAATGCTCTTTTCTCTCAGATAGAACTCCTGTTAGCATTTCTTGTAGAACAGGTCTGATGTTTATGAAATCCCTCAGCTTTTGTTTGTCTGGGAAAGTCTTTATTTGTCCTTCATATTTGAATGATATTTTTGCTGGATATAGTATTCTAGGATAAAAGTTTTTTTTTTTTCTTCAGCGCTTTAAATATGTTATGCCACTCTCTCCTGGCCTGTAAGGTATCCACAGAGAAGTCTGCTGCCAGATGTATTAGGGCTGCATTTTAAATTATTTGTTTCTCTTGCTGCTTTTAGGATTCTCTTTATCCTTGACCTTTGAGAGTCTGATTATTAAATGTCGTGAGGTAATCTTATTTGGGTTAAATCTGCTTGGTGTTCTATAATTTTCTTGTACTTGAATATTGACATCTTTCTTTAGGTATGGAAAGTTCTCTGTTATTATCCCTTTGAATAAACTTTCTACCCCATCTCCCTCTCTATTTCCTCTTTAAGGCCAATAACTCTAAGATTTGCTCCTTTGAAGCTATTATCTAGATCTTGTAGGCTTGTTTCATTCTTTTTTATTCCTTTTTCTTTTGTCTTCTCTGACTGTGTATTTTCAAATAGCCTGTTTTCAAGCTCACTAATTCTTTCTTCTGTCTGATCATTTCTGCTGTTAAAGAACTCTGATGCATTCTTTAGTATGTCAGTTACATTTTTCAGCTCCAGCATTTCTGCTTGATTATTTTTAAATATTTCCGTCTCTGTGTTAAATTCATCTGATAGGATTCTGAATTCCTTCTATTTTCTTGAATTTTGCTGATTTTCCTCAAAACAGCTGTTTTGAATTCTCTGTCCGAAAGGTCACATATCTCTATCCCTCCAGTATTGGTCCTTGGTGGCTTATTCTGTTTGTTTGGTGGAGTCTCGTTTTCCTGAATGGTTTTGAAGCTTGTGGATGTTCATTGATGTCTAGGTATGAGATTTAGGTATTTACTATAATCTTCACTGTCTGGGCTTGTTTGTACCTGTGCTTCTTGTGAAGGCTTTCCAGGTATTTGAAGGGACTTAGTTGTCATAATTTAACTTTTTGGTCACTGTAGCTGTATCTGCATTAGGGGGTACCCCAAGCCCAGTAATGCTATGGCTCTTGCAGATTCATAAAGGTACCACCTTGGTGGTCTTGTATAAGATCCAGAAGAATTCTCTAGATTACCAGGCAAGACTTACTCTCTTCCCTTATTTTCTCCCAAATAAATGGAGTCTCTTTCTTTGTGCTGAGCTGCCTGGAACTGGGGGAAGGGTGACACAAGCACTTCTGTGGCCACCACCACCGCTGGGACAGTGCTATGTCAGATCTGAAGCTAACACAGCACTGGGTCTTGCCCAAGGCCTGCAGTAACCACTGCTTGGCTACTGCCTACGTTCACTCAAGGCCCTAGGACCCTACAATCAGTTGCCTTCCATTCAGGGTAGCAGAATTCCTTTTGGCCCCAGGCAGGCCCACAGATACCATCTGGGAACCAGGGCCTGGAGTTGGAAACCTTAGTAATCTACCTGGTGCTCTATTCTACTGTGGCTGAGCTGGCACCCAAGCCACAGACAAAGCTCTTCCAACTCTTCCCTCCCTTTTCCACAAGCAAAGGAGTCTCTCTCCATGGTCACCACCACCCGAGGCCCATGGTGAGTACCACCTGGCTACTACCAGTGTTCACTCAAGGCCCAAGTGTTCTTCAGTCAGCTTGTGTTGAGTGCTGGCAGTCCTGGGACTCTTCCTTCAGGGCAGTGGGATCCCCTCTGGCCCAGAAAAGGTCCATAAATGCTGTCCAAGAGCCAAGGCCTGGAATCAGGGACCTCAAAAGCCCGCTTGGTCCTCTACTCCACTGTGGCCAAGCTGGTACTTACAGTGCAAGGCAAAGTCCCCTTTATTCTTCCCTCTCCTTTTTTTTTTTTTTTTTTTTTCAAGCAAGAGTCTCTGTCTGTAGGCACCACAGCTGGGAATATGCAGGGTCACACCTGAAGCCAGCACATCTCTGAGTTGCACCCAAGGCCTATGGTGAGTACTGCCTGGCTATCACTGCTCACTACTCAGGGCCCAAAAGCTCTTTAGTCAGCAGGTGATGAATCCTGCCTGGACTGGGTCCTTCCTTTTAAGGCAGTGGGTTCCCTTCTGGCTCAGGGTGTGTCTAGAAATGTTGTCCAGGAGGTAGGGCCTGAAGTGGGGGCCTCAAGACTCTGCCTGTTGCCCTGTGCACTATGGTTGAGCTGGTATCCAAGCTGCCAGACAAAGGCCTCTCTACTTTCCTCTCCTCTCCTCAAAAGGAAGTAGTCTGTCCTGGAGCTGCAAGCTGTGCTGTGTGGAACTGGGTGAGGTGGCTGAAGTACTCCTTTGGCCAGCCTGGTTGGTTTCTCACTAAGTCATGTGTCTTCCAAGTCCACTGATTCCACGCCCAGCCCAACTTGTTGTCCAGAAATTGCAGTCCTTGTGGCCTAGACTGCCTTTCAAGCTTATTTAGGACCCAGAGCACTTCGGCCTGTGGTGGCAAGTCTTGCCAAAATTCAGGTGTTGACCACTGAGACAGGCAATTCCCCTCTGGCTGGGGCTGGTCTAAATGCTCCCTCCATGGGCACTGAGTTCTGTCTGGTGTTGCTTTCTGCTGTGACAGGGCAGCACTGAGTTTTAATGCAAAGTCCCACAGTCACTGCACTCTTCATCCCCCAAGTGCACATTCTCTTGCCACACCATGTGGCCGCTGCCAAGGGATGGGGGAGTGGTGGCATCAGCAATTCAAGACTGTTTTTCCTACCCTCTTCAGTGCCTCTTTCAGTGGTAAGTTAAAACTAGGTACTGTGATCTCTCATCTGATTTTTGGTTCTTATGAAAGTGCTTTTTTATACGGATTGTTGTTCAATTTGGTGTTTTTGTGGGGAGAATGATTGGTGGAGGTTTCTATTTGGTCATCTTGTTCGGCCTCTACTGCAAAATGTTAATATTTTTAATGTCATTATTTACAATATTAAGGTAAAAGAAAAACTTGCAGTCTTTAAAATCTAACAACATAGGTTTTGTGAATGACACAGTTCTCTATAAAAGTATTGTAGCTTTGGAGTTATCCCCATACTCCTGGTTATTACACAACTGTGTAACCCATGGCTTTTCTGAACTTTAATCTCCAGCCTCCTTACACAGGTGCATAAGATGGCTCCAGTACTTCATAAACTAAAGCAAGGGCGAATTAAGATATGGCCTGATGCTCTCTAGGGAGATGTTCTAAGGAGGGATAAAGAAGACTGGGCATGGCGAACTGTAGCCCACCCAGAGTGCTGAATCTGTGACAGTGAAATAAACCTACACTTCAGAAAGTGCTCTGAGAACCTAACATAACTCATCCCTCTATCCTTTGTAAGTAGCAACCTGGAAGGCAGCATCAGGCAGAGTTTTTTAATTAGACAGCTATGTATTTTGTCAGAAAATTTACTAAGCAGTTGGCTAAAAGAATGATTATCTCGAGCTGCACTAACTCTGATTAGTATCCATTAAACATCTATGGTTTTGGAGAAACCTCAAAGATAGCCAGCTATGTGCCAAAGAACAGACCAATGGCTATCAATACCACAAAGTTAGCACAAATATAAACCGCATAGTTTGTAGGAAAAGTTTATTTAATGGGGAGACTAAGACGATGCAAGATGGTTACTAGAAAAACATCTTTCAGTCTGGATAAATACACAACAAAGGATCATAGCTGAAATACCAGTGACCATCACAATAGGAAAGGTGGTCAGCTTGTGGAATTTTCCTTTTGGTAACCTTAAGAAGTCATTTTAGCAGTACTAACCATACAGTATATGTCAGGCACTGTAATAAACTCTTTACAAGTGGTACTTCATTTAGTCTTCACGACACTGAGGTATACTATTAAATGTCCCCATTTTACAAGTAAAAAAATTGAGGTTAGAGAGGCCACAGAAGGTACCTGAGGTTTGGGAAGTGTAGAACCAGGATTTAAATCTGGAACTCCTAGGCAAAAAAAAGTGTTTTAACAATCACAATATACAGCTTTACATTAGTAAAATTTTGAATTTGTTTTTGTTCATTGTTCACTATGCATGTTTTAAAATGTGAGGGTTATAGCTTATCTGTTAGGACAAACTCTCTAACTTCTAATTGATGGCTAGCCAAACATATCTTCAAAAAATAACTATTATAATTATACCTTAGTTTTCAACAACCAAAACAACATATCCAAAAAAAACTAAATTCCTTAACAGATCATTTATTAGTAAATCTTCAATAACTAGCACTAATCTTTGCCCAAATGAGGTAAGGCCTCCATTTCTGATTGGAATAATTAATTCCTTGGCCCACAAGAAATCTTAGGCTATTAAAGGTAAAAATCATGTTTGTCTTGAGTTTCTTAATAGTAATGGGCTTTTTATGTAGTAGATACTCAAAAGTCAACTGAGTCAACTAGGTAAAGCTGAGCAGGATAAGGCTTTATTCCCAATTTGCTTTCATAGCTCTGAATATAAGAAAATGACTCCAAAATAAACATTCTGTGGTTCTATTAAGCTGTTTTCAACTTTACATTATAAAAATGCTTAAAAGTTGAGAGATTATACAAAATGAATACCTGAATTCAAAGATATATCTAAAATGCAAAGCAAGGGTATTTAAATATTTGAATGTCAGGTAACTTTTGAGGGAAGAGGAATTGGCATTTTCTAGCTTCTATATATTTAAGCCAATTTATTAGATAATTACAGGTCTTGCAAATAGCTAGTAGAGTTAATTTGGCAAAGGTGAAAGGGAATCTGCTGTCTTTATCAATCTTGGAAAAGTCTGTACTATATTCCCTCTGGTAGAACATAATTAGGGATGCAAGTAATCCTGTTTGGTGACTATGGGGTGATATTGCCATCTAGTGGCCATTTTTCGCTGCAAGTGATCCCCTTTTCCGACTTATGCGGCAATGAAGAGACAATAATCAGGTGCATACACTTAAGCACTCATCTTTACATCTCACTGAATTATAAAGTCCTTGAGGAAGGGACCATGGCTATGTATTTTCTTTCCTGCATTAGGTATTTGTTAACCTTGAGGTGAGAACATGTTCCGGACCCACTTATATAATAAGCATATGAGAAAGAACATTTCATTCCTCATTCTACTCCACCTTCCCCAACCCCTAACTCTTCTGCTACTCAGGCCTGCTTACAAGCTGCCAACTGTAAAAATTGTGGTAGACTATCTCAAGTAAGTTTCCATTCTCATGACCACATTACCAATGTAAGTGGCACAAAACAGATTATTAATCAATTAATTAAGCAAATTGTGCATCACTGGCTTATCTTTACTTCCAAAGGCTTATCTTTACTTCTAAAGAAAAATAAGACAGTGAAGTCCTCCAGTTGCCAAATAAAATGCAACCAAATTGTCAGCAGAATTTCAGAATCATTATGATTCTAATAGCCATGTTTTATTGAATGCTTAAGAATGTGCTAAACATTGTTCTAATTGCTTTATGTGCATTGTAGCATATCATCCTCAACAAACAGAAAACAACAAAAATGTTATTTAGATTTTTAAAAATATGCAAATGTCTCTAATAAAGTTACGTAACTGTAGTTACCCAAATTACTTTGAAAAAAATGGACTGCTTTGGCAGGTAATTATTCTTTGCAAGACACATACTGAATGACCAAATTTATAGATGAAAGAGGGTTTATTTATTAATATATGATAGCCTTGGCTCAAAAAAGACAAATGAGGGCTCAAAAAGGAATTACAGTAACTTTAAAAAATATATTAAACATATCCAAGATCCTAAATATATTATTCTCCCCAAAAGCTGGCTGCTTCCAAACTTGATTTGATATTTTGCATGTTTTCCCTACGTTGCTTGGTAAATATATTTGCTTCTCCTTTCTGCAATCGACGTCTGACAGCTGATTTTTGCTGTTTTGTCAACTGACGTTTCACCTTCTGTTTCACCAGTTCCTGGAAAGATTTCATAAATTAGTATTACTGATAATGAACCATTTCAAAAAGTACACTGCTAATATCTGTTCTATTTATATATTGACACCATGAATTTTAAGATTCCAAACACTGACAGTACTATATAGAAACTGTTATATAGGAGAAATTAAATTCCAAACAGAAATACAGATTATATAGCAAAAAATATAGTGTATAGGCAGAATTTTTAAAAAATTACCATAGTGCCACCTAGTGTCCATCATGAAAACTGATGGAAAAAACAAGATGAAACTGCTTGTTCCTCTGCTTTTTAGGTTAAAAGTAGGCTTTTAGAGTAGATTTTGTATAGAAAATTATTTTTGAAAGCATTCAGTATTGCTGAATATATCCAAGAATGCCTTCACAGTTTCAGCTGTAGAATTGACCTGATGGTAGCAATCACCCATGGAAAAGTCTTCATATGTCTTTTGATCATAAATTCAAGTTACTTATCAGTTAAGATACACTGTGCAAGTCACATGACTTACAAGATGAATAAGAAATGTGAAATACTCAGTTCACAATGACCTTTTCTTTCTCTGAAGCACTACAGTCTGTTATTTAATAACTGTATATAACCTTGTATCATTCAACTTTTCTCCTAAAAAAGAAGATAGCTGCAAAACTCTGCAAAGCCAGGAACAAGGGTCTTCTTTTTTTTTTTGAGACAGGGTCTTGCTGTGTTGCCCAGGTTGGAGTGCAGTGGCAGGAACACAGTTCACGGTGGCTGCAACCTCCTGGGCTTGAGTGATCTTTCTGCCTCAGTCTCCTGAGTAGCTGGGAATACAGGTGTATACCACTACACCTGGCTAACTTTTAAATTTTTTGTAGACAGGGGTCTTGCTATGTTGCCCAGGCTGGCCTGAAACTCTTGGGCTCAAGCGATCCTTCCACCTTGGCCCCCAAAGTGCTGGGATCACAGGTCTGAGCCACTATGCCCGGCCAAATTTGTACTTATATCCAAGTACAAATGGCTGGGCGCAGTGGCTCACGCCTGAAATCCCAGCACTTTGGGAGGCTGAGGTGGGTGGATCACCTGAGGTCAGGAGTTCGAGACCAGCCTGGCCAACATGGTGAAACCTTGTCTCTACTAAAAATACAAAAATTAGCCAGCCATGGTGGTAGGCGCCTGTAATCCAAGCTACTCGGGAAGCTGAGGCAGGAGAATTGCTTGAACCCAGGAGGCGGAGGTTGCAGTGGGCTG
The DNA here is from genome assembly GCF_000001405.40 of Homo sapiens. Taxonomy (NCBI): domain Eukaryota; kingdom Metazoa; phylum Chordata; class Mammalia; order Primates; family Hominidae; genus Homo; species Homo sapiens. The sequence goes on from NC_000005.10 coordinate 97,164,451, forward strand.
AGATCATGCCACTGCACTCTAGCCTGGATGACCTCCGGCCTGGATGACAAGAGCAAAACTCCATCTCAAAAAAAAAACAAAAACAAAAACAAACAACAACAACAAAATTTTATACCATTAACATGTACGTCCAAGTGTCTGAGGCTTACACACCTTATAATCCTCACAGTGACCAAGCTCATTAATCTTCAGCTCATATGAAGAATGACTCATCCACCTCAAACCTGATCAATTTATCAAGTGACCTACATTAATTTTTTGAAACTCATCAGTTTGTATTCTAAGAAAAAATTACTTGAAATTTAGTCAACAGGCTGCCTAAAATCAGGACAATTGAAAAAGAAGGTGTTTTGAGTTTTACCAACAAAAAGTCATTTGGCCTTCATTTTACACATAATGGTGGCAGGACACAACTCTACCACATCCTTTGAGCAACATTCATTTATTAAAATCAAAGAAAGTACTGGTTTCAAGACAAGTCAAAAAGCAATCAACAGAAGTCTGTACCTGAAAGGCATACATTATTGTTTAATGAGACAAGGCAATCAGATCACAGTAGTGATGTAATAAACATTCAGTACATGTTGAATGACTACTTACTGGAGGAATTGTTGAACAGCTTACAGCACTGCCTGAAGAAGTGATACTCAGAGTTCTTGTTCTATACTGATTCATAGCTCCCACATTTTCTTCATCTCTAAAATTAAAAAACCCACAATTTATCTAGTTAATTTGTATAATGTAATGAATCCCATTTGATTAATTTATATTATTTTTTGCATGCAGCAAAACTGAAGACATAAAATACTTCAGAAAGATCATTATATTTTAAAATTTCTGTGAAGATAAAACTACCTACTGTTAAGTTCTATACATTAACAATTTTCATTTTCCAGCATTTTGTTAGTCACTATCAAAATTTAAAAACAGTAGAATGCTTAAGCCATTGAAATTTATCACCTCCCCACAATTCATCTTCCCTTTTCTAATAATCCTCTCCTCTTCTTTCACTGAACTATATAAATCTGTCTCTCCCTATCTAAATTTTTGAGACTCTTTCCACCTTCACAAACAGAAGATATAATGGAAACAGACAGTACTCATTATAGTCAGCTCCACTAGGGTAGGAAAATCTGCAACCTAGAGACTAATGTTTTTCACATGGCTCAAAGTTTCAATATATGCAATGTATAAAAACTCGGACGATATTAACTCCTAACAGTTAATATTTTTCAGCAACATCTGCTGTTCTGCTTTTACTTTGAATGGAAGTTTTGCCCAGCATGTATCCAGAGTGGGAACAAAATTATTGTTCCCATTCTGAGTTTAAAAGACCATTTAATCCTATATAGATTTTCTTCTATCACTGTGATGGTTAATTTTATATGTTAACTTGACTGGGCCTCAGGGTGCCATATATTTGGTTAAACATTAACTTGGGTGTGTCTTTGAGGGCGTTTCTGAATCAATAAACTGAGTATAGCAGATTGCCCTCCCCAGTGTGGGTGGACCTCATCCAATCCATTGAAGGCCTGATGAGAACAAAAAGGCAAAGTAAGAGAGAACTGTCTTTGAACTGGGACATGGGTCCTCTCCTTTCTTTGGATGTGGACTGGAACTTATGCTATTGTCTCTTCTGGTTCTTAGCTCTTTGGATTTGGACTGGAACTGTACCATGGGCTCTCCTTGGTCTCTAGCTTGTTGACTACAGATCCTGGGACTTCTCAGCCTCCATAACCCCATGGGCTAATTCCTTAAAATAAATCTCCTATTTATTCTGTTTCTTTGAAGAATCCAGTCTAATACAATCACTTACTCAAAATCCTGAGCCTCTGTCACCCCTCTTTTCCTTTTAAGCTTCTGATTTAATTTTCCAAGTTTATTATTTAAATGGCAGTAGCCCTGTGACACAGATACACAGCTATATGAAAAAGGAACAAAATTCTCATGTTTTGCTTCAGGAATAAAACTTTAAAGATAAAGGTAGGCTTAAGATATAAGCCCAAACATGTACTGAAAAATGTTTAATAAATGTATTGCTGAACTAATTTTAATTGTCATATTACTATTTTGAAATAAATAAAACCAATATTTCATTTAACTACAATTTGATTCTGAATAAGCAATCCCAAATCCAAAAATTAAGTTTTAGAACTTTTCCTAATCTAAGCTGAGCCTGATTAATATTTACAAAAAAAAATTATTAAAAGAAAACATAATATCATTAGATAATTTTAACTACACATGAACAAAGGATAGAAGGCTCAAGGTACTAGAGAAAATTCACTGCAGATGTTTCATATAGAAAGTACATTTATTGCATGTTTTAATATTTACATGCCTTTACATAACTCAAACACACATCAGATGTGTAATTAGGAAAATATATGAGGAATAACTCATCCATCTAAAACCTGATCAATGTATCCAGAGACCTGCAATAATTTTAAAATCATCAGTTTGTATATATATATATATTTTTGAGACGGAGTTTTTTGCTCGTCACCCAGGCTGGAGTGCAGTGGTACGATCTTTGGCTTACTGCAACCTCTGCCTCCCAGGTTCAAGTGATTCTCCTGCCTCAGTCTCCCAAGTAGCTGGGATTACAAGCACAGGCCACCATGCCCGGTTAATTTTTATATTTTTAGTAGAGACAGGGTTTTGCCATGTTGGCCTGGCTGGTCTCAAACTCCTGACCTCAGGTGATTTGCCTGCCTTGGCCTCCCAGAAGTGCTGAGATTACAGGCATGAGCGAGCCACTGTGCCCAGCCATCAGTTTGTATTTTAAGGCAGAATTACTTGAAATTTAGTCAATAGGCTGCCTAGAATCAGGTCAATTGAAAAGGAAGCTATTTTGAGTTTTTAACAACAAAAAATTATTTGGCTTTCATTTTATACATCAAGGTGGCAGAATACAATTTTGTCACATCATTTGAAAAAAACATTCTTTTACTAGAATCTAACAAAGTATCAGTCTCAAGACTAAAGTTAAAAAGCAATCGACAGAAGTCTATACCTGAAAGGCCTGAATTCTCTATTTAATGACGACAAGGCAATTAGATGAGGGCATTCATCTTCATACTCGTCAGAGCCAGCAGGGACTCCTCCTTGAACTCTCTGACCATCTTGCCTGTTGTAATTTTCAGTTCTGTTTTTCTCCTCAGAAAATTCAGTTACAGAGTTGTTTTCAACAACCTGCCCTTTTATTTCTTCTAAAGCTTGATTGAATTCAGTCATTTCAAAACTCCGTGCATCAGCACTCTCTTCTGATAAACTGTCTTCCTTTATTTGTTCAGGGTCTCCAGATGATCTGCAATAGCAGCCCTCTGATTCTTCTAGACAGTTCCGTTCACTTTCATTTTCTGACCCGTAAACCTCTGCTTTTTCTGCCACTTCTCCATCTGAAAATGAGAATTCAGATCCCTCTTTTGTTTCAATATTTTTATCATCTGGACCTAATGGATGAAGCAGTTCATCATCTGCCTGCATTTCCTTTGTGTAGCCACTGGCAGAAACCTCCACATCAAGAGTGTCTTCTCTCCTAGAAAAAAAAGGCGTCAAGCATAGAAAGAGAGAAAAAATGTTTATCTAAGAGGAGCAAATATCTACTACTCTGATAAATTATGATTCAAGTGAGTTTAATAGCTTATATGTTAAAAATAAATTTTCCTTCCCTAAAATGTAATATTTAAATGACACAGGTAAACAAATATGAAAGGTATATGCTGGCTGTCATTTTAAGAATAAAATAACTGAAAAGCAACAATATAAATAAAAAGGTTATAAAAACCTCAGCTTATGTTTATTAACTTTGTAAATTAACTTTCAAAGGGGGCTAAGGATTTCCTTCAGATTATGTGACTCATCCCAGATCAGAAAATATCTTAAGTGTATAAAATAAATATGAGAAAACTGAGCTTTGAGAATGCACATGATAGTTATGTTTTGAGAATCAATTAAAGATACCTCCTGGTCCTTGATAAAGGAAAAACACAAATTTCAATGAATGTTTGGTGTTATTCCTTATGAATGAGTTACTCAAATAGCATCCAAAATAGAATAAAAGTTCTTGAATTTATAAGAATCTAGATATGTCCGCTTCCTAAAATTCAGTAACAGTGCCTTAATGGACCAAATGCAGGTATTTTCAAGTTTTTAAGTTTCAGTTATGTACTACAGAGCAATGACATCTAACAGTGATTACGTGTCAAAATTTGGAAAGTTTTTTAGATGAAAATGTTAATTTTTAGAAATACACAGACCAGATATTTAAACTGTTCTATTATGTAAAGCAATGGGGAGTACAAACCTGATATCCTTAAAAGTTGGAAAAAGCTCACTTTCGTAGCTGAAACGTTTCATAAAGAAATCTTTAATGCATTTAACATCTCTGTCAAAATACCTGCAAAAGCAAGAATCATTTATGATATAGTCTTTATTGCTCCTCTTTTTCCTTATTAGCCAATGACAATATACTTATTGGTTAATGGTATTGCTCCTCCTTACACAAGGAGATAAAAGATGTTACACAAAAGAAAAAAGATACAAATGAGTTAACCAGTGTGTTTGAAAAACTAAAATCCAAGGAAATCTCAAGGATATAAGCTGTCAATGCCATGCAGTTCCTACGGTTAGGAAAGTCAAGGTTTTGTCATAGTTACTGGTATATAGTTAGATACACTAGGGAAAGATGAATGTGAACCCCAGGAAATAAGATAATGGGCCTATGGTTTGGGGATAGGTTTCCACTTATTCTGTTCGTCCTGAGTCTGGCTATGCTTCTTATCAGCAACACTCACTAGAACCCCTAGCCAACTGAAAGATCTGACGATAAAAAGATATTAATATTAAACAGTTAAGTTTGGAGACTACTGAATTATGTTTATGTATCTTTGTTATCCATTAGCCGATTTGCAATAACACCCAAAGGGATAAATAATGCTACAGCCTATAAAAATAATCTGAGGACATGTTAATCTGGACCAAAAGTAGAACAATATCTGAATATCAGGCTGCCTTTTTGGGCCACCACAAAGCAGCAAAAATGGATTCAATTCTCTAGAAGATTTCCAGACAAGGGAGAATTAAGGACAGGATAATGTGCAATTGACTCTCTTTGAGAAAGATGAAGTTTGGAAATAGGAAGATAATGCCTCTCCTCTTTGCTCACAGGGTACTCTGGGAAAAATACTAATACATTTTAAAAAGACTATTTTATATATGTTTACATCTCCCTACGAGACAGTAACATTTTCTAAAGCATATATAGGGGTTATTTATATCTCAATCTCTAGCAATTAGCACAGCTCCTTGGCCCCAGAACTGGTTCATAAAAATTGAAATTAAATCACAATGTCTCTCCATAGAACGATGCAGCCTAAACCTAGAATGTCATAATCTGTCACACTCTGGAGGCTCCTAGATGTTCCTTTACTGTGTGACTATGTTACTCCTTATTAATAAAAATCATGATTAGTCATCATCCAAAGAGTACTGACCACCCCAGTGCCAGGCATTAATCTTTTAGTATTATTTTGTTGAAAACGTTTTAAAAATTTATTTTCAAATGACATTTCTTTCTGTAGCATAAGTATAGACATTTTCTACTGGAAACCAGGATGAAGAGACGCTTCACTTAACAAAACTACTTCAAGCTCAATCTCTGGAAGAATTAATATACTCTATTATATAAGTGATACTAGTTGTTAGTTTAGGAAAAAAGTTTCTCATAAAGCTTGGAACAGAAAGAAAAAAAAATCCTTAGTTACACTCAATTGAATCATAAACCTCAAGCAAATAAAGGATAAGGTCCTGTTTCATGACTTGGCTGGCTTGGTTTAAATAAGTAATGTGAAGAATATGATTATCGCAGTATATCATGATTCTGCACTGTGTCAGAGATAAAGTTTTATGTGATTTTTTTTCTAATAAATAAAGCTAAAAGTGACAAGAGGTAATTATCACTGGTTTGACAACTGAGTCCAGTCCAAAACCACAACTTTTATTCAGATCATCGAGATTACTGAGTTATACTTGGTGAATCTCTCTTGGAGGCAATCATGGAACAGCAAGAAAAAGGGAAAGACAAAAGTGGTTCTAGAGTTCCCCACTACACTCCCTACTTTTACCTGTTTTAACAATTGGTCTTCCATCTAAAAGTCTGTTTGAACAAAGGGTTCCATGGCTAAGAAAATTTGACTTTTGAACGTCTGTCAATTTACAACAGAGAAATTCAAATTCTTATGGGGAAAACTCTAGTAGTTATACTTTAATAAAAAACCAAATTTTTATAACGTTAACACTAGCCACTTCAAACCAGTGACTGACCTAAATAATAGTATCACAAAATTGAAAAATTATGAAAAAATGATTATATTCTAAACAAACACACCCACATCCAGAATCAATAATAGCATGTAAGGGCCGGGCGCAATGGCTCACCCCTGTAATCCCAGCACTTTGGGAGGCCGAGGCGGGTGGATCACCTGAGGTCAGGAGTTCAAGACCAGCCTGACCAACATGGAGAAACCCCATCTCTACTAAAAAAAAAAATACAAAAAATTAGCCAGGTGTGGTGGCACATGTCTGTTATCCCAGCTCCTCGGGAGGCTGAGGCAGGAGCATTGCTTGAACCCGGGAGGTGGAAGTTGCAGTGAGCCGAGATCGCGCCATTGCACTCCAGCTTGGGCAACAAGCAAAACTCCGTCTCCAAAAAAATAAAATAAAATAAAAATAAAAAAATAGCAAGTACGTACCACTCAGCATTGGGATGAGAAGTTGAAACCATCTGTGGAAAATCAATCATGGTGATATGGTCACTTTCATCCAAAATGAGATTAAATTCATTAAAATCTCCATGAATCAGCCCATGATTTGCAAGTTTGACAATTAGTTCCATAGCTTCATCATATACTGATGCAGGATCTTCAACATGGTGTATCTGACATCTGAAAGTATTTTAAGCATGAAAATAGGTTACTTGTGTTCATTTACGGTTTTAACGAAAGTATGTATGCATGTGAACATATATATTATTTCCATGCTGTGTATCCCCAGCAGCTTTCTTCTCATTCCCATCAGCACACAGATATAATATCTCCCATCTATTAAAAAAATAGCCACACTGCTTCAATTCTGTATCTCTTTTCTACTACTACCTTTCTTTGATCTTTACAGCCAAACTTGTCTACATGTGCTTTTCCAATTTGTTTCCTCCTACTCTCTCATACCATTTCAAACAGGCTTTTTATAACGTTAACACTAGCCACTTCAAACCAGTGAGTGACCTAAATAATAGTATCACAAAATTGAAAAATTATGAAAAAATGATTATATTCTAAACAAACACACCCACATCCAGAATCAATAATAGCATGTACGGGCCAGGCGCAATGGCTCACCCCTGTAATCCTAGCACTTTGGGAGGCCAAAGTGCTTCCAAGATCACCCTTGTTGAGACTACAATGACTTCAATGTTGCTAAATCCAAAGGTCAATTCTTAGTCCTCATCATATGTGGTCTGTCAGTTGACCTCTTTGAACATTTTCTTCACTTAACTCTTGGGACACCATTCTCTCCAGGTGTTCTTCCTTCCTCACAGATCATACCTTCTTAGTCTTTTCTATTTGTACTTCATCTTTTTCCTTGACCTCTAAATTCTGGAGTTCCTCAAAGGTCAATCCTATGACCTTTTATTTTCTCTTATTTAGACTCATTCTTGGTGATCTCATCTAGGTTAATGGTTTAAATACCACATATACACTGATTTTAATGTAGACTTCTCTAACTCCCAGGCATCTCAAACTTAGCATGTCCAAAATGGAATCTCTGATTCTGTCCCACCCTCCAACTCCAAAATGCTGTTCCTGTAGCTTTCCTGTTTCTATACATGGTAGATTTCTCCTTCCAGTTAATTTGCTACTCAGGGGAAAAACCTTGGTGTCACCATTGACTCATCCCTTCCTTCACATCCATATCCAATCTCAAATCATGTTGGTTCAACCTGCAGAACACATTCAGAATCTGACCACTTTTCATCACCTTCACAACTATCACTGTAATCAGAATTACAACCATTTCTTGCCTAGATTATTGTAATAGCCTCTTAACTTGTCTTCCTAATTCTTTGTCTCCCCAGAGTCTATTAATTCAGCAAGCAGAGTGACCCTCTGAAAACACTGAGATCACTGATTGATGAGATCACATCTCTTCTCTGCTCAAAATACTCCCACTCCAATAGCTGCTAATCTGAATCAAAATTTGATGAGGTTTCACCTTATTAGTGAGACTTTTCTTGACCACCCTACATAAAACAGTAGTCTCCTGTCCCGTTAGTACTTCCTATCTCCCTTACTCTGCTTTTTTTTATCCATAGTACTTACTAACAATTGATATACATTTCCTTTAGTTATTTATTGCACATCTCCTTCCATCAGAATGTAAATTCCATGAGGGCAGGGACTTTGTTTTGTTCACTGCTGAGATTAAAAGTTCCTGGCACCTAACAGTCTCTTAATATTGAATGAATGAATGAATCACAGAGATTACAAAGTTCATATTGTCAGAATGAAACTGGGTTTTTAATTTGTCTTTGAGTCTATTCCTTTAAATAAATTTTAACCTCCCAGAGGCAATATTTCATTAACTAAAAAAAATTTTATTAAAAACCCTGAAACTTAAATTCATTTATCAGGATTCATGGCTTTAAGAATAATGAATACTTACAGTGGATAACCATTTATGAGTTCCATGACCACTGCATGACGATTGTAATCAATTGGCTTTGGAACTGGAAATTTCCTCTCATACAATGCCTAAAATGTTGCAAAACAGGTGTAAGCTAATGAACAGGTCATTACTCTTTAAAGAACAATAAAAGTAAATATACCTTTCTACAACCAGAAAAAAAACACACAAACCTTTATAAAATTGTAGTTAACACATGGTTATTTATGCATAGCTTATTTATTCACTGCGTAGAATTAGCCACACATAAAAAGCAAATTTTAAACAAAAGTTTGAATTCACTTTTCCACAAAAAATGAACATTTACAAAATGTTATGCACTGTGCTGGGGTTACAAAAATGAATGTTAAAAAGTTTCTAAACACTCTAAAATTAGTGTCAAAAAGCCCCCAAGAAGCTTACAGTCTCTTAGGGTATATCCTTTCCTATTTTGTAAGTCTCTGACATTTGTTGAAATGTGCTCAAAATATTTAAATTGGAAACAAATTTAGGAAATACTCATCTTCGGACATATTAGGAAATGAGGCATTCTAAGAGATCAGACATTTTGGTTTATAGGGCACTGAACTTTTTCTCCAGGCCACAATATGCAATATAAATCTATTATGTGAAAAATATACACTGTTGTAGTCTGATTCAAGTGTTAAGACTCTCCATACATCTTTTCCCCTAAGCTTACTGTCTTCAATCTTACTGTTTACAAAGCCCTGTTATTACTTTCTTTAAAATACCTTAGATTTATGCCCTTTGACATTTAGAATGCTAGTATTAGGAATGGCAAAAACTGCAATTACTTTTGCACCAACATATACTTGTAAGGAGGCATATACCTCATTACTCCACAAGTGTTCTAGCTCTTGCCATCATACCTAACCTATTCTATGTACCAATACCAGACTAACCTGCTGATGTTAATATTCCATTTAAAAATATATACATTGGGATGGGCATGGAGTCTCACGTCTGTAACCCCAGCAATTTGGGAGGCCGAGGCGGGTGGATCAGTTGAGGTCAGGAGTTCGACACCAGCCTGCCAGCATGGTGAAACCCCATCTCTACTAAAAATACAAAAAAATTAGCCAGGCGTGGTGGCACATGCCTGTAGTCCCAGCTACCTGGGAGGCTGAGGCAGGAGAATCGCGTGAACCCGGGAGGCAGAGGTTGCAGTGAGTTGATATCGTGCCACTGCATTCTAGCCTGGGTGATAGAGCAAGACTACACCTCAAAAAAAGTTTTTTTTTACATTGGCTGTAAATTTTCTTTTCAGTTTGTAAATATAAACTTTTCCTGGTTTTCAAAACTCTTTAATCCACCTGTACAGTCCTAGTTCTCCCAATATTCTCTCCAATACACACCAAGAAACGCAGTCAGGACAGTCACCTCAGTGTCACCTAAACACATAGGACTCACATAGATTCATGTCATTGCCCATACCACTTCTCTGCCAAAATGCACTGTCTTAGGGTCAAATAATATCCAAGCTTCATGGCTCCACTCAGCTCCACTCACTACCTGAAACCTCCTCCATCAACTATTCTATCACTTACTGAAGTTTCTCTAAATTCAGTATATAATTAAAAAAAAAATTGTTCTTAGACTTGCAGTGGTGGCTCACGCTTATAACCCCGGTACTTTGGGAGGCCGAGGTGGGTGAATCTCTTGAGGCCAGGGGTTTGAGAGCAGCCTGGGCAACACAGCAAGGTCCTGTCTCTACAAAGCAGGCATGGTAGCACATGCCTGTGATCCTAGATACTTGGGAGGCTGAGGTGGGAGGATGGCTTGAGCCCAGGAGGTAGGGGCTGCAGTGAGCCGTGATCGTGCCACTGCACTCCAGCCTGGGTGACAGAGTGAGACCTTGTCTTGAAAATAAATAAATAAATAAATAAATAAATAAAAGGTTCTGTTTCATGTGTTATCTTCTCAACTTTAAGACACAGATCGTACTGGTTATTTCTTTGGCATCCACTCCTTCACCCTACACTACCCCAGCAATTAATTTCAAAAGGTTGTCTATTGCTTACCTTCTGTGAACAAGAACCAAACCACTTCCCACTTCCCAGATATTTTTCTTTGCTTTGTTTTTAAATACTTTTTTTCAGTGTAGACCATTTTGAGCATACCTAGACAGATCAATAGCACGTGATAAACTTAAAGATTGTGAATATTTGTCTAGAACTTGTGCTATCGCCTAGACCTCATGCTATAGCCCAATCTTTATCTTCTTGTTCCTCTCTTATGAATAATCAATACATTAAGGAGTGCATTTATGTGCAACCAGATTCCATTCCTATACCTTCAATATAAATATCCTGAAAAACACCTACTACCCTTTTGGGAAAATGTGTAAATGATCCCTACCAAGCTGCTCATTTACTGACTGAATATTACAAGATACAAACTATTAGTATAAGAAGTACATTGACATGTATGGTATCAGTATTACTAATTTATGCTGCCTTAAGAAATCTCCCATGATTAGTGAAAATTTAAGTATATAACCCACTCAAAGAACAAGCTGAATCCTCAAGAAACAGGTGTTCACACACTGTAGCAATCTTTAATTCACATTGTTTTGAAAAATGAAGATAAACTATGACAAATCCTACTGGCAGGATTATAAAAACACAATATTATCTTTTGTTTAACTTAGTTATTGTTGGATATATTTAATTTGGATATTATTATATTTAACAATCTATGCTGAACTTAATTTTGAAGGCAAAGTTAAAAATAAAGGATTTTTTTTTTTAATGTCAGGGGACAGTATAAATGTAGTCCGCCAGTGCCACAAAATATGCAGTCAAGTTCCAATATTTGGGGAAACTGCAGGGGTCAGCACACCTGAAGTGCAATGAATAGGCCTAACCCTGAGAAAACCGTCTTTGAGATTTTGACATTTCATCTGCCAGGTTAAGCATTTTTTTCTATTTGTATAAATGTATGAGGTACATGTAACATTTTGTTAAGTATATATGAGAAGTCATCAAGTCAGGGTATTTAGTGTGTTCATCTCCTGAGTACAATACATTTTGTTTACTATAGTCACCCTACTCTGCTATCAAACATTGAATGTATTCCTTCTAATTGTATGTTTGTATCCTTTAACCCACTTCTCTTCATCCTTACCTCTTAAAAACTAAAGATTTTTACCATTTTTGTTTTTTGAGACAGAGTCTTGCTCTGTTGCCCAGGCTTGAGTGCAGTGGCACAATCTTCACTCACTGCAACCTCTGCTTCCTGGGTTCAAGTGATTTTCCTGCTTCAGTCTCCCAAGTAGCTGGGATTACAGGTGGCCACCACCATCCCCGGCTAATTCTTGTATTTTTAGTAGGGATGGGGTTTCACCTTGTTGGTCAGGCTGGGCTCCTTACCTCAAGTAATCCGCCCACCTCGGCTTCCCAAAGTGCTGGTATTATAGGCATGAACCACTGCACCCAGCCAATTTTTACCATTTTTAATATACATATAAATCTATAAATGTTTGTTCCTTTATGTGAAACAAAAAACTAGCCAACTTATCTGAGACACTAAGGTTTCTACAGATGATAATTACCTGGTGTTTTCAATTAGAAACAGACATATGTATAGTTACATATATTGAATAGATATATATACATCCACACATACATATTTGTGAGGTAACAGCATCATTAATTACTTTTGGCTCTTTCATCTTGTCAGCATTACAGAATGTGTTGCCCTTATGCATTAGTAACAATTTAAAATACCTTAACGTAGAAGGAAATCACTTAAAAGAGCCCAAATAATCAACAGAGTTATTTAAGATTGAGTCTGTCTGTAGGAATTGAGTCTAAGGTTAGAGAGATGTGGGGACAACAGAATCACACTTGTCATTAAGGCCTTTGAGACACATGTATTATTTGGCTAAAAAATGCATGACTACAAAATAAAATAAATACCTTCATATAGGCAAATTCCTTCATGGCAGAGAGACGAGATAAATATAGCCATGACACATTGTGCCTATGTTTATGATAATCGCGTTTGTTTTTCAAATTTCGAAACGAGGTTCTTCCTAGTCTGTGAAGCTTTAATGCAAATTGTTGTCCTTCTTCATTTGCAACAATGTAAATATCTAGAGACAAAATTTCAAAAACAACCATTATTACACGTTTATTCCAATCAGTTAAAACAATTCTAACTTTCTCTAATTTTATTTGTATCAAAAATGTCATTTTTCCTAATAAAGATTGAGTATCCCTCCTTATCCAAAACCTTCGGACCAGAAGTGTTTTGAATTTTGGATTCTGGTATATTTGCACATAAATAATGATATATCTTGGGAGTTATTAGAAGAAAATTAATTCCTGGTATAAATGAATTTTCAGTGATAGACGTTCAGAGAAAATAATAACCTACTAATTAAGGACACCTTCTGATTTGTACTGCTTCCAATCAACTTTCCAACTTACTGTTTAGTTAGAAAAAAGGGAAAATTAAAAGAGGAAAGGTTTCTGAAGGGAAAACATAAACTAAAGCAAAGAAAATACTTTGCACAGTACTATTAGCACTTACCTGATTCTTTGCCAACACCCATCTGGTTTCCAACAGACTCAACTACTTGCCTAGAAGAAAGTGTTTTCAAAGCTAGGTAATCATATCCTGCATTTGTCAACCGATAGCCCTGGACAGCTAGACAAAAATCAAAGCATAAAGACCATATTTCAGTTACATTGTACAACCAAGTCACGTAAGTTCAAGTCATAAGAAAGATTTAACAATAAAGTCTTCATTGGAAAAAGATAAACTGCCCAGGCTCACAAGCTTCCAATTTCTTCCTATAATTTGCATTTCTTCTCCAGTGTACTGATAATCAAAATGTGACCTACAGACAGGTCTGTAAGTGTTTGTGACAAGATAAAAGGAGGAATTTAAGTTCAATTTGTATATCAATTTGACCTAGAATTTATGTCTGTTTTTGTATATCTGTTATCCATTTCATTTTTCTAGTAATTATTTTTTTGTATTTTATAAAAGTAAGGATCTGTGATAGGTTGGAAAAAACTAATCCTTCACCACAGATGGTTTCAGAAGTAATGATCTAGGGTATGACTACTGATTGTATTTTCCAAAGATGGTAGCCACAATAGCTTTATCCTATATGCTCTTCTGCAGTACCTACATGCTCTTCATGCTCTTCTACAGTACCTACATGCTCTTCTGCAGTACCTACATGCTCTTCATGCTCTTCTACAGTACCTACATGCTTTTCTGCAGTACCTACTTGCTCTTCTGCAGTACCTACATGCTCTTCTGCAGTACCTACATGCTCTTCTGCAGTGCTCTACCTGCTCTTCTGCAGTACTCTACCTGCTCTTATGCAGTACCTACGTGCTCTTCTGCAGTACCTACGTGCTCTTCTGTACTCTACATGCTCTTCTGCAGTACTCTATGTGCTCTTCTGCAGTACCTACGTGCTCTTCTGTACTCTACATGCTCTTCTGCAGTACTCTACCTGCTCTTCTGCAGTACTCTACCTGCTCTTCTGCAGTACCTACGTGCTCTTCTGCAGTACCTACGTGCTCTTCTGCAGTACTCTACATGCTCTTCTGCAGTACTCTACATGCTCTTCTGCAGTACTCTACGTGCTCTTCTGCAGTACCTACATGCTCTTCTGCAGTACCTACATGTTCTTACTACTATTCTTTTTTCACCTCCTTTGATCTGGGTGTGCCCTGTGATTATTTTGACTAATAGGATATGGCCGAAGTGTGTTCTGTCAGTTCTTCGTCTAATGCTTTACTAGTCTGGCAACTTCTACTTCTTGACTTTTGGAACACTTGCTCTGGTGGAAACCAATTACCTGAAAAATCACAAATGGTGCCTCAAAATACTTACTTTTGGTACGCTCCCAAGCTATGAGTTTATGTTTCACTAATTCTCTTAAAACTTTATTACAGCCACCATGTTTAAGGCTGGCTATAGAAGCAATCAAACTGCCGGGAACAATTTCATGGTTCTTCATGCCCATTTCAACCTGAAATTAAAGGAATCATTATATAATCATAATCAACACAAAGCCTTGTCTATCAAAACCCTGCGAAATTAACTTCTCCTTGAAGCTTTCCTGACTATGCAGTTCTCCAACTAATTCTGAGACATAATCACTTCCGTCTCTTGAAAATATTTTTAATTGCAATTTGAAATCTAATCATTGATATTTGTATTGGCTTTCCATTTCAAGAGTAGGAACTGTGAGTGCTAGACATACTGATGACATTTGGTCAATGCTAAAATACTTGATGACACCTAAACATTTGTCTTTAAAAACTACAGATATGCCAGATATTTATTAAGCAGGTATTTAATGAGAAAGTACTACATGTAGGCATCGTAGAGGATATATATATATATATGAATGATAGACTGGATAAAGAAAATGTGGCACATATACACCATGGAATACTATGCAGCCATAAAAAAGGATGAGTTCATGCCTTTTGCAGGGACATGGGTGAAGCTGGAAACCATCATTCTCAGAAAACTAACACAAGAGCAGAAAACCAAACACCACATTTTCTCACTCATAAGTGGGAGTTGAACAGTAAGAATACGTGGACACAGAAAGGGGAACATCACACACTGGGGCCTGTCGGGGGGTGGGGGGCTAGGGGAGGGATAGCATTAGGAGAAATACCTAATGTAGATGGGATGGGTTGATGGGTACAGCAAACCACTATAGCATGTGTATACCTATGTAACAAACCTGCACGTTCTGCACATGTACCCCAGAACTTAAAAGTATTTTATATATATATATAATATATATATATAAAATATATATATATTATATATATATAATATATATATAATATATATATTATATATATATTTTTAAATTTATTCCTCAGAGGTAAAAAGCACATATATATATATCTCTATCCTACATGCTCTTCTGCATGTGTATATGTATATATATATATATGTATATATATATATATATATGTGCTTTTTACCTCTGAGAAATTTTTATCTCATGATGGAAATTTTAAAAAATGGTATACATCTAAGTTTATTAGAAGTTAAGAAGTGATAAGTGCTTAAAAAGGTAGCTCAGGGCAGAATAAGAATACTTCTAGCTGAGGGATCAGTTCCAAGGAAGATGCAAAACTAGAGACTGACTTTTAAAAGATGTGGGCATACAGAGAAAACAGACAAGGGGATATTAGTGAAAGAAAAAGATTTGAAAATGGCACATATGCAAGAAAGTACTGACCACAGAGAATAGCTGAGTACAGTAGCAGCTCAGATGGGATAGCATATAGAATTCATGCAAACGCGGCTGGAAGATACTTCTAGGATAGAGAAGGCATTAAAATGTAGACCAAATACTTTTATATTTTATCCTGATGAGAGCAGGAAGCTCTTGAAGATGTTTAGGCGTGGGAGACACACGAACAGGGTTATTTTAAGGACATTAATGTACCAGGAATATGCAAATTGGCTTAGAGATGGCAAAATCTGAGGGGGTACTCCGGAGAACTAAGACAGAAGTCCAGCTCAGAGGAAAGAGCCACCAGAACAGGGTAAGTGGTAGTGGTACTGGAAGGAAGGAATAAAAATCTTTAGGAAGTATTATGGGAGAGCTTGGCAATTAGATGTGGAAGGGTAAAGGGAACGGAAAGCCACAATTGGAAGTGATGAGGAAAAGCAAGTTTTAAGATTTTATTATTTTTTTTTTTTATAGAGCTTGGGAAAAGAGAAAGGGGGTAGAAAAAAATTGAATTTGGTTTGAGCACTGAGAGTCAAATAAAAATGTTTAAAGGAAAACTGGAGGCCAGGTGCAGTGGCTCACACCTGTAATCCCAGCACTTTGGGAGGCCAAGGTGGGTGGATCACGAGGTCAAGAGATCGAGACCATTCTGGCCAACATGGTGAAACCCCATCTCTACTAAAAATACAAAAATTAGCTGGGCGTGGTGGTGTGCGCCTATAGTCCCAGCTACTTGGGAGGCTGAGGCAGGAGAATCGCTTGAACCCAGAAGGTGAAGGTTGCAGTGAGCTGAGATTGTGCCACTGCACTCCAGCCTGGCAACAGAATAAGACTCCGTCTCAAAAAAAAAAAAAAAAGAAAGAGAGAAAATTAAATAGGAAAGGGGCCTATATTTAGGAATGAAGTTATAATTAGAAGGAAAAATTGTCAATTATTTTATAGAAGTGAGAGTTGAAGATGTGAAGTGGATGCTATCACTGAGCAGGAGATAATGGAAGAAAAGGAATGTTTGGGAGCAGAATTCTGGGGCAAGTTCATATTGAAAGCTAAGGGCAGCTAGTCAAACAATGATTATTGATATAGGAGGAGCCAAAGAAGTAAAAGGGAAGAGAGGCCCAAGAAAGGGTACCAACACTGGTGAGATTCAACTGAGACCGGAATGTCATATTTAATGACTAAGTCATTTCTTGGTGAACTTTACAAATAATTTAAATATTGCAGCGCCAATGTTTTGGAAGATAAATCTGGCATCATTTTGATGTCTCACCAAAACCTTAACTTTTAAATTTAACTTATTTTCCATGCTTTGTCTCTGCCTCCCCCGTCCTCTAACACTCTTACTTTTGACCCCTACTTCTGTCAGAGACACTAAGGAATGAGTGTGCTGAGAAAGCAGGAAAGGAAGGTATCTTTCCGAAGTGATAGTAGGTTTTCATAGAGAAAGTCCAGCTGATTAGAAGAATCTACATGAGAGGCAAAGTAAACATTGTCTTCCAAATTTCACACTGATTTTGCATTTGATAGTTTAATACTTAAGCGCTATTTAAGATTAATTTTAAAAATCCAAAACTTGAAGCCTTAACATAATGCAAGAACCAGTGTGACTCACATCGCATATCCTATTACATAATTACACAATATAGGTAGTCCTTATCATGGGGTTCACTCCTTACCAAAAGATAACGGCTCCTAAATAAATGTACAAATGTCTTGATCTATATATTAATTTCTGTGCCATAAGACTGAGGCCATAAAATCAGATTTTGTTACTCCCCTGATTAAAAACATTTAGTGGTTACCCCCACATTCTTTACCAAACCTCCAAGGCTCTGTAGTACATAATTTCTCACCTTTTCCGCTACATCTCCAACCATTAGTGTGCATCTCACTTTGCTCCAGCCACATTACATTGGCCTTTCCTCTCTTCAAAGACTTTTCTGTCTCAAGGCCTTTGCACTTACTACTGCTGTTTCCTCTGCCTCCAACTCTTTCCAAGGACTTCACTGGGCTGTCTCTTTCTCACACAGCTCCTATTATTCCCCCATTCATTCTTTCATTTAGTGAATATTTATTGATTGTCTACCAAAGGCCAATAACTTGTGCCCCTCCTCTCCACCAGATACATATACTTTCTATGCCATTATCCTTTATCATTTTCATAGCATTTATCCATTATCCTATTTTTCGTTTACTTGATGATCTGTGTCTCTCTCTCCACTTGTCTGTTTGAACAAGTGAACCTCCTAATGTTGCTACTAAAAAACCGACAAATATGTGTTGACTGAATGAATCAGAAAGACTGCTATGCGACTGAGTCTGTTAGTAGGGAAGTCAATATTATCAAATCTCGGGGGGGGGGGGGGGCTTAAACCTTTCACAGCTGGTCGGAAGCTCAGGATCAGAGAAGTTTCCAGGCCACAGAGATGCAAGCGTTTCTCTTCAGCGCAAAGCGAATAGCAGCAGAAAAGAAAACAATTATTAGAAGACGGGACCTTTGCTCTATCTGGGGGAAGGTAAGCTCCCAAACAAAACCTTTTTAAAAATCCGACTTTCTGAATGCTCTCTTCTCCATTCCCAGCTTCTGCCACGTCCCGGGTCCCAGAGTGTGCCTGCTCAGATCCCAGAAAACTTGCAGGAACAGGAAGAGGTCACACAGTGTTAAGGGGAAGGGAGAACAGGAACGGCGGGTTTCTTACCGCGGTCAAGACCCTGAAGTCATCTCGGCTCATGTAACGCAACTTGGCCACATTCACTTTCCCCATGGCGGCCCCAGTCCGAACCCAGATGCCTCTCCGACGACAGCCGCAAAGCGTAAGGCAGGTCGTTATTCCAGCCTCTAAGCGCTTTACAGCGCCAGATGGCTCGCGCACGCGCTGCGTCTTAGTATAGGTCCTTGTTAATAGTTAGAAGTGCTGTTCTCATTGATATAGGAAAATAAAACTACTTGTATGTCTTATGAAACACATAGTATGTAACAAGTGAACGTTTTATTTTTGTGTAATTTTTGCGTTGTGACTGAGTTGGCGGAGTGTAGATATTCTCTACAATGTGCCTTTTTTTTTCCATATCTGTCAGGACTTGCTGCCTCAATGACACGTTCCGCCTCAGAGAGCAAAGTGGTTACTTAATGGGAGGAGCAAATTTTTCCCGCAAACAACTTCTACTCTAGGCAAAGTGACTTCCAACAAGACAGGGGTAAAAGAACCTGAGCTAGAGTCCAGACAACCAAATCTGTTAAAGGTAAAGTGGACTGTAATCACACAAGCACGCCCTCTACTCCTAATTGCGCCTGCTCCGGCAGCTCCGGAGGGCGTGGTTAATGGAACTCATGCGCTTGCTCAGTACTTCTCTTAGGTTGGTCTAGGAGGCTTCGAAGTGCGCCTGCGCTGGTTGGGGTGGGAGTTTAAGGTGACACGTGGAGAGCGCGGCGGACGTCCTTACCTCCAGAGGAAGTGGGGATTTTGATAGTTCGGGCTGACCTACGCGGGTAGGACTTCGAGGGCCCAGGAGCGATTTAAGGATTTTAGAATAGTTACCCATACTGGCTCTGCAACTCCTCGATATTCAAGCCTTTGTCTGCTTTTTACTTGAATGCAGCATGTCTTTGATTAACCATCTTCAACCAATGAACATCTCCATTTAAACGGAATTTTTCTTTCTGTACTTACATAAGAAGGCATAGAAATGAATTTTTTTTTTATTTTTGAGACAGAGCCCGGCTCTGTCACCCAGACTGAAGTACAGGGGCGCGATCTTGGCTCACTGCAACCTCTGCCCTCTAGGTTCAAGGGATTCTTCTCCCTCAGCCTCCTAAGTAGCTGGGATTATAGGCTCACACCACCACGCCCTGCTAATATTTTTATTTTTAGTAGAGATGGGGTTTCGCCCTGTTGACCAGACTGGTTTCAAACTCCTGGCCTCAGGTGATCCGCCCCCCTCAGTCTCCCAAAGTGCTGGGATTACAGGCATAAGCCACCGCGCCTGGGCGAAAAGTTTTTAAAAAAACCAAGTGACTAACTTTATTTGTACAAATTTATGGGGTACGTGAGAAATTTTGTTACAAGTATTTAGGGTGTCTGTCATCCAAATACAATATATTTTTGTGTAACTATAGTTACCCTACTCTACTATCAAGCAGTGAATATATTCCTTCTATCTGACTCCATGTTTGTAACCTTTAACCTACTCTCTTCATCCTGTTCCCACTCCCCTCATCTTTCCCAGTCTGTTATCTGTCTTTCCACTCTCTACCTTAATGTGATCAAATTTTTTAGCTTCCACATATAAGTAAGAGCGTGTGATATTTGTCTTTTTGTTCCTGGCTTATTTCCCTTAAGATAATGACCTCCAGCTCCATCCACGTTACTGCAAATGGCAAGATTTCATTTTTTATGTCTGAATAGTACTCCATTGTGTATATATACCACATTTTCTTTATCCATTCATCTGTTGATGGACACTTAGGTTGATTCCATAGCTTTGCTATTGTGAATAGTGCTGCGATAAACATGCAAGTGTAGGTATCCCTTTGATATACTGATTTCTTTCCTCTGGGTAGATACCCAATAGTGGGATTGCTGGATTGAATAATTCTATTTTTAATTTTTTGAGAAATCTCCATATACTTTTCCACAGTGGCTGTACTAATTTACATTCTCATCAACAGTGTATAAGAGTTCTCTTTTCTCCGCATCTTCACCAACATCCATTATTTTTTGTCTTTTTAACAGTAGCCATTTGGACTGGGGTAAGATAATATCTCATTATGGCTTTGATTTTCATTTCTTATATACTTAGTGATGTTGAGCAATTTTTCATGTACCTGTTGGCCATTTGTATGCAAATAACTAACTTCTAGAGCAAGAATGGAATGGGAAACAAGCCATTTATGTTTCTACTCCGAATCCAGCACTTTAGCAAATGTTCCTAATCTATTATGGTGTAATTCTTACATTATTTCTCAACATTGCCTCAGACAGCCACCATTAACTGAGTGGAATTGACTAGAATTGCTATTGGTGTTCTGAAGTATGCCTTACGGTTAATCACATTAAGTCCAAATCTCTTATATTTGGAATATTACTTTTAAAATAAAATCATTTTAATAATCAGAACTTTGAAGAGTAAAAGTAAGTGATTGAAGTGCAGTTTGGTATTCTGTTCTACTCCCTCATACCATGCTTAGTGATGAGTAAAACAAAACATGTACAGTATTATTCGTTAATGCATTCACTATTCATCAAACATATATGCCATACTTTTTTACTAGGTCCTGGGGAATCAATCTCAACCCTCATACCTGTGTTGGAGGGTGAAGAGTAGAAAAATAGAGAGTAGTGTGACACAGATGTGCAAAAGGTGTATCATGTTGGTGTTTCCTCCTCCCTTACCTCCCCTGCCCTGACCCTGTCCTTACAAGTTGCAGAGAACCTTAACTGTCTACAGATCAAAGTGCACGTTTAGACTGGCATTCAGGATTGTCAACAATCTGTATCACCATCTTCAAGCAGTTTGTACTCTTGTCTAATTGAACTACTTTTGTTTTCCCTGTATAACTCCCTTAAATTTCTTTTTTACTAAGTTTTCCCTTCACCTGTAATACTTTTCCCTCCACCTGTAATATTACCTCTTCCCTACTGTTTTTCTTCTTTTTCAATCACAATATATGTAAATCTTATCTACCATTAAAATTCTATTCACCACATAAGGTTTTTCTTTATTATTCCTATTTATCTCTATATTAATTTTCTCTTGCTGCTGTTAACATATTACCGCAAACTTTGACGACTTAAAACAATAGAACTTTATTCTCTTACAGTTCAGGACGCTGGAAATAAGAGATTATTTTTACTGGGTCAAAATCAACGTGTTGACAGGACCATGTTCCCCCAAGAGGGGCTCTAGTGGAGAATTTGTTCCTTGCCTTTTGCAGCTCCTACTGGGATTTGGTGACTGCTGGCATTCTTTTGGCTTGTGGCACATCACTCCAGTCTCTGTCTCCATGCTTACGTTATTGCCTTCTCTACTCGTGAGTGTGTGTGTTTCCTTCTGTCTCTGTCTTATACAAATACATGTAATTGCACTTAGGATCCACTCAGACCCTTAATAACATCTGTAAAATATTTTTTTCCATATAGGATAAATTCTTAGGTTCTAGAAATTAGTATGTGGATATTTTTGGATGGGTCATCATTCAACCTCTCACACTCTCAAAGGGAAGTAAGTGCTCCTCCCTCTAATCTTCTGTAGCCTGTTGTCTTTAATGATTCTGGCCACTTTTTAACCTCTCCTGCTTGCCCATAGGTTAGGTTAATTACAGAAAAAGTTGAATGTGGAGACTGAATTTAAAGCATAGATTCAAGAAAAAGAAATTTTGTATATTTACATTTAAGATATTATACTAGCTAAAACTCAGAAAAAATTATGATAGATTTTACTGCATATGGGTGGTAGCGCCATACATTTGCATATAAGGGATATCAGTGGTGGAAAAAGACACAGAATGGAAGATAGGGATGTGTGGAGTTTATGGCAAGTTTCAATGGGAGACTCACAACACAAACTTGTTGAATTCAGAAGCATGTTCAGAATACACAGCAGAGATTTATATACCTTTTGAAAAATAGCTCCTGGCGTGCTGCAGAGCCCTGGGAGAGATGTGTTGCTTGGCGCTGAGATATCACACAGGTGACATCGGGGTCACAGTTGTTCAGTAATGATCTATCCTAAGATGAAAGTGGTACGTGCAGGAGTGAACACAAGCAGGACCAGAGGGTGCAAGCTGCATGAGCAGGTGGACTGGACTCTTTCATGTCATCCACTACCATTGCCCAAGTGCCTTTCCCTCAACTTATATCTCCATGGGTGATACCTTTGATCAGTTGGTGAAGCAAAAAAAGCCCACATTAGATTCACGGATGGGTCAGTTTGATTTTGTAGTTGAACTACAGCTCTATTTGTGTGTCCTTGAAAGAGAAGTGATCAGGGAATATCCTCCTGATGGGCAGATCTTTGGAAGGTGCACTTCATCATTCACTTTGTGTAGTAAGAGAAATAGCCCCAGGTTAAAATATACATGGACTCATGGGGAAGGGTGAATGGCTTGGCTGGTTGGAAAGGGACTTGGAAGAAGAATTAGTAGATTGGGAACAAGGATGTCTGAGGTAGAGGGGTATGAGAAAGGATATATGGGTGTGCACAAGAAATGTGAGTAAAGGAACTGGTCCGTGGCCTGGGGGTTGGGGACCCCTGCTTTCGAGTCAAAAGCCTCGAGGCCTCCTTTGGTACTACACCACAGTTAAACTTTTTCCTTTGCCTAATCCTACTTCTTTCCCTGCTCTTCTTAAAGAGTTGATCATAAGAGCACTCTGTATTAATATTCCCACATGCCACTCTGCAGTACAGAGTCGGCTTCGTGTGAAAGTCCACCTTCACCAGTGTTTTTCTGGGCCTTCAGCATAGTGATAATGGGACCCTTCCATAAAGGTGGGATAGGCAAAATAAGACCTCCAACTGAGAGATATTATCATTGGCTTAACTCTGACACTAACTAGTTTTTGATCTTGGGTATGCCTTTAATTTCACTCATTCAAACAAGTTTTTATTTTGAATGTTTACAATGCATTTTGGTAGACAAAACTCAGTTCCTTTACTCAAGAAGTTTATAGGTCTAATGGGTCATAGGTTCTTTATTTGTATTATGAAGGGGATAGACTTGAATTAGTGTTTCTAAACCTCTTGTTCATTTAAGTCCCCATCACAGACCCCGTCACCTTCATTTCTTTGTGGTTGAGAATCACTCTCTTCTGTGTATCCTTAAGGACCAAGAATATTTGGTTAACTGAATATCCAAAACAATCTTGATCAGTAAATCTTGTCCCTTACCCCCCTTCCCACCTGAATCCACAAAGCTCATTGTATCATTCTTATGGCTTTACATCATCATAGCGTAGCTCCCACTTAATAAGTGAGAACATATGATGTTAGGTTTTCTATTCCTGAGTTACTTCACATAGATGGAATCTCCAATTCCATCCAGGTTGCTGCAAATGCTATTATTTAGTTCCTTTTTATGGCTGAGTAGTATTCCATGGTCTATGTGTATGTATGTGTGTGTGTGTGTGTG
Organism: Homo sapiens; assembly: GCF_000001405.40. NCBI lineage: Eukaryota > Metazoa > Chordata > Mammalia > Primates > Hominidae > Homo > Homo sapiens. The sequence continues at coordinate 97,188,555 of NC_000005.10, forward strand.
TGTGTGTGTATCACAATTTTTTTTTTTTTTGAGATGGAGTCTCGTTCTGTTGCCGAGGCTGGAGTGCAGTGGTGCAATCTCGGCTCACTGCAAGCTCCGCCTCCCGGGTTCACGCCATTCTCCTGCTTCAGCCTCCCGAGTAGCTGGGACTACAGGCGTCTGCCACCATGCCTGGCTAATTTTTTGTATTTTTAGTAGAGATGGGGTTTCACCATGTTAGCCAGGATGGTCTAGATCTCCTGACCTCATGATCTGCCCACCTTGGCCTCCCAAAATAACTGGGATTACAGGCATGAGCCACCGTACCCGGCCAACATATTTTCTTTATCCACTTGTTGATTTATAGACATTTGGGTTGGTTCTATATTTTTGCAACTGCAAATTGTGCTGCTATAAACATATGTGTGCAAGTATCCTTTTGTATAATCACTTCTTTTCCTCTGGGATTGCTGGATCAAATGGTTGATCTACTTTTAGTTCTTTAAAAAAATCTTCATGCAGCTTTCCATAGTGGTTGTACTAGTTTGCATTCCTACCAGCAGTGTAAAAGTGTTCTCTTTTCACCACAACCATGCCAACATCTATTATTTTTTGATTTTTGGGTTATGGCCATTCTTGCAGGAATAAGGTGGTATCATATCATGGTTTTGATTTGCATTTCCCTGATCATTGGTGATGTTAAGCATTTTTTCATATGTTTGTTGGCCATTTGTATATCTTCTTTTGAGAATTGTCTATTCATGTCCTTAGCCCACTTTTTGATGGGATTGTTTATTTTTTTCTTGCTAGTTTGTTTAAGTCAATTCCTTGTAGATTCTGGATATTAGTCCTTTGTCAGATGCATAGTTTGCAAAGATTTTCTCCCACTTTGTGGGCTGTTTTTTCTTCCTAGTTTGTTTAAGTCAGTTCCTTGTAGATTCTGTATATTAGTCCTTTGTCAAATGCATAGTTTGCAAAGATTTTCTCCCACTTTGTGGGCTGTTTACTCTGCTGATTATTTCTTTTGCTGTGCAGAAACTTTTTAGTTTTATTAAATTCCATCTGTTTATTTTTGTTTCTGTTGCATTTGCTTTTAGGTTCTTTGTCATTAAGTCTTTGCCTGAGCCAATGTCTAGAAGGGTTTTTCTGATGTTATCTTCTAGGATTTTTATGATTTAGGTCTTAGATTTAAGTCTTTTATCTATTTTGTGTTGATTTTGTATAAAGGGGAGATGAGGATCCAGTTTCATTCTTCTACATGTGGCTTGCCAATTATCCCAGCACCATTTGTTGAATAGAGCGTCCTTTCCCCACTTTATGTTTTTGTTTGCTTTGTCAAAGATTGGTTGGCTGTATTTGGCTTTATGTCTGGGTTCTCTTTTCTGTTTCATTGGTCTACATGCCTATTTTTATACCAGTGCCATGCTGAGTTGGTGACTATAGCCTTATAGTATAGTTTGAAGTTGGGTAATGTGATGCCTCTCTACTTTCCAGGAATTTATCCATGTCTTTTAGGTTTTCTAGTTTATGCATGTAAAGGTGTTCACAGTAGCCTTGAATGATCTTTTGTATTTATATAGTGTCAGTTGTAATATCTCCTGTTTTGTTCCTTATTGAGCTTATTTGTATTTTCTCTCCTCTTTTCTTGGTTAATCTTGCTAATCGTCTATCAATTTTATTTATCTTTTCAAAGAACCAGTTTTTTGTCTTATTTATCTTTTTTTTTTTTTTTTTTGAGATAGAGTCTCGCTCTGTCGCCCAGGCTGGAGTGCAGTGGCATGATCTCGGCTCACTGAAAGCTCTGCCTCTGGGGTTCATGCCATTCTCCTGCCTCAGCCTCCCAAGTAGCTGGCACTACAGGCACCTGCCACCACACCTGGCTAATTTTTTGTATTTTTAGTAGAGACGGGGTTTCACTGTGTTAGCCAGGATGGTCTCAATCTCCTGACCTCCTGATTCATCCACCTCGGCCTCCCAAAGTGCTGGGATTACAGGCGTGAGCCACCGCGCCCAGCCTTATTTATCTTTTGTATTGTTTTATTTTTGTTTCAATTTCATTTAGTTCAGCTCTGATCTCAGCTATTTCCTTTCTTCTGCTGGGTTTGGGTTTGGTTTGTTCTTGTTTCTCTAGTTCCTTGAAGTGTGACCTTAGATTGCCTATTTGTGCTCTTTCAGACTTTTCGATGTTGGCATTCAGTGCTATGAAGTTTCCTCTTAGCACTGCTTTTGGTGTATCCCAGGTGTTTTGATAGGTTATGTCACTGCTATCATTCAGCTCAAAGGATTTTAAAATTTCCATCTTGATTTCATTGTTGACCCAGTGATCATTCAGGAGTAGGTTATTTAATTTCCATGTATTTGCATGCTTGTGAGGGTTCCTTTTGGAGTTGATTTCCAATTTTATTCCACTAGAGTCTGAGGGAATACTTGATCTAGTTTTGATTTTCTAAATTTATTGAGACTTGTTTTGTGGCCTATTATATGGTCTTTCTTGGAGAATGTTCCATGTGCTGATGAATAGAATGTATATTCTGCAGTTGTTGGGTAGAATGTTCTATAAATATCTGTTAAGTCCATTTTGTTTTAGGATATAGTTTAAGTCTGTATTTCTTTTTTGACTTTCTGTCTTGATGGCCTGTCTAGTGCTGTCAGTGGAGTACTGAAATCCTCCACTATTATTGTGTTGCTGTCTATCTCATTTCTTAGGCAGGTCTAGTAGTACTTGTTTTATAAATTTGGGACCTCCAGTGTTAGGTGCATATATATTTAGGATTGTTATATTTTCTTGTTGGACTAGTCCTTTTATCATTATATAATGTCACTCTTTGTCTTTTTTTGTTGTTGTTGTTGCTTTGAAGTCTGTTTTGTCTGATATAAGAATAGCTACTCCTGCTTGCTTTTGGTGTCCATTTGCATGGAATGTCTTTTTCCTAGTTTATGTGAGTCCTTATGTGTTAGATGAATCTCTTGAAGTCAGCAGTTAGTTGGTTGGTGAATTCTTATCCATTCTGCCATTCTGTATCTTTTAAGTGGAGCATTTAGGTCATTTACACTGAAGTTAGTATTGAAAATGAGATACTATTCTATTTGTTGTGCTAGTTGTTGCCTGAATACCTGCTGCTAATCTGATAGGTTTTCCTTTGTAGGTCACCTGATGCTTTTGCCTCACAGCTCTTAAGATTCTTTCCTTTGCCTTGACTTTAGATAACCTGATGATTTTGTGCCTAAGCGATGATCTTTTGCAATGAATTTCCTGGGTATTCTTTGAGCTTCTTGTATTTGGATGTCTAGATCTCTAGCAAGGCCAGGAGCTTCCCTCGATTATTCCCTTAAATATGTTTTCCAAACTTTTAGATTTCTCTTCTTCCTCAGGAACACCAATTATTCTTGGGTTTGGTTGTTTAACATAATCCCAAACTTCTTGGAGGCTTTGTTTATTTATTTTTTATTATTTTTTCTTTGTCTTTATTGGACTGGGTTAATTTGAAAGCCTTGCTGTCGAGCTCTGAAGTTCTTTCCTCTACTTATTTGATTCTATTGCTGAGACTTTCCAGTGTATTTTCCATTTCTCTAGGTGTGTCCTTCATTTCCAGAAGTTATAATTGTTTTTTATTTATGCTATCTGTTTCTCTGGAGATTTTTCCCATCCATATCTTGTATAATTTTTATTTCTTTAAGGTGGTATTCACTTTACTGTGGTGCCTCCTTAAATAGCTTAATAATCGACCTTCTGAATTCTTTTTCTGGCAATTTGGAGGTTTCTTCTTGGTTTGGATCCATTGCTTGTGAGGTAGTGTGATTTTTTTGGGGTGTTAAAGAACCTTGTTTTGTCATATTACCAGAATTGTTTTTCTGGTTCCTTCTCATTTGGGTATACTATGTGAGAAGAAAAGATCTGGGGCTCAGGGGCTATTTTTCAGATTCTTTTGTCCCACGGGGTGATCCCTTGATGTAGTAGTGCTCTCCCCCTTCCCCTAGGGATGGAGCTTCCTGAGAGCCGAACTGCCGTGATTGTTATTTCTCTTCTGCATCTAGCTACCAGTGGATCTACGAGCTACCAGGCTCAAGGCTGGTACTGGGGCATGTCTGCAAAGAGTCCTGTGATGTTATTTATCTTCAGGTCTCTCAGCTATGGATACCAGCATTTGCTCTGGTGGAGGTAGCAGGGGAGTGAATTGGACTCTATGAGGGTTCTTGGTTGCAGTTTTGTTTAGTGCACTGGTTTTGTGTTGGTTGGCCTCCAGCCAGGAGGTGGTGCTTTCGAGAGAGCATCAGCTGTGGTAGTATAGGGAGGATACAAGCTTGCCTTAGGGTTGCCTGCATAAATATTCAGGTTTTTCAGGTGGTAGTTGGGCCCATAGAGCTCCCAAGAAATTATGTTCTTTGTATTTGGCTATCAGGGTGGGTAGAGAAAGACCATCAAGTTGGGGCAGGGTTATATGTGTCTGAGCTGAGATTTTCTTTATGTGTGGCTTGCTGCAGCTGCTGTGGGGGGCAGGGTATGGTTCTTAGGCTTGCTAACGGAGTTATGTTCCCAGGGGGATTATGGCTGCCTCTGCTGCATCATACAGGTTACCACAGAAGTGGGGAAAAGCCAGTAGTGACAGGCCTCACCGCAGAGCCTGAAGGGCCAGTCTTACTCCCACCGTGCCCCACCAACAGCACTGAGTTTATTTACAGGCAGCTGGTGAGCAGGGCTGAGAACTTGCCCCAGGCTACAAGCCTCCCTGCTGAGAAAGCAAGCAGGGCTTTCAGGTTTCCTGCCTCCCCACATGCCACAGTTTCTGTGCTTGTATCTGTACTCCTAGGTTGCCCCCTCCCTTGGATTCGGTCCAGGAAACTTCGCCTTCAGTCAAAAGTGTTACAAAGTTTGTCTGGAAATTTCCTTCTCCCTTTGGTCTTTCTGTAATTCCACTGGCAGCCCTCCTCAAGGACTCCTGCGAGAGAAAGTCAGGAATGGCTTCCCTGGGGACCGAGAGTGCCCCACAGGGCTCTTTCTGCTGCTTCCTCTACTTCTGTATTTTGCTTGGCTCTAAGTTTGTCTCAACTTCAGGTAAGGTCATATTCTTCTCCCATGATCTAAATCTTCACATTCCCCAGTGAGGATGTATGTTCAGGGGTGGACATCCTTCCTCTCACACTTTGGGCACTCACAGTTTTCTGGCTGTCTTACTGAGCCTGCCGCGGCAAGCTGCTTCATTCAAAGTGTCTATGGATTCTCTTGGTTTTCCTGGTATGTTCCTGTTGTAGTTCTTGGAGCAGAAGTTCATAATGTGAGTCTCTGCATGCTGCTCTGTCCATCTGAGTGGGAGCTGCAAGTTAGTTCTGCCTCCTGTCTGCCATTTTTCCCAATAGATCTGTTTTGATCATTTTACATTGTATACATGTATCAAAACATCACATTGTTCCTCATAAATGTATATAATTATGGTTTGTCAATGAAAAATAATATTAATAAAATATTTGGTTAAGATTTGTTTTATGAAAATAATATATTTTCATTTTGCAAATAGAAAACTATATCACACTGGTAGATACTCATTTTCAAACTGTACCTCCCAGTCTCTTAGTGATTTTGATAGTTCCACTCACCTTGAGAATTACTGGATAGGTGATTAGTCAGGAACCAGTCAGTGGACAGAAGCCGTCTTAGTTATTTAAACAGAGCCTTTAATATTCAGAATGTTAAATTAGGCATAAAGTTCACTAGATAACTAAAAAGGGGACATGAGAATATTAAGGCACTACAGCTACTACCACTAGGGTTGGAGGAACAAAAAGAAGAGATTGAAATTACTAACACTTAGATGCTTAGAAGAGAGGACCCACAGACCTGACAACCTGACATCTGAGTAGGGGGCACTGCCATGTTGGTGCTAATATTTCTGGGCCGGGAGGACATGATAAAACTTGTTTTCCAAGTGTTGGAAAAATTGCAACTAAATTCAGCTGATGCTGTGGAAGCTCCCTGCTGTTGCTGGGGTAAAGAAGTGTTGTCAGGGTGATGCTAACAAAAATGGCACACACACAGGAAGCTTGTAGAAAGCAAACAGGAAGAAGACAGAGGAAGCAAGTTGACTCTTCCCACTTCTAAGATCCCTTTTTGGCAGAGTGCAACGTGGAGCCAGCTGGCAAAGCCAAAATGGAATTTAAGGGTCTCAGTCCTAGCATCAGAGGCTAGAGTGTAGAAGTCTGGGTGTAGAGCTAAGAGACAATAGCTTGATAAGTGGCACAGCCTGTATGGTCTTTTTGAGATCCAATTTGCCTGTTAGACCTGCTGCATAGGGCAGTAATCAAGTAGGCATCTTAATGGCTTGCCTTTTTTGAGATATTGTCTATTTAGGTTCCTTGATTTAGAGAATATGTAACTTGTTTCAGATCTTTGGTCGTCTACTTCATTGACTTCAATTAATGAATTTACCTGTTTTAGTTCTGTGCTTGTTTTACTTTTTTGTTGTTGTTATATCTTTGTTTTCAAAAATTAAAAATAATTCCATTACTCTGTTAGAAATGTTTATTAAATAGGGCTTTTAAGTTACCTAAAATAATATGTATAATTGTGTAGGTTACAAATTCGAATACTAAATGTGTTATTCCAAGTTACTCTATGCTAGAATTTTAAATGTTTCCATACACTAAATATGACATCATTTTATGATTTTTTTCTTTGGATAGTAAATCTTGGTTTTAAAAATATTATTTCGACCATTGGGTATTTAACTGCCTTATATTAGAATAGCTTTTTTAGTCTAAGCTACTGCCTGACTTCCAGACTTGGTTAAATATTCTTACTACTCCCCCACTTTTTTTTTATTTGGCTTAATGTACTCCTCTTTAATGTGAAAACAATATTTTTTCAAACAGGTCTCCCAAGGATAAAATTGTTTGGTTCTCTTAGAATGTGCAACTTTGTTAAACTGCCATCTATAGTCTGATGACATCTGAAATTAGCTTTTAAAACAGTGACCGGGGTTACCATAGTGACCATTACTCTGATAATCCAAACTCATTTATTAACCTAGGGAGTTCTTGTCAAGGAAGTCAAGGGTTGGCACTAATTGATTTGAGGTTACTGCCTGAATATTAGTTCATGTTGAACTGATTTGTTTTTCTAAAACATATCTAACATATGTTAAGCCTGTATGGAATAAAGCTCACACAGTGTAGTGTAGCCAAAAATAACCTGTTGGCTGGCCATTTTTAGAACTTTCACTATTTCTATAAATATTAGTGGTAGTATGTTCTATTATTTAATATGTTGCTTCTTTAAAGTCACTGGAGGAATTGATATTCAATTTGTGAATAAACTTAAATGCTATCTTGGGTTTTTCCCTCATGATGCCGGAATGCTTTGGGCATTTTCCTACCTATGTAACTCAAGGTAGGTGGATAAAAGAAGGTGAGGTGAAATGAAAATTTTGGTATTTTTATTGTTGTTTTTACTTTATTGGCGCTGATAAAGTGTTTCTTCAGAGTTTGAAGGCATTTCATTAAGGGTCTTTGCTCATTTAAAGAATCGATTTTTTCATTGTTTTTGCTACTAGATCACTGAAAGTAGATCACAGTTATCTCAACATTAGTTTCTTAAATGTCAAGATAGAATATTACTTATGCATGTTTAAAATGGTTTTAGAACTAAATTTGTAAAGAAACCAATTTTTATTTTTAAAAGTGTATTCTTATTTACAATTTTTAAGAAATTTAATTTGTATTGACAAATAATAGTATATTTATGGAGTAAAAAGTCATGCTTGGATACATGTATACATTGTAGAATGAGCAAATCAGGCTAATTAACATATCCATCACCTCACGTACTTATAAAATCCAACCTTTTGGAAATTTTGAAATACATATTATCACTAATTATAGTCACCTTGCTTTGCAATGGACCACCACAACTTAAAAGTATATTCGTTTTTTTCCCCCTTTTTATAATTTCAGCTTTTATTTTAGATTCAGGAGGTATATGTGTAAGTTTGTTACATGGGTATATTGCACAATGCTGAAGTTTCGGGTATGGTTTATCCTGTCACCCAGTAGCGAGCATAGTACCCGATAGTTTAACCCCTTCCCCCATCCCCATCTCCCCTCCTCTAGTAGTCTCTGTTGTCTACTGTTGCCATCTTTATATCCATGTGTACACAGTGTTTAGCTCCCACTTAAAAGTGAGAACATGCAGTATTTGGTTTCTCGTTCCTGGATTAATTTCCTTAGGATAATGGCCCCCAGGTGTATCTATATTGCTGCAAGGACATGATTTCATTCTTTTGGATGGCTTCATAGTATTCCATGGTGTATATGTACCACATTTTTTTAATCCAGTCCATCATTGGTAGGCTAGGCACTTAAATTAAATTAATTCCATGTCTTTGCTATCGTGAATAGTGCTGTGATGAACCACAGTTGCATGTGTCTTTTTGGTAAAGCAATTTATTTTCCTTTGGATATATACCTAGTTATGGGATTACAGTATATTCTTAATGTAACATTTTGTGTTAAATGTTTTTAGTAATTTCTTTTTCAATATTCATTTTAAATTTGCACTTACATATAAGTGATTGTCAGCAGAATGTGCTAATTGTTCTTTCAACATGCATTCTTTCATTTCATTTTTCCTTTTAGCAACAGAAGCTGCTGATTTCCATCTGAACTCATGACGCCTGAGCCAGAGATGATGTTTTCCAGCCTTGTTAGAGATATATGTAGTTACATGTCTAAGTTTTTATCTGTATATAGGATGGGAGTAGAAATTAGAAATGCAGATTCTGGGTCTTGCTTTAAAACAATGGATATGTGGATCCTTCTGTTTCATTTCAAGGCTGGACCTTGACCATTGTAGTGAATCAGCTTCACTCATGCAGGTAAGGGAAATACTCTCAGGGAATGTCTGAAAAACAAGATGGAAGGACCCTAGTTCCCAGGTATCCCACAGAGCCAGCTACTTTACCATTTTGCTCCACCTACCTGCCTCTGAATATTACGTGAGAGAGCAATACATTTCTACCTTATTTGAGCTATTATATTTTGGGGTCTCTTGTTACATAAGATTAGTTTACACCCAAACTAATATAAGTAAGATTTTAAGTGTAACATTTTCTGATGACTTGAAGTTTCAAAGAAAGCTCTAGAGGCTGAGGCTCAGACATGCTGGTATCTACATTCTACACTTAAGCACTAGACCATATATGTAAGGTTAGCAAAAGGGCTGCCAAAACTCAGTTCTGCTCTTATTAACCTATCACCCACCTCCATACTATGTAAATTAAGTACTGGAGAGTCATTGGAGATTAAAAAATGGAGGCCTATATTGAGAATTTCTTGGGAGAAAGATGTCAGTGTTTTATGATAATTCCTCCTTTGCCTTTCCCATGGTTAGGAGAGTGTTGCTGGCCTTGACTAAAGCAAGTGATGGGGCTGTGAAGAGACCCATTTAGAGAATTTCACATGTGGCTCTGAGAATTTAGGGAATATTGGGCCTGGCAACTGTCTTATTCCTAAGAGTCTTAAGTGAAAATGTGGGCTGTAGAAGTGTACTGGTGAAAACAAAAGGAGAAGGTTGTATTGAGATCATTTTGGGCTTCCATAGTTGGTTGGGAAAACCTCAAAGTGGTTAAAGGAAAGGACTTCGCCCATTTATAACAAGTAACAGTGTAAACCCTTTATGGACATCAGTAATGTGCCAGGTGAATTACTTTGTGGTCACCACCCATTGAACATGAGGCTACAGGATGAATTCTATAATATCACATTATGGGTTACACATTAGATTCCATTGAGGATGATGAAACTTACAAGGTAAATAAGTCAGAATCTAGTCAGGAGTCAAGAACTATAACAATTATTTTAATAGAGAATTTTAAATAGAATTATTAGCCTGGTATTGAGAACAGATACCTTCTTTTAAGTCTGAGAGTAAAAAAGGTAAGAGGTTAGTTGGTATTTTTAACTCATAGAAGCTCAGAGTCAGGATCCTGAGCTGGGACTCAGGCCCTTTAGGAGGAGTCATTGCCTGATTAGTGCTGGTACTTCAGGAGTATGGCTACTGGGCTGGGAACTCTGGGGAGGGGCACTGGCCATCTGGTGTTGGTATCTCTGAGGGACACAATGAGGGTGGTTTTGGGAGTGTAAACTGCAACCTATTGCTACTGTAGTACCACCTGTTTCTGCCAGGGTGAAGTATCATTGCTGGGTGATGCTGAGAGCAATAGGAATTATACAGGAAGTAGCAAGTTCTTTTCTCCCTCTTTCTTCCCTCTAGTCTCCTCTGAGTGCTCCTATTGACAGAATATAACAGGGTGTTTGATATTCCTTTTGTATAGGATCTTGGTTTGAATCATCTCAGGCCAACGTATCTCCATGGGTTCCATATTTTGTCTTCAGGATTCCACATTTTTATTAGCCATTGGAGGGGAATGCAGTTAGTTCCCAAATGTAGCCCTCTCCATTCTGCTGCCATTATCTGCTTTAGTTTTCTCAGGAGCAAGTTATGCAACAAAAGACTGTGGTTCCCAATGGCAGGGAATACATGAGAAATTTTACAGGCTTTTTTTTATTCTTTCTTAAGTCTCTCTAGGCTTGGGGTGAAGCACAGATACCACCTATACTCCTCTTGCAATGGCTCGAAATTATAGGACAGCTGTCTTCATGGAAATCCTCTTCACAAATACTTTTGATGTGTTTCCTTTTTGTTCTACTTTTTGTTTTAAAGAACAGCCAATGATATATTTTGTCTGTTTTCATAATTGTTTATACTGGAGGGTAAGTCCAATACTAGTTATTGTAACATGGCCAAAAGCCTCCTGTAAATCCTTTCTGTAATTACCTTTTCTCCACTCAAATTCTGAGTGCTAGATGGCTGTGTAAAATCTTACAACATTTTTTAAATAGCTCTGCTTTTATAAGGGCTAGAAGAGGAGGGAACACTTTCCAAATCATTCTATAAAGCCAGTGTTATTTTGATACTAAAATTAACATATTACAAGAAAAGAAAACTACCAACGAATACTCCTATGAATATGGAGCTTAAAAGCGTCAACAAAATATTAGCAAACAGAATTCAGCAACATATAAGAAAGATTATATACTATGACTGATCAGAGTTTATCCTAGGAATGCAATATTAGTTCAATATACCAATCAAAGAAAATGTAAAATACAAATGCAAAAACCAGTCAGTATAACAGATCACATTAATAGAATAAAGGAAGAAAATCACACGATCATCTCAAAAGATGCAGAAAAAGCATTTGAAACAATTCAACTTCTCCTGACAACACTTGAATACAAGCAAACTTCCTTAACCTGATAAAGGGCAACTGTGAAAACAGACTAACATTTTGCTTAATGGTGAAAGACTGATAGCTTTACCCTTAACACTAGGAATAAAAGACAAAGATGTCCACTCTAATCTCTGCTATTTAACATTGTACTGAAGGATCAAGCCAGGGAAATTAAGAAAGAGAAATATAAGGCATCCAGATCAGAAAGGAAGAAGTGAAACTATCTTTATTTATAGATAACATGATCTTGTGTATAGAAAATTCTAAGGAATACATACACACACAAATTATCAGAACTAATAAACGATTTTAGCAATGTTGTAGGATACATGATCAGTATGCAAGATTCAATTATATACTTCTATTTCTTAGCAATAGATAAACCAAAAATGGATTTAAGAAGATAATTTCATTTATAATAGTATCAAAAAGAATAAAATAGGAATGAATTTAACAAAAAATTGTGAGAACTATACAGTGAAAACTTAAAAACATCATATAAAAATTACCAAAATAAGAAAGACATGGATTGGAAGACTTAGATGTGTTTAGAGGACAATACTCTTCAAATTGATCTATAGATTCAGTGCAATCCTATCAAATTCCCAGATGCCCTTTTTTGCTGGAATTGACAAGGTAATCTTAAAATTCATATGAAAATGCAAGCCAAAATAATCTTGAAAAAGAAAAACAAAGTTCAGCACAGACACTTCTCAATTTCAAAACTTACTACAAAACAACAATAAGTCAAAGCAGTGTGGTACTGGTTTAAGGATAGATACATTGATCAATGGAATAGAATTGAGAATCCAGAAATAAACCTTATATTTATAGTTAATTGATTTTTAACAGGGATTCCAAGAAAATTCAGTTGGGAAAGAATAATCTTTTTAAAAAAGTGGTTCTGGGACAACTGGATATCTATATGCAAGTAAATAAGGTTGAGTTGAACCCCTACCTATATGAAAAACTTAAAATGGATCAAAGATGTAAATGTAAGAGCTCAAGCTATAAAATTCTTAGAAAAAAAAACAGGCATAAATCTTCATGATCTTGGATTAGGCAACTATTTCTTAGATATGATACTAAAAGCATAAGCATGAAAGGAAAAATACATACATTGGATTTCATAAAGAGTTAGATTCTCCCCCTTTCAGGAGGCAGTGCTTAATTTTGCCTTTAGTGTGGTCTGGGTTTAGTAACTTCTAATTAAAATAATATAGAAAGGGAAAATTAGTAACTTTGTAGTCAGAAACGTGGCTGACATTATCTTAATCAAGAGATCAAGGTTGCTGTTTAGTCTGTTCTCACATTGCTGTAAAGAAATACGTGAGACTGGGTAATTTTGTTTTTTTTTTTTGAGACGGAGTCTCACTCTTCTGGCCCTGTCTGGAGTGCAGTGGCGCAATCTCGGCTTACTGCAACCTCTGCCTCCTGGGTTCGAGCAATTCTACTGTCTCAGCCTGTACACTGGGAATTTTTAAGAAAAGAGGTTTAGTTGGCTAATGGTTCCACAGGCTGTACAGGAAGCATGGTAGCATCTTCTTCTGGGGAGGTCTCAGGGAGTTTTACTCATGGTGGAAGGCAAAGCTGGAGCAGGCATCTTCACGTGGCTGGAGCAGGAGGAAGGGAGAGAAGGGGGAGGTGCTACACATTTTTAAACAACCAGATCCCATGATAGCTCACTCGCTCACTTTCACAAGAACAGGACGTAGGGGATGGTGCTAAATCATTCATGAGAAACCGCCTGCATGATCCAGCCACCTACTACCAGGCCCCAGCTCCAACACTGGGGATTACAGTTAAACATGAGATTTGGATGGGACACAGATCCAAACCATATTATTTACCATCACCAGTAATAAGTCATACTGATATGTACTTCCAAGTATGAGGTGATGAGAGGGGCACTTCATCTGTATAGTATTCTTGTCAGGGATTCCTGACCCTGGTATCATCATGAGAAAACATCAAACAAGCCCAAATTGGGAAACAAAATACATACCACAGTCTACAAAATACATACCACAGCAGTGCTCTTCAAAAGTTGTAAAGTCATTGAAAAACAAGGAAAGACGGAGGGACTCTCAGAGACTGGAGGAAACTAAGGTGAAATCAAGTCTAAGTGTAACGTAGTAACCTGCTTTGGATCCTGGAACAGAAAAATGGCATTATTGGAAAAACTGATGAAATTTGAACTTTGGTTAATAGTGTTGTACCCATTTCAATAACTTAGTTTTGACAAATGTACCATGATTATGTAAAATATTAAGATTGGAAGATTAAAGGAAGTGGTACCTTCTCTGTAACACTTCTGTAAATCTAAAATTATTTCAAAATACAAAGCTTAAAAAATTACTGTAATTTACATGCTCTGTCATTTCCTCTTCTGCTTCTTTTGGAGAATTACGATTTTCCTCCCTCATAAAGAATCCACTTAAAAGTAATACTGATTGGCTTTGAATTCTGTGGGCTATTTATTTTTTTTATGTAAAAGAAAGTCTTTACAATCCTCATCAATCTAATCATCATATTTTAAAATCTGTAACAATATACTTTTGGTTCCATGATTCCAGAATATCATATTATTTGGTTGAAAAATCTGAATGTTACAGAGTTCTTGATCCATTAAATAGTTTGAATATGTATTTAAATTCAAGTCTCATATTTCAAATTATTATAATTTGCAGTAGAAGGTAAGTTGTTTTGCCTTTTAATAATGATAAAAATCAGATTAAACTAATATTATGCTAGGAGGTTTAATATTTATATTTTATATTCCACAATGTTCAAAAAATTCTTGAGTTAGGTTACAATAAAAATACACACAGCTATTTAAAAGCCTTGTTCCAGAAAAATATTTAAGAACACTAAAAGGTAAGTGTTACATTTTAAAAAATTATACAAAAGTTTTTACAATATTTTCATAGTTTTATAAAAGGGAATATATACTATCTCTATATATATATCTGGAAGAACATATATCAGAGTTGTTAGCAGAATAGTTATCTTTGGGTTGTGGTCTTTAAAATTTTTCTCTGCCCTTTTCTGCATTTTCAAAAGTATGTACAAGGAATTTTCAGTACTTTTGCAATTAGAAAAGCAATAAATATTAAAAACATACCTGCATACATATAATATGATTGTTAAAACTGGAAATAGCACAGAGAAAAGTCAGTAAATATTGTTTTCCTCAATAAATGAATCTAAAGTTTATAAGATTTGTTCACTTCCTGAGATTTATAAAATGGTTCTAACTTCTTCATGCTTTGTGTTTTAACTTATAAACACGTTCCAACACAGATGCAGACTTTATATGTCTCCATTAGCAGAAAAGACTCATGTCCCATACTTAGGACAATGAATTCTCAAAGAAATTGTGCTTTTACGTTTTTGTAGATGGCTAGCCATTGTATTGTGGAATAGCACTCCATTTAACCAGTATCATAGAGATAATGCGGAATTTTAAAAATAACTTAAGCTTAAATCTGTAAGTATAAAAACTTTTATTTTAATTATTTAGAGTGAAAATATTTGCACAATACTTTCCCAGCTTAAGTCCTATTTGACTCAGGGTTAGCTTTATGAATCTCAAATATTGAATTAAGCTGTGATGCATTGACATATTGTTAAGTATATTATATTATCACTTATTAAAATCAAATGCTTTCAGATTGTACAGAAGAAATATAAAGAAGACAAGATCTGGCCTACTCTCTAAATTGTCTACCAGCTCTTACTTCTCATTGGCTGTTGTGTCCACATGTAATTTACCATGATACGGTTCACCTAATTGTTGGAGCCTACGTGCAACTCTGCTTGTCCTATCATATAAAGTTCATGGATTTCACTATAGGGCTTTTAGCCTTTTTATTTCTGTTTTTTTTTTAAGTCAACTTCTAGTTCAAGGGTACAGATGATCAGAGGTCTTACCTGGGTTAAGTGGGGGGCATTACTGTATTTTCATAGCTAACTTAATTAAAAAAAAATGACCCAATGATTTGAGACTAGTGCTTACTTGTGATCTAAAATCAAATTTCTTGCACTTTTGACAAATCTGTATTGCAGAAGGCTGTAGTTGAAGTATGTGTAGTGAAGCTTTTATTAGACACTGTACTTGGCTCTTTCATGGTAAGGCACTTGCCTTTCTTGTTGAGATAATAATTACACTTATGCTATAAGATTTTAAGGGGATTAAGTGGAATGTATGTAAAGTGCTTAACACAGTGCCTGGAGCATGACAAGAGCATAATTCTTATTTGAGAAAGGAAGAAAAGGCCAATGTGGATGGAGAGTAAGTCAGATTGCTGTGCCATTAGAGGAAGGAAAGTGGGTAAGGGCCAAGTCAGGCTGTGTTAGGATTTGGGACTTCATTTGGGAGCAAAGTGGGAATTACTGAAGGGTTTTAAGCAAGGAATGGCGTGATCATACTTGAATTTTGAAAAGAATATTCAGGCTGCTCTTTGGAGATTGAATACCAGAAGAGCAGGTGTACATGTCTTTCCTCTGGTCTGTATGTGTATGAATTGAGGAACTTTGATTTAAGCCAGTGGTTTAAAATCCTTCCCATAAGTACATACGCGGAGTCTTAGCTTTCGACTTTTATTTTGACATAGTAATAGCACACTTGAAAGGTATGTAGCTCCTAGGTTCTAAGTATTTTTTGACCAAACTTGTGAATGTAGGGAAACCTACATAGGGAATAGGCAGAATGCCAAGGAGCAGACCAGACTTCAACGTGGCCTCCTGGATTCTCAGGTATTGTTTGCCTTTTACATGGAAGCTTTGCTTCCTCTCCAGGTTTTATTACTTTAGTCCCAGATAATATAGGACAACTCTGTGGCATAGTTGCTACCATTTGCCTATTCCCCACTCATCCTGGATTTTTCCCCCTCCTTGGAGTGCCAGAATCCTTACTGTAGCACTACATGTAGCTATCAAATTGTTAAGAGTTGGCAGTAGCATTGGGACTTATTAACATTCCTGATCCAGGCACTTGGCTTATCATTGTCATCTATGTGATATCATCTCTCTCTGCCTTAGTTTCTATATGGGTCTTAGCTATTGGATCTTTATCTGACTGCAGCTACCATAAATGCTTTGGCCTTTACCATATTTTGGTGTGTATCCCTTGGCTCACTTCTTGTAGACATGAAGGGCTTACTTTTCTTCCTGTCTGGATCTGGGATCTTCCTTTGGTCCTTTCTCTCGCCTTCTTGCTTTATCTGATTAATTTCTTTGTATTGTTGCCCACTTCTTAGGTTGATCATACCCAGTTCATCCTGAACGTCTTTCTTCAGGTGTAAATATATAGGGGAGAAACTGAAATATTAATGAGTGAAATAATATGTTATCTGATATTTGCTTTTAGAGATCCAAGGAAAACTAATAAAAAAGTGGCAGAAGCCTAGATGAATGAAGAATGACCCAATGTTGATATTTTTTTAAAGCTGGGTGATGTCTACATTATTCTATTATATTCTGTGTGTGTATGAATATATTCATAAGAAAAATAAAAAAGAGAAACGTAGAGATTAGGACATACTAATTTTTAGCCAAATAGAGGTCCTAAGGATGGAGGTATGAGAAGCAATATGTGATAGCCAAAAAAAGGGTGCTCTGTGTTGTCTTGACATATTAGACAGGCCAATCATTTCCTATTCTAATACATTGTCCCCTTCCAAGTGATTCCTTACAGACATCACTCCTTCATTTTCCTTGATCTTGCTATTCTGATCATAGTTGCTTGACCCAGGGAGGGGTTTTTAAACAAAGGCTTCTATCTGTGTGGCAATGTCTTAGCATTGGTGCTATTGACAGTTTGGACTGGATAATTCTCGGTGCTGTTGACATTGCATTGTAGGATGTTTAGCAGCATTCCTGGCTACCCACTAGATGCTAGTAGCACTACCTCTGCCCCCCAGTTGTGGTAACTAAAAATGTCTCCAAACATTGCCTCATGTCTGCTGGGGACATTTAGTAGTTCCCCAGTTGTGAACTACTAAAATATAGAGATATGAAACTTTAGCTAGGCTCTATCTTTGTGGATGCTTGTTACTTGTGGGCATTTAGATGACATTTATTTATTATTATTTATTCGTTTGCTTTTAAATTTTTTTATTTCCATAGGTTATTGGGGAACAAGTGGTGTTTGGTTACAAAAGTAAGTTCTTTAGTGGTGATTTGTGAGATTTTGGTGCACCCATCACCCAAGCAATGTACATTGCACCCTATTTGTAGTGTTTTATCCCTCACCCCTTCCCGCCCTTTCCCCCTGATTCCCCAAAGTGCATTGTGTCATTTTTATGCCTTTGCATCCTCATAGCTTAGCTCCTGCTTATGAGTGAGAACATAACGATGTTTGGTTTTCCATTCCTGAGTCACTTCACTTAGAATAATAGTCTCGAATCTCATCCAGGTCACTGCGAATGCCATTCATTCATTTTTATGGCTGAGTAGTATTCCATTGTATATATACAGTTTCTTTATCTACTTCTTTGATTGATGGACATTTGGGTTGGTTTCATGTTTTTGCAATTGCAAATTGTGCTGCTATAAACGTGTGTGTAAGTATCTTTTTCATTTAATGACTTCTTTTTCTCTGGGTATAAACCCAGTAGTGAGATTGCTGGATCAGATGGTAGTTCTACTTTTAGTTCTTTAAGAAATCTCCACATTGTTTTCCATAGTGGTTGTACTAGTTTACATTCCCACCAGCAGCGTAGAAGTGTTCCCTGTTCTCCGCATCCATGCCAACATCTACTATTTTTTGATTTTTTTGATTATGGCCAATCTTGCAGGAGTAGTGTGGTATCGCATTGTGATTTTGATTTAGATTTCTCTGTTCATTGGTGATGTTGAGCATTTTTTCATGTTTTTTGGGTATTTGTATATCTTCTTTTGAGAACTGTCTATTCATGTCCTTACCCCACTTTTTGATGGGATTGTTTATTTTTTCGTTGCTGATTTGTTTGAGTTCATTGTAGATTCTGGATATTAGTCCTTTGTCGTATGTATAGACTGTGAAGATTTTCTCCCACTCTGTGGGTTTTCTGTTTACTCTGCTGACTGCTCCTTTTCCCATGAAAAAGCTCTTTAGTTTAATTAAGTACCACCTATTTGTCTTTGTTTTTATTGCATTTGCTTTTGGGTTCTTGGTCATGAACTCTTTGCCTAAGCCAATGTCTAGAAGGGTTTTTCTAATGTTATCTTCTAGGATTTTTATGGTTTCAGGTCTTAGGTTTAAGTCCTTAATGTATCTTGAGTTGGTTTTTCTATAAGGTGAGAAATGAGGATCCAATTTCATTCTCCTACATGTGGCTAGGCAGCTATCCCAGCACAATTTGTTGAAAAGGGTGTCCTGTCCCCACTTTATCTTTTTGTTTGCTTTTTCAACGAGTCAGTTGGTTGTAAGAATTTGGGTTAATTTCTGGGTTCTCTATTCTGTTCCATTGGTCTATGTGCCTATTTTTATATCAGTACCATGGTGTTTTGATGAATATGGCCTTTAGTATAGTTTGAAATTAGGTAGTGTAATGCCTCCAGATTTGTTACTTTTACTTAATCTTGCTTTGGCTATGCAGGCTCTTTTTTGGTTCCATATGAATTTTAGAATTGTTTTTTCTAATTCTGTGAGGAATGATTAAGGTATTTTGATAGGAATTGCACTGAATTTGTAGATTGCTTTTGGCAGTATGGTCATTTTCACAATATTGATTCTCCCCATTCATGAGCATGGGATGTCTTTCCATTTCTTTGTGTTATCTATGATTTCTTTCAGCAGCATTGTGTAGTTTTCCTTGTAGAGGTCTTTCACCTCCTTGATTAGGTATATTCCTAAGTATTTTATTATTATTATTATTTTGCAGCTATTGTAAAAGGGGTTGAGTTCTTAATTTGATTCTCAGCTGGGCTTTGTTCATATTTTCTTATTTTTTTCTTTGTCTTTGTTGGATTGGGTTAATTCAAAGACCTTGTCTTCGAGCTCTGAATTTCTTCTTATTTGATTCTATTGCTGTGATTGCTGCGACTTTTCAGAGCACTTTGCATTTCTGTGTGTCCTTTGTTTCTGGAAGTTTTGATTGTTTTTTATTTATGCTATCTATTTCGTTGAATAGTTCTCCCTTCACTTCTTGTATCATTTTTTTTTTTTATTTCCTTACGTTGGGCTTCACCTTTCTCTGGTGCCTCCCTGATTAGCTTAATAACTAACCTCCTGAGTTATTTTTCAGATAAATCGGGGATTCTTCTTGGTTTGGGTCCATTGCTGGTGAGCTATTGTGATTTTTTGGGGGTGTTAACCAGCGTTGTTTTGTCATATTACCAGAGTTGGTTTTCTGGTTCCTTCTCATTTTAGTAGGCTCTGTTAAAGGGAAGGTCTAGGGCTGAAGATGTTGTTCAGATTCTTTTGTCCAATGGGGTGTTCCCTTGATGTAGCACCCTCCCCCTTTTCCTGAGAGCTGAGGTATAGTAATTGTTATCTCGCTTCTGGATCTAGCCACCCAGCAAGTCTACCAGGCTTCGGGCTGGTACTGGGAGTTGTCTGCGTAGAGTCCTGTGATGTAAACTGTCTGTGGGTCTCTCAGCCGTGGATACCAGCACCTGTTTCGGTGGAGGTGGCAGGGGGTGAAATGGACTCTGTGAGGGTTCTTAGCTTCATTTTTGTGTTGGTTGGCCCCCTGCTGGGAGGTGGAACTTTCCAGAGAGCCTCAGCTGTGGTAGTATGGGGAGGAACAGAGGCTGTGAGTAGGGCCCTAGAACTCCCGAGTATATGCCCTTTGATTTCAGTTACCAGGGTGGGTAGGGAAGGACTGTTGGGTGGGGTCAGGGCTAGGCATGTCTGAGCTCAGACTCTCCTTGGGCAGGTCTTGCTGCAGCTGCTGTGGGGTATGGGAGGAGGTTCCCAGGTCAATGGAGTTATGTTACTAGGAGGATTATGGCTGCCTCTACTGTGTCATGCAGGTTGTCAGGGAAGTGGAGGAAAGCTGGCAGTCACAGGCCTCACCAGCTCTCACACAATCTGACGGGCTGGTCTCACTCCCACCGTGCCCCTCCCCCCAACAGCACCAAGTCTGTTTCTGGGCAGTGGAGGAACAGGGCTGAGAACTTGCCCCAGGCTATCCACCTCCTAGCTACAAAAGCAAGTATGGCTTTCCTTCTTTCCCTGGCTCTGGAGTCTGTACACCAGACTCATGCCCTCCCCTGAGTTCTGGCCAGGAGACTTCTCAATCAGTTCAAATTGTTAAAAAGTTCAGCTGGAGATTTCCTTCTCTCTGTGGCCTTTCCCCAGTGCCTCTAGCTGCCCTGCCAAAGGACCCCTGTGAGGCCAGGCAGAAATGGTTTGCTAGAAGGCCCAATGAGCTCACAGGGCTTTTCCCCTGTTTCCTCTACGCCTATATTTTGCTCAGCTCTAAATAGAGTCAGCTCCAGGTAAGGTTGGAATCTTCTCCCATAATCTAGACCTTCAGTTTCCCCAGTGGGGGCATGTGTTCAGGGGCGGATGATCTCCCTCTCCCATTTCCAAAAATTTGGGCACTCACAGTATTTGGGGTGTCTCCCAGGTCCTGCGGGAGCAACCTGCTTCCTTCAGAGGGTCTGTGGGTCCTTTCAGGTTTCCTGATTTATTCCTGAAGTCATTCTGGAGAATAAATCATGATGTGAGCTTCCACATGCTGCTTTGTCTGTTGAGTCAAAGTTGCAGTCTAGTCCTGCCTCTCATCCTCCATGATCTGATGACGTAATTTTTTTTTTTCATATTAAATGGACAGGCTGATTCTAAGTATTATAAATAAATAGTAATTTTAAAATAAAAAATTTCAGGTCTTCTTACATGTTTGTTACAATAATATAAACTTGTTTTGTGCTTGGGCCCTCTGGCTTTTTAGCTTTATCATATACAGTCTTGATTTTTTTTTTTTGCATAAAATTTTCTTTGGATTATTATTTCCTCAATTTCAGTGTAAGATATTTTATTTTATAAAATCTTCTATACGTTACTATTATTTTCATCATTTGCAAAGTATAATTTCTTTTCCTTTTGTTTTTAGATACAATTATGTACTGCTAATTTTTTTATTTTAAAAATTAACCTAATTTTACAATGTCTTTAGAAATGTAGCCTTTACTTGGATGGGAGAATCTTGAAATTTATTTGATAAATTTTGTGGTCCTGGGCACAGTGTAAATGAAACATTTTCAGGTGCTACAGTATATAAATAAATGAATGTTTTTCCTGGCTCAGTTTTGTACTATAACTAGCCAACAACTCTTGTGTTAACTTCTTCAACTAAATGGAAGTGCACTAGTACATACTTCTGATTTAATAAAATCCTCAAAATAGGTTTTTGTGCTAATATATTTATAACATGCAGGTGTTTGACACAGAAATATAAATTACTTGTACATAATATTGGTTCAGGGAAATACTGAAATCTGTTGGGGAGGATATTAAAATATTTGAACATTTATTTTACAATTCAGCTTGAACATTTTTCAGAACTGGTAAAGAGTTCATAGTTCTATTTTATGATTCATTTTTCTCTGTTGAACGTTTCTAACTTTGTATGATTTTTATCATTTCTTTATTTTTCTTGCTTTTTTATTATTTAGATGGTCTGGTTGTATAATTTCTTATTTCTGGAGCACAAAACAGAGATTTGAGTACTACTGAAAAATCCATGTAATTATTCCTAAGAATCTTCTTTATCAGATCTTTTTATCACACTTTTCTATAAAAACATGCATAGTCTATGGTTATCTTGTTCCACGAGAACTACAAGTCTTCTGGTCTACTTAGGATGATAGTCATATTTGTATGTTACGTTAAAAAATTGGTCACATTTGTAAGTGATTTTAGAGAGACAACATTATTAAATGAATTATTTCAAAAAGATACTTAAGTTGGTGAAGGTTCATCTCTAAAATTCAAACATGCTACTTTAATTGGCCTCATAAGATATTTATTTAAAATATATTTATTGAGTACTCACTAAATGACAGTGTTCTTTTTTACTTTTCTTTTCCATCATCATTTCTCATCAATTGCATAAAAACAAATTTTCAAGTAAGAAAGAGTAAGGAAAAAAATATGATTAAAATTAGGATTTCTTTTTATTTTATTTTAAGTTCTGGGATACATGTGCAGGACATGCAAGTTTGTTACATAGGTAAACGTGTGCCATGGTGGTTTGCTGTACCTAGCAACACATTGCCTAGGTATTAAGCCCCACATGCATTAGGTATTTGTATTAGGGTTCCCTAGAGGGATAGAACTAATAGGATATATATGGGAGTTTAGGAAGTATTAACTTACCTGATCACAAGGTCCCACAATAGGCTATCTGCGAGCTTGAGGAGCAAGGAGAGCCAGTCTGAGTCTCAAAACTGAAGAACTTGGAGTCTGATGTTTGAAAGCAAGAAGCATCCAGTATGAGAGAAAGATGTAGGCTGAAGGCTAGGCCAGTCTTGCCTTTTCACATTTTTCTGTTTTATATTCGCTGGCACCTGATTAGATTGTGCCCACCAGATTAAAGGTGGGTCTGCCTTCCCCAGCCCACTGACTCAAATGTTAATGTCACAAACACACTCAGGATCCATACTTTGTATCCTTCAGTCCAATCAAGTTGACAGTGTTAACCATCACATTATTTATCCTGATGTTCTCCCTCCCCCATTCCCCCCACTCCTACAGGCCCCAGAGTATGTTGTTCCCCTCCCTGTGTTCATGTGTTCTCATTGTTCAGCTCCCACTTATAAGTGAGAATATGTGGTGTTTGGTTTTCTGTTCCTGTGTTAGTTTGCTGAGGATAATGGTTTCCAGCTCCTTCTATGTCCCTGCAAAGGACATGATCTCTTTCCTTTTTATGGCTGCATAGTATTCCATGGTGTATATGTACCCACATTTTCTTTATCCATTCCATCATTCATAGGCATTTGGGTTGATTCCATGTCTTTGCCGTTGTGAATAGTGCTGCAGTGAACATACATGTGCATGTATTTTTATAATAGAATAATTTATATTTCTTTGGGTATATACCCAGTAATAGGATTGCTGGGTCAGATGGTATTTCTAGTTCTAGGTCTTTGAGGAATCACCTCACTGTCTTCCACAATGGTTGACCTAATTTACATTCCCACCAACAGTGTAAAAGTGTTCCTTTTTCTCTACAGCCTCACCAGTATCTGCTGTTTCTCAACTTTTTAATAATCACCATTCTGACTGATGTGAGATGGTATCTCATTGTAGTTTTTATTTGCATATCTCTAATGATCAGTGATGTTGAGCATTTTTAAATGTTTGTTGGCCATATAAATGTCTTCTTTTGAGAAGTGTCTGTTCATGTCCTTTGCCCACTTTTTAATGGGGTTTTTTTCTTGTAAATTTGTTCAAGTTCCTTATAGATTCTGGTTATTAGACCTTTGTCAGATGGATAGATTGCAAAATTTTTCTCCTATTCTGTAGGTTGTCTGTTCACTCTGATAATAGTTTCTTTTTTTGTGCAGAAGCTTTTTAGTTTAATTAGATCCCAATTGTCAATTTTTGCTTTTGTTGCAATTGCTTTGACATGCTTATGTCCTGAATGTTATTGGGTTTTCTTCTTGGGTTTGTATAGTTTTGGGCTTTACATTTAAGTCTTTACTCCATCTTGAGTTAATTTTTTTATAAGGTGTAAAGAAGATATCCAGTTTCATTTTTCTGCATATGGATAGCCAGTTTTCCCAGCACCATTTGTTAAATAGGGAATCCTTTCCCCATTCCTTGTTTTTGTTAAGTTTATCAAAGATCAGATGGTTCTAGATGTGTGGTCTTATTTCTGAGGTCTCTATGCAGTTCCATTGGTCTATGTGTCTGTTTTTGTACCAGCACCACGCTGTTTTGGTTACTGTAGTCTTGTAGTATAGTTTGAAGTCAGGTAGTGTGATGCCTCCAGCTTTGTTCTTTTTGCTTAGGATTCTTGGTTGCATATGAATTTTAAAGTAGTTTTTTTCTAATTCTGTGAAGAATGT
This sequence comes from Homo sapiens, assembly GCF_000001405.40. Classification (NCBI taxonomy): domain Eukaryota; kingdom Metazoa; phylum Chordata; class Mammalia; order Primates; family Hominidae; genus Homo; species Homo sapiens. The sequence continues at coordinate 97,212,821 of NC_000005.10, forward strand.
CAATGGTAGTTTAATGGGAATAGCATTGAATCTATAAATTACTTTGGGCAATAAGGCCATTTAAGAATATTGATTCTTCCTATTCATGAGCATGGAATATTTTTCCATTTGTTTGTATCCTTTCTTATTTCCTTGAGCAGTGGTTTGTAGTTCTTCTTGAGGAGGTCCTTCACTTGCCTTGTTAGCTGTATTCCTAGGTATTTTATTCTCTTTGTAGCAGTTGTGAATGGGAGTTCATTCACAATTTGTCTTTCTGCTTGTCTATTGTTGGTGTATAGGAATGCTTGTGATTGTTGCACATTGATTTTGCATCATGAGACTTAGCTGAAGTTGTTTATTAGCTTAAGAAGCTTTTGGGCTGAGACAGTGGGGTTTTCTAGATATAGATTATGTCATCTAGAAACAAAGACAATTTGACTTCCTCTCTTCTTATTTGAATAACCTATATTTCTTTCTCTTGCCTGATTGCCACTGCCAGAACTTCCAATACTATGTTAAATAGGAGTGGTAAGAGAGGGCATCCTTGTCTTGTGCTGGTTTTCAAAGGGAATGCTTCCAGCTTTTGCACATTGAGTATAATATTGGCTGTGGGTTTGTTATAAATGGCTTTTATTATTTTGAGGCATATTCCATCAATACCTAGCTTATTGAGAGTTTTTAACATGAAGGGATATAGAATTTTATCGAAGGCCTTTTCTGCATCTATTGAGATAATCATGGTTTTTCTCTTTAGTTCTGTTTATGTGATGAATTACATTTATTGGTTTACATATGTTGAACCAGCTTTGCATCCTAAGGAGGAATTTGATTTGATTGTGCTGTATAAGCTTTTTGCTGTGCTGCTGGATTTGGTTTGCCAGTATTTTATTGAGGATTTTTCCATTGATGTTCATCAGGGATATTGGCCTCAAGTATTTTTTATTGTTGTTGTATTTCTTCCAGGTTTTGGTATCAGGATGATGCTGGCCTCATAAAATGAGTTAGGGAGAAGTTCCTCCTTTTCAGTTGCTTGGAAGAGTTTCAGAAGAAATGGTACCAACTCCTCTTTGTACCTCTGATAGAATTCAGCTGTAAATCTGTCAAGTCCTGGGATTTTTTTGGTAGCAAGCTGGATAAAGAATCAAGACCCATTGGTGTGCTGTATTCAAGAGACCCATCTCATGTGCAAAGACACACATAGGCTCAAAATAAAGGAATGGAGGAAAATTTACCAAGAAAATGGAAAGCAGAAAAAAGCAGGGGTTGCAATTCCAGTTTCTGATAAAATAGACTTTAAACCAACAAAGATCAAAAAAAGATAAGGAAGGGCATTACATAATGGTAAAGGGATCAATTCAACATGAAGAGCTAAGTGTCCTAAATATATATTCATGCAATACAAGAGCAATCAGATTTATAAAACAAGTTCTTAGAGACCTACAATGAGACTTAGTCTCCCACACGATGATAATGGTAGACTTTAACACCCCACTGTCAACATTAGATAGATCATTGAGATGGAAAATTAACAAATATATTCAGGACTTGAACTCAGCTCTGGATCAAGTGGACCTGATATATATCTACAGAACTCTCCACCTGAAAACAAGAGAATGTACATTCTTCTCAGCGCCACATGGCACTTACTCTAAAATTGATCACATAATTGAAAGTAAAACACTCCTCAGCAAATGCAAAAGAGCTGAATTCATAACAGTCTCTCAGACCACAGCACAAATCATATTAGAACTCAAGATTAAGAAACTCACTCAAAACCACACAACTACATGGAAATTGAACAACCTGCTCCTGAATGACTCCTGGGTAAATAATGAAATTAAGGCAGAAATCAAGAAGTTCTTTGAAACCAATGAGAACAAAGAGACAATGTACCAGAATCTCTGGGACATGGCTAAAGCAGTGTTAAGAGGGAAATTTATAGCACTAAATGCCTACATCAAAAAGCTAGAAAGATCTCAAATTGATACCCTAACATCATGACTAAAAGAACCAGAGAGCCAAAAGCAAACAAACCCCAAAGCTAGTAGAAGACAAGAAATAACTGAGATCAGAGCAGAACTGAAGGAGATAGAGACATGAAAAGCCCTTCGAAAAGCCAATGAATCTAGGAGCCATTTTTTTTGAAAAATATTAATAAAATAGATAGACTGCTAGCTCGACCAATAAAGAAGAAAAGAAAGAAGAATCAAATAGACACAAAAAAAGTGTTAAAGGGGATATCACCACTGACCCCACAGAAATACAAACAACCATCAGATAATATTATAAACACCTCAATGCAAATAAACTAGAAAATCTAGAAGAAATGGATAAATTCCTGGACACATACACCCTCCCAAGACTGAACCAGGAAGAAGCTGAATCCCTGAATAGACCAATAACAAGTTCTGAAATTGATGCAGCAATAAATAGCCTACCAACCAAAAATGAGGATTAATAATTAGAGAATTAGTTAGAATATTTAGAAAATTAATAATTCACACATTTAAAAATGATTGATTATGCATACGTTTTTAGAATAATATAGTCATGTTCTTTGCCTCCTTTAAATCTTCCCCTAAATATCCCTTTCCTAGTGAGACCTACTTTGACTACCCAATTTGAAATTATAATCTCAACCACCATGTACTTCCTATCTTCCCTTAGTCTGTCTTCCCTCTTTTAATAGCACTTATCATTTGCAGGCATACCTTATTGCTATGGTTTGAATGTGTTCCCTCCAAGCTTCATGTTGGAAGTTAATCCTCCTTGTGATGGTATTAAGAGGTGGGGTCTTTGCGGAAGTGATTAAGTTCATGAGTGGAATACCCTTACATCCACATGAATAGAATACCCTTACAAAAGAGGCTTCAGAGACAGTTTGCCCTTTTGCCTTCCCATCCCTTCTACTATATAAGAACACCTAGATGGAGTCTTCTATGAGGAACTGAACTTCCCCTGACACTAACCCTGTCAGTGCCTTAATCTTGGACTTCCCAGCTTCCAGAACTGTGAGAAATAAGTTTCTGTTCTTTATAAATAACCCAGTCTCAGGTATTTTGTCATAGCAGCACAAACGGGAAAAGACACATATATTATGCTTATTGTTAATTGTCTGTGTACCCCATGCCAACTATAAACTCCTTTAGGAGTTTTGTCTGTTTCATGTGCTTGTCATGCAGGTGCCTGGTGCATAGTATTTCAGTGCATTAGAAGGATCTTTGTTATAGGGAATTCTAGATTTACGTCTCTGCTAACAGTCATTTCTATTGTTTTGTTGTTGTTATTAATTCAAACTAAAAACTCAGAAAGATCTTGAAGGATGACCTGAATGAATAAAAAAAACTCTGTTTGGTATTCTTTTTTTTTTTTGAGTCGGAGTCTCACTCTGTCGCCTAGGCTGGAGTGCAGTGGATAGGAAGAAATACTGTCAAACAAAGAAATGCTATCTCAGTGGTTTTGAGAAGTGTATTCATCCAAATGCTTGGATCCTGAATTCCTAAATTTCTCCAGGGGTCAGAGAGAAGTATAGAGTAGATATTTTAAATAGCCAGCTGGTGTTCTGAATCTGGCCTACAGTTATATTTTGTTTGGCCTGCATGGTGTTTTTTAAAAGTATGGATTAATGGCAAGTATTTAATAGTTGATAGTTTTCACACAAAAATTCAGATTTCCAACCTCTGGAAAATTGAAATATCTGACCATAGTGAACCTTCTTTCCCACGTAGCAACAATTAGCTGAATTGAGTGATGGTGCTCTTTGGGCAATACTCTAGTTTGCAATAGCTCTCATCTCTCCCTCTTCTCCCTGGTCACTGACATGTAGTGTTAATTACCATTTATCATTGTACATGCACTATGACTTTTTTCTTGTATTTGCTCAGCAGTCATGAATTTGCATCTGCTACTGTAGAGGGAAAGCTCTCCCTGGAAAGCCTTTTCCTGTAACCCTCTTCTCAGGGCCAGTGTTAGGCCCTCTCTTCCTAATGCCCCCACAGCATCTAGTCCATACCTCCCTTCAAAACTTATCATTTTAAATAAGTGTTCACTTTGTAATCTTATTTCCTAGACATGAATATTTTGAGGTAAAGCTCTTGTATTTTGTTGTATCCTCTGGAAACTCAAAGGTGTCTGACATTTAAAAAGTGCTGAATTTATGTTTGTTTTTAAATGAGAGGAATTAAATTTTTTTTAAAACAGATTCTAGGATACAAGACAATTTCCAGGAATAATTATTTCTTTATGATATTCTAATATTTGTCAGCAAAACTCATTAAAAGGGATACTCTGATGATTGCTGCAGAACAAAGCAAGACTAGGGTGAGGCAAGAGAGGTTTCTACAGTGAAATTTAAGGAGACACTCTTTCTCAGGGTAAGGCAAGTGCCTCCTTAAATTTTGTGCCATAGAGCTACTTAGGAGGCTGAGGCAGGAGGATTGAGGAGGTCAAGATCAGCCTGGGCAACATAGTGAGACCCTGTCTTAAAAAAAGAAAAAATTAGCCGTGTGTTGTTGGTTCATACTTGTAGTCCTAGTTACTAGAGAGGCTGAGGTGGGAGGGTTACTTGAGCCCAGGAGGTTGAGGCTGCAGTGAACTATGATTATACCACTGCACTCCAGTCTAAGTGACAGAGTGAGACCCTGTCATAAAATAAAATAAAATAATAAAATAAAATAAAATAAAATAAAATAAAATAAAAAAAGTTATGCCAGAGAAGCTTCTCTTGCTTCAACATACTCCCAGTCCCACTTCTGAAAGACATATACAAATGGATTTTTAATTTAAAGGTAAAATATTGGTCCTAATTGGAAGGGGTATAGCAGTAGGACTGTAGATTGGTTTTAGGAAACATGACCATGAGAAAAGATATTTTATTATTATTAAAAAAAAACTTACACTTCTAGATGCCTCAAAGATTTTCTTTTTAGGATTGGTCTTAAGCAATTTGATTATGATATGCTTGAGTGTATTGTCTTTATTTATTTTTATTTTTCGCTTGGAATTTGTTAAGCTTCTTAGATCTGTGAGTTTATAGTTTTCATCAAATTTGAAAAAAAATTAGCCTTTATTTCTTCAAATATTTTTTTTATCTTCCCCCGTCTCTTCTTGTTTTAGGGACTTATAATTATACATATATCAGGCAACTTGAAGTTGTTGCACAGCTTACTGATAACTTCATTGGTTTTCAGTCTTTTTTCTCTTTGTGTTTTACTTTGGATACTTTGCTATGACTTCAGGCTCACTAATACTTTCTTGTGCAGCATTTAATATACTTTTAGTCTTATCTAGCATATTTTTCATTTCAGACATGTAGTTTTCGCATATGGAACTTTGATTTGGGTTGTTGGTATGTCTTTTATGTCTATGCAAAACAGTCAATTTTTCCTCTTGTTTTCTTATATATGGAATATGGTAATAGTAACTGTTTTAATGTGCTTGTCTCCTAATTCTGTCATCTGTGTCATTTCTAAGTTGGTTTCAATGACTGACTTTTCCCCCTCTTTATGGCTTTTACTTTTCTGCTTATCTGCATGCCTACTAATTTTTGATTAGGTGCCAGACATGGTGATTTTAGTTTGTTGGATGCTGTATATTTTTGTTTTTACTCCTATAAATATTCTTGAGCTTGATTCTGGGACTCAGAGTCTCTTATAAACAGTTTGATCCTTTCCAGGTAACATGGACTTTTTTTTAAAATTATACTTAAGTTTTAGGGTACATGTGCACAACGTGCAGGTTTGTTACATATGTATACATGTGCCATATTGGTGTGCTGCACCCATTAACTCGTCATTTAACATTAGGTATATCTCCTAATGCTATCCCTCCCCTCACCCCACAACAGTCCCCGGTGTGTGATGTTCCCCTTCCTGTGTCCATGTGTTCTCATTGTTCAATTCCCACCTATGAGTGAGAACATGTGGTGTTTGGTTTTGTGTCCTTGTGATAGTTTGCTGAGAATGATGGTTTCTAGCTTTATCCATGTCCCTACAAAGGACATGAACTCATCATTTTTTATGGCTGCATAGTATTCCATGGTGTATATGTGCCACATTTTCTTAATCCAGTCTATCATTGGTGGACATTTGGGTTGGTTCCAAGTCTTTGCTATTGTGAATAGTGCCACAATAAACATACATGTGCATGTGTCTTTATAGCAGCATGATTTATAATCCTTTGAGTATATACCCAGTAATGGGATGGCTGGGTCAAATGGTATTTCTAGTTCTAGATCCCTGCAGAATTGCCACACAGACTTCCACAATGGTTGAACTAGTTTACAGTCCCACCAACAGTGTAAAAGTGTTCCTATTTCTCCACATCCTCTCCAGCACCTGTTGTTTCCTTTTGAATGATCGCCATTCTAACTGGTGTGAGATGGTATCTCATTGTGGTTTTGATTTGTATTTCTCTGATGGCCAGTGATGGCGAGCATTTTTTCATGTGTTTTTTGGCTGCATAAATGTCTTCTTTTGAGAAGTGTCTGTTCATGTCCTTTGCCCACTTTTTGATGGGGTTGTTTGTTTTTTTCTTGTAAATGTGTTTGAGTTCATTGTAGATTCTGGATATTAGCCCTTTGTCAGATGAGAGATTGCAAAAATTTTTTCCCATTCTGTAGGTTGCCTGTTCACTCTGACAGTAGTTTCTTTTGCTGTGCAGAAGCTCTTGAGTTTAATTAGATCCCATTTGTCAATTTTGGCTTTTGTTGCCGTTGCTTTTTGTGTTCTAGACATGAAGTCCTTGCCCATGCCTATGTCCTGAATGGTATTGCCTAGGTTTTCTTCTAGGGATTTTATGGTTTTAGGTCTAACATTTAAGTCTTTAATCCATCTTGAATTAATTTTTGTATAAGGTGTAAGGAAGGGATCCAGTTTCAGCTTTCTACATATGGCTAGCCAGTTTTCCCAGCACCATTTATTAAATAGGGAATCTTTTCCCCATTTCTTGTTTTTGTCAGATTTGTCAAAGATCAGATAGTTGTAGATATGTGGCATTATTTCTGAGGGCTCTATTCTGTTCCATTGGTCTATATCTCTGTTTTGGTACCAGTATCATGCTGTTTTGGTTACTGTAGCCTTGTAGTATAGTTTGAAATCAGGTAGCGTTATGGCTCCAGCTTTGTTCTTTTGGCTTAGGATTGACTTGGCAATGCGGGCTCTTTTTTGGTTCCATATGAACTTTAAAGTAGTTTTCTTCCAATTCTGTGAAGAAAGTCATTGGTAGCTTGATGGGAATGGCATTGAATTTATAAATTACCTTGGGCAGTATGGCCATTTTCACGATATTGATTCTTCCTACCCATGAGCATGGAATGTTCTTCCATTTGTTTGTATCCTCTTTTATTTCCTTGAGCAGTGCTTTGTAGTTCTCCTTGAAGAGGTCCTTCACATCCCTTGTAAGTTGGATTCCTAGGTATTTTATTCTCTTTGAAGCAATTGTGAATGGGAGTTCACTCATAATTTGGCTCTCTGCTTGTCTGTTATTGGTGTATAAGAATGCTTGTGATTTTTGCACTTTGATTTTATATCCTGAGACTTTGCTGAAGTTGCTTATTAGCTTAAGGAGATTTTGGGCTGAGACGATGGGGTTTTCTGGATATATAATCATGTCATCTGCAAACAGAGACAATTTGACTTCCTCTTTTCCTAATTGAATACCCTTTATTTCCTTCTCCTGCCTGATTGCCCTGGCCAGAACTTCCAACACTATGTTGAATAGGAGTGGTGAGAGAGGGCATCCCTGTCTCGTGCCAGTTTTCAAAGGGAATGCTTCCAGTTTTTGCCCATTCAGTATGATATTGGCTGTGGGTTTGTCATAGATAGTTCTTATTATTTTGAGATATGTCCCATCAATACCTAATTTATTGAGAGTTTTTAGCATGAAGGTTGTTGAATTTTGTCAAAGGCCTTTTCTGCATCTATTGAGATAATCGTGGTTTTTGTCATTGGTTCTGTTTATATGCTGGATTACATTTATTGATTTTTGTATGTTGAACCAGCTTTGCATCCCAGGGATGAAGCCCACTTGATCATGGTGGATAAGCTTTTTGATGTGCTGCTGGATTCGGTTTGCCAGTATTTTATTGAGGATTTTTGCATCAATGTTCATCAGGGATATTGGTCTAAACTTCTCTTTTTTTGTCGTGTCTCTGTCAGGCTTTGGTATCAGGATGATGCTGGCCTCATAAAATGAGTTCGGGAGGATTCTCTCTTTTTCTATTGATTGGAATAGTTTCAGAAGGAATGATACCAGCTCCTCCTTGTACCTCTGGTAGAATTCGGCTGTGAATCCCTCTGGTCCTGGACTTTTTTTGGTTGGTAAGCTATTAATTATTGCCTCAATTTCAGAACCTGTTATTGGTCTATTCAGAGATTCAACTTCTTCCTGGTTTAGTCTTGGGAGGGTGTATGTGTCGACGAATTTATCCCTTTTTTCTAGATTTTCTAGTTTATTTGCGTAGAGGTGTTTATAGTATTCTCTGATGGTAGTTTGCATTTCTGTGGGATTGGTGGTGATATCCCCTTTATCATTTTTTATTGCATCTATTTGATTCTTCTCTCTTTTCTTCTTTATTAGCTGGTTTTTTGAAAAGATCAACAAAGTTGATAGACCACTAGCAAGACTAATAAAGGTAACATGGACATTTAAGCCGGTGAATAGAAAGAAAGAATACACCAGGGAATGCAGTGTGGAAAGATAATTGTTCTGGAAGCCAAGGGCATAGTGTTAAGAAATAGAGAAACTATATGCAGATCACATGCTGCTGAGAGGTCAAATGGAACAGAATGAAAACAAGCTACCAAATAATGTCATTTATTTTATGCAGAGAATATTCTTTTAGTGTTGTGAGTAGAAATGAGATTATAAAGGGTTGAGGATGGAGAGAGGCAGAGAGTAGATTTTCTTCTTTTTTTATTTGTACAGATTCTCTTTCTCCTTATATTTTTCTCAGTTTCCTTAACAAATAGACCAACAGCTTTTGATGGGTATACTTTTTTTTAAAAAATGTATTTTTTCCTATTTAGACTTATTCAGAGGATGAAATACCTTTACTTGTGGAGGTTGGCTGTTAACTACCAACATTTATCTGACTGGGTATATTTTTAGGGTTTGGAAAAATAGATGTTACTATCTTCAGGTTTCAAACTATAAAGGAAAGTCCTAAATAAATTTCTCATTGTTACTGATTTGGTATTACTCTGCAGAGTTTCCTAGTTCAGGTTCAAAATTACAGCCTGCGTTCATTTTATAATAACACACCACTTGTTCTACCCTCATATGTAGCACCAGCATGTTTAGTAGTAAAATAGGAGATTGGCAACATCCAGAGAAGAACAAATCATTCCTTTACAGCTTTTCTTAACTTATAAAATAAAAATATATATACTAGAAGTACTATAAGTGAAATCTCAAAAATTTTAGGGGCATTCGTCAGATGGTGTTTTCTTTTTTCCTTTCTTTTATTATAATTTTTGATCTTTATTTAATTATTAAATAATTTAATAATTATTTAATCTTTCTCTCTGTCACCCAGGCTGGAGTGCAGTGGCCTGATCATAGTTCACTGCAGCCTGCAACACCTAGGCTCAAGGGATCTGCCTGCCTCCGCCTCTCAAGTAGCTGGGACTAAAGGCATGCACCACCAGGCCCAACTAATTGTTTGCTTTTGTAGAAATGGGATCTCATTATGTTGCCCAGGGTGTTTTTTTTATTATTATTTTTTATTTTATTATTTTTATTTTTTATTATACTTTAAGTTTTAGGGTACATGTGCACAACGTGTAGGTTAGTTACATATGTATACATGTGCCATGTTGGTGTGCTGCACCCAGTAACTCGTCATTTAACATTAGGTATATTTCCTAATGCTATTCCTCCCCCCTCCCCCCACCCCACAACAGGCCCCAGTGTGTGATGTTCCCCTTCCTGTGTCCATGTGTTCTCATTGTTCAATTCCCACCTATGAGTGAGAACATGCGGTGTTTGGTTTTATGTCCTTGCGATAGTTTGCTGAGAATGATGGTTTCCAGCTTTATCCATGTCCCTACAAAGGACATGAACTCATCATTTTTTATGGCTGCATAGTATTCCATGGTGTCCTGGCATCGAGTGATCTTCCTGCCCTGGCCTCCAAAAGCATTGGATTACAGGCATGAGCCACCACCTCTGGCCATGTTTTGATAAGGAAACAGTAAAGGATTTAAGCATTGTTTTGAGCATAGTGAAACCACATAATAGGTGCTTTTTTGAAAAGTTGTTTACTAGTAAGTATCTTGTGAAATTAAATCTAAAGAAATGGATTCACCAGTGGTAGAAATAGTGCTGAAAGCATCATTAACAGGCTTGGCTTCTACCTCTCTTTTGTTGCTACCCAGATGAACTTAAGCAATTTGCTTAAATTCTCTGACCCTCAGTTTCCTTATTTGTAAGCTGTGGTAAACTTTGACCTCCCAGTCTCATAGGCTGGTCATGCAGAGCACATGATAAACAAAAATGTAACAAACCATGAAGTATTAGATGTAGTCATGGTATTTCAATAATTAAATATCTCTAGTCATCACTGAAACTCATTGAGTTCTAATTGTTTTATTAACTTATTTTATCCTGAATAGAATTAGGTTACTGATTTTCTTCCCTAAAATTACAGGCTAGGTTAATTTTAAGGTAACAGTTCTATTACAGAAACTGTATGGGCGAGGCAGAGCTGTTCTTGCTTGGGATATTACCGAGGAACATATGGGGATAAATTTGAGACTTTGGCCACATTCCTCAGATCCTTGTTATCATCCACTTACAAGGTAGAATGGTCTCTCTACCACATATACTATTGAAAGTAAAGATATATTAGTGGAACAGAGATGTTGATTTTCCTTTCTTTGTTGCCTGTGTACATCCTGTGGAGACAGGAGAAATAAGTAAGAAGGGAATGGTAAAATTAGAGTGCTTTCTTGGCAAATGCTTCGTTCTTGGGCTGCGTTTTGTAACAGGGTGTTCATATTATGCTAATTTTCTATTTTATGATGTGTGCTTTCTAAAGCCCATTTATTCCTAGTACTTTGCAAAGTTGCAAATAAAGAATATTTACTCTACTAGAAATGTAAATGTAATGTACCCAAAAAATGTAATGTAAAAATATAAATTCACATATTGTAAGAAATTGAGAGCTTAATGTTAGAGCAAAACTGTAGGATCTCAGAATTTTATGAGGATATGTTTGACTTAGAAAACATTGGGATCATATTTATAGAGCAAGCCTGTGAACGTTGATTTATAGTAAATATAAAAACTAGATACTGTTATGGACAATATGACTGGTCTATTTTGTATTTAGGGCTTTTCTGGGAAAAATATCTACAAAGACTTTACCAAGAAACCTAAATTGTACTGTTGATCTGTTAGTAAAATGCAACTCATTTGATTTTTTTACATGGTAAGGACAAATGTGTCAGCAAAGTTTTTATAAGCCTATCATGGTACCTTGGAATTCAGGAATAGTAGAATTTCACAAGTCAAGTGAGATAGAGCCATAATGTCAATATTTGTGGACTGATAAATGTGACTTGTGAAATTTGGCTCTAGTTGCCAGCTGCTTTAGTCTTGCAATTTAAAGTTACATTAGTAATGAAAACTAATGAACACAAAATTTCTATTTTTATAAAAGTTCCACACAACTGACATAGTTTTTGAGAAAAATAACTTTAAATAGTTTGGCAACTACTGATTAAATATTTGAATCTGGTTTTTTGCACGTAGAGCACATTCTATTCATTACATTAACCACACAGTAAATAGATGAATACCACAGTCATTTACTTTGCTTAGTATAACTAAAAAGTTAAGTATTAAATGTGCAATAAATGTGTAGAAATGAAAGTAATGAGGAACATTATTGGAATGTTGTGCAAAACCCCACAACATTCTTGTATCTTATTATTATGTCTTTCTTGAAATTTAACTGAATAATCCTAATTTTATTTCTTATATAATTATATAAAATAGTTTTCAAATATAATTTTGATTCACTCCTGCATTTCCTCAATTTGTTCAACTAATGCTTTAATTACTAAGCCAAAACTTATGTTTAGTTGTTCTTGTTGATCAGAACATTAAAAAAATCATATTGAGAGAAACTTTAATTGGCTGTCAGTGACTTCAGGTCTTTTTTCTTCAAATATTATTCTAGGTATTATTGCAAATTTCAAAGTAGATAGATAAATAATAACTTTAACCATTATATAAAAATAATGTACTATCTGACCTTTAATCAAGTGGTACTTAATTGTTTTTCTTTTGGATTTTTTTTATATTTTTCTGGTGAGCACAGATTAAATGGAATAAGTGTTCCTTTGATAGACATCTAGGGATGGATGGATTCTTTTAGTCTGCCATTAAAACTGAAAAATTAGGATTTCAGATGACATTTTCAATGATAATTAAATTTCATAGTTTCTGCCTTTGACATGTTTATGTATATTTTTTACATATAATTAAAAATGGGAGAGGGTGAGTTATTTGGAGGGAAGATTGGTAGCTATATTTACTGAATGTAAATAAAATAGATGTAAAATTAAATAATGTAAACACAAATAACATAAATCTAAACTTAAACTGATGATGACAGCATTTTCAAGAGCTCTAAACAATTCTGCATGTAATACTTTATTTCTGGGTAGGAATCACACACAGATGATGAAATTTTCTTTAGGTTTATCTTGTAACTGAAAGACCTGTGAGGACCTCAATGCTTAGAGAAAATATGAAAATTAGATACATTTCCTTATGTATTTTCACTGGTAACCATTAATGGAAAACAACACAGGGTATGTACCTTTTCTGCCGAAATTGCAAAGAGCCGTGTTATTGCAGGCTTTTGTTTCAAACATCTATAATACTTTCAAGAAAGGGTGAAGGTATATAAGAAATCATTTTTATTTCCCTTTCAGGATGAGAGCTGGAAAATGGTTAATCACCAGAATATGTTTTTAAACTTACCCATGAAATGTAAATGGAAATAATTTAGTATGAGAAACTAATCTGGAGTTGAGTTCTTAAGACAAGAAGAAATATGCTTTAAAAAGAATTGTTGAATGAAGTATCTCAATTATAAATCAAAATAATAGGCCAGGCGTGGTGGCTCACATCCGTAATTCCAGCAGTTTGGGAGGCTGAGGCTGGTGGATCCCTTGAGGCCAGGAGTTCGAGACCAGCCTGGGCAACATGGTGAAACCCCGTTTCTACTAAAAATACAAAAATTAGCCAGGCGTGGTGGCTCATGCCTGTCATCACAACTATGGGGGAGGCTGAGGCAGGAGAATCTTTTGAACCCGGGAGGCGGAGGTTGCAGTGAGCCGAGATTGCGCCATTGCACTGTAGCCTGGGCAACAGAGTGAGACTCTGTCTTAAATTAAAAAAAAAATCATAGCAAGATTATGCATCAATAAAACATTTATTTTCTGTTTATATATTTTTCAAAACTGTTTGACAACTTTAGTCCAAAGCAGAGGGGAATTTACCATAAAAGTAATAAAGCTTAAACTTTAGGGCATGTGAGGGGTCCTTTTAAAAGATTGACATGCTGGAAAAAAGACAAAATTAGCTTTCTTGTCATTCTGGAAGATGATATTTTCTAATAATTGATACTTATAGAAGTGGTCAGAGAGTATGCAGCCAAAAGAATATAAGAAAAATGTATTATAGAAATTTGTCTGGCAGACAGAAAATATTATTTGTTTAAATTGTTGTGATGTTTATATTTTTCAGCTTCTTAAAAATCTATAATTTCTTGTGATTTCTCATTCTAAAAAAAGTGCACTTTTGTACAAAATAATAACTTTGTTACTTTTTTTAAAAGAAAATTTTCTTAAAACGTCTGGCTTTTCAAGGCCCTCAGCATAGAGGAATCTCTTTGCTGTTAATTGATAGACTTAAGAATAATGTAATTTCTAAAGTCAGATTCCTATAAAGGATATGTTAGATTTATTTTAAAATACTTTAATTTATGTGGATTTTAGTTGTCCAATGCAGTACTAAATGGGCCATTTTATTTCAATTTATTATTTATAATATCACCATGAAACACACGCCTTTTAAAAGACAAACAGAATGAATCATTTCATATTGCAACTTCAAATTTGTAAACCATTTCTCCTAATATGGATAAATTGTTTGTGTTTCTAAGGTGAGATTTTTGTTCTGCTGATTAAGAATGATATTTTCTATGCTTTTACCGCAACTTAAGTTTCTTCTCTTTTTTATGCTATTTTATTCTGTTGTTTGAATTTTAAAGAAATTTTTAGGAATGAGAAAACTTACATTAGGAATGTAAAAGATTTTCACAAAATGCAGAAGAAATAGTTTCATTTTGAGAAGACTGAGTTCTTCATCAAGTCCCACACATAATAATCCTTTTTCTGTTTTGAAACTTATAAGAACAATATTCAGAGAATTAATCTATGACCTTCAAATGTTTCTCCTCTTGCACTGTTAATCAAAGAATTTCTAACCATAGCATTAGAACCATTACCTATATCTATTCTCATTTTTTAAACAAAGTATTTATTGTCATTGTAAATAAAACTCCCTGGGTGGTATACAATTCTGAGGGCTATGTTGCTAGGAGAGGGAAATCTCTGTAGTGTTCTTAGAGTCTAGGCACACCACCACTTCTCAGTAGACTTTTTGGAGGCGTCTCAGTATATTCATTACTAGTTGAGGCCTGGAACCAGACTGCCTGGGTTTAAATCCTGGCTGTGCCACTCATTTGCTAGTGAATATAGGCAGATCACTTAACCTGTTTGTGTTCCTCTTCCTCCTCTGTAAGATGCTGGTGATAATCATAGTCTTAGAGTTGGTTAATATGTAAACAAGTGCTTTTTCAGTATGTGGCACATGGTAAATACACAATAAATATAAATTATTGTTATAATGGTACAAGAATAATAAATAATTTGGGGACCTTTGGTTCTCAACAAGGAACAGTAGTTGGCCTCTGTCTTAGTCCATGTAAGCTGCTATAACAAAATACCTTTGAGTGAGTAATTTATAAACAACAGAGATTTACTGCTCACAGTTCTGGAGGCTTTAAAGTCTAAGACCAAGGTGCTGGTAGATTTGGTGTCTCGCTCTCTGCCTCATAAATGATGCCTTCTTGCTGTGTCCTCACATGGCAAAAAAGGGCTGAAAAATCTCCCTCCGGCCTCTTTTGTAAGGGCACTAATCCCATTCATGAGGGCACAGTCTTTATGACCTATTCACCTCCCAAAGGCTTCACCTCTTAATATCACCACAAGGAGATTTGGTTTCAACATATGAATTCTAAGAGGATACAACAAATATTCAGACCATGCTAGACTCATTTTCTTTCCTCCAGGAAGCTTTGGACATTCTCAGAACCTCAATATTCATTCTATAGATTGTTTAACCAGCCATGCAGCCAGACACAAAGGATTTTATTATATTTAGGGAAATCTTTGAAAAGCATGATTACATTATAAAAATGATTTATTGAAGATGTTAACATAATATTATTATTTCTTCCAAACTTGTGAGAAAGAAAATCATGGATAGGATTTGGATTGAGAGCTTGGTGTGACACAAATGATCAACCATTTTAAAACATCTCTGTTCTTTTTTTGGAAGAAGTTCTGGGATAAAATCTTATTTTCTAATTTTATGTATATTCTAAATGTATTTCTGCTTAGTCATATCAGACATTTTCTTAATTGGGAGAGTTGTTTTTAAACCCTCTTATATAAAGGCAGATTATTTTGTAGTAGATGAAGATTCCTTGACTGAGCTGGGGGAAGAAGGGATTTAGGGCCTATCAGATGGGTATGGAGGAGAGGACAGGAGAGGGTGGAGGCTGAAGAGGTGGAGCAATGATGGGATTTGGCTTAACTGGAGGGGTAAGGAAATAGAAGGGCTTCTGAATTGCTTCCTCATCAAAACTTTAGGGTAGTAAGCAACCTCTGAATGTCAGGAGAAAGTGAAGGAGATATTCTGAAACTTATTCAAGAAGACTTTTATTTCGTCTGTGGAGGTGCTGCCACATGTGGTAATGTCAGCGGTAGCAGACATCTAAGTTACACTGAGTTACTGGTGGCATATCAATATAGGTCTGCAGCAACTTCAGTTCTTGCCTTCTCAGAAGAAAGAATTCAACTGGGGTACATAAGGCAGAAGGAGAGACTGAGGCATGTTTCAGAGCGGGAGTGAACGTTTATTAAAAAGCTTTAGAACAATAAGGAAAGGAAAGAAAAGAAAAGAAGGAAAGTACAACTGGGAAGAGGACCAAGGGGTTGACTTGAGAAACCAAGTGCACAGCTTGACCTCTTGACATGGGGTTTTATAGGTTGACATACTTCCGGGGTCTTGCCTTACTTCTCTCCACTCCTGAGGTCTTACTGGGAAGCTGCTGATCAGTTTCAGGTGTTTTCTATCTTTTAGGAGACGGCTTTTCCCTGGTGCCAGCTGTGACCAATTATTACTTTAGAGAAACAGTTAACAACTGCCTGACCATCACCTGATGTTTGCCCAACACTCCTGGTGTGTGTGTGTGTGTGGGAGCCCTCTTCTGCCCTGCTCATACCTGACTAGCTACCTACTGTTAACAGTAACTGCCTCATGGAGCAAGAATGAAAACAAGCCAGTTTTGTGTGGTAAGCCTGGCCAGTTTGGATTTCACGTCTAAATGAGTACAAATAGTTTATATCCTAAAATTCTGCATGCCCTGGTCAAATAACCTTTGCATTCAAAACAATTGATTGAAACTTTTATGGTACAGTATGGTTGATTCTGAAGATGCAGAAAAGACTGTGCTTTTCAGATCCTGTCCTAAAGAGTAGTTGAATCCTTTGCTTGTGGAAAATCAACAGAGGCAGAACAGAAACTTCTGTTGGCAATTTTCCTTAATAGTTCAATAAAATGTTTCACCCTGCTATCTTGTGATATATTTGTAGTTCTGTAAATATACTATGGCACTTGGGGTGAGACAGGAAGGAAGAGGGACATGTCTAATTATAAAAATCAGTGTGAGCTGGCTGGCAGATATGCGCGGAGGAAGAAAAATACCATGTTACGTGATGACATCTTTCTTATCATACAGTGTGCTTTGCCGCCATTGTAAAGTGCTCTTCTACTGTGTATTTTATTTTTTTCTTAGTGACAACCTTCAAATGAAGTGTGCTTTTGTAAGAGTCTTTTCTACAATGTAGAATCCACACCAAGAACATGCGTAGAATGCCCTACCAGGATTTTATCTCTTTGTGCCTGGCTCGAGTTTGTACTTGGTATGATCTCTTATTTTAGGAACTAGCCTGAGGCATCCAGACCCTTGCTGCTGCCATCCCTAGAGAGACAAAAATGAAGGAAATAGAGTTGTACAAGAGAGGAATTTAAAGAGATCTCCCCCAACAGTTTTCAAGCTGCTTTTTCTTCTCCCTTCCTGTCTTCCTTCTCTTTTCCTCCCTGTCTCCTTCCTTCCTTTCATTCCTTCCTTCCTTCTTTTTTAAAGCCCTAAGAACCATTTCTTCTGTTTAAAGTTTGTATGGAGCCCCAAAGGAAGATAAAATAAAGACTGCTCTGGTAGAAGCATAGATAAGTACCCAGAACTCTTCCTAGTTGTGGTTCTGGGGAGAATAATTTGAAAACACCCAATTAATTATATTAAAAACAGAGACCTAGACATTTGAATGATTTGTTATAGTTTCTGATTTTGACTTCAGAGACAATGTGAGTATGCTGAATTCTCCTGGTAATGGGGAAATTTTTGACATGATTTGCCAAATCTAGCTGTTGAAGTTTTAGATTTCCTCTGTTTCTTACTTGTTTTAATAGTAAGTTTGACTATAGTAGCAAAATCATGTGGGTCAATTTTGTTTCCCACTTTTCTTTATAATTTTAGATAAGATCATATATGTTTTACACATAGTTCTGTTGTAATAATTGTGGGAAAAGTCTGGTAGATGTAAAGCTGCACATTTTAGGAAAGACTAGTCTGGGTGCAGTGGCTCACATCTGTAATCCTAGCACTTTGGGAGGTTGAGGTGGGAGGATCACTTGAGGCCAGGAGTTTGAGACTAGCCTGGGCAACATAGAGAGACCCCTGTCTATACAAAAAAAATTATAAGAAGAAAGACTAAAAACTTCCTATTCTCTAAGACAAATGTTTATTCTGTAATTGCAATGCAAAAATATTATTTGAAAGCTTATAAATGAATTGCTCCCCCCAAATTACAGTTTAGCAAATCTGTAATCTCTTGAAAAAAAATCTGAAACGTCTTTAAAATTTTTTTAGCATTTCTTACACTGCAACATTTTTCTATTTTTCTTCTATGTCCTAAAGAAGACATCTACCTGAAATTAGGACATTATGTGTGTAACATTACGTGATTGTGAAATAGCTGCCTGCTCTAGAAGGTCCTTGTTCCTCTAGGGGGCAGTGCTTTACTTTTACATCACCAACCCGGAGTGAAAATATAAGAGCAGCTTTGTTTCTTAAAAGACTAGAAGTAGTTCATTCTGCTCATTCTCTCTCTTCGTTTTAAAAATGTATTGTACAGCTGAGACATTTAACAAGACATGCTTTTAACCAGAAAATATCCAAGATAATTAGAACTTCCATAAACATATTTGATTTGGAGTTTTTAGGGAAGATTTCTTTGGCTTTACCTCTTTATTTTCTAAGAAAGCATAGAATGAGCTTGACTTATGCTCCAAATTTAGTTATTATATAATTGTATTGTCCTTTCTGAAAGATAAACTTTCTTCCCCCTTAAAAACAATTTTGATTTAAGGTTCCAGATGTGTCACTTGACTTGCTAAAAAACAAAGCAAAGCAAAACAAAAACCAGAAAGCCAACCAAAACCCAAAAAGCCAATCAAAACAAGAACCATAACATCCAGTTTGTTCTCTTTGGTTCTACTTTTCTATTTTTCATGCAATTTAAAATTTTAGACTATTTCCCTTGTGCCACAGACTTCTTTTTTTTTTTGTGGTAGTTCCAGAAAACAAATGGATTTATTAAGAAAACAAAATCCGCCTCCATTTCTTTCAGCCCATTCTCATCCCATACTTCTTAAAAGCTATATGTGTATATATATATATGTACATGTGTATATATGTATATATATATGTACAGGTGTATATATGTATATATATACATACGTACATATGTGTGTATATATATATATAGTGTATATATTAATATATATACACTAATGTGGGCAGCAGAATTCAAAGATAGTCCCCAAGATTTCTGGACCCAGGTGTACATATACATCTTCACCCAGTTATTCTGCCAAACACTAATGTAGGTACTGCTATGAAGAGATTTTGCAGATAAATTAAGATCCCAAATGCAGATGAATTAAGATCCTTAAATTAGGGAGATTATCTGGGTAATCTCACCTAATTATGTGAGCCCTTTAAATCTGTTTCTAGAGATCGGAGACAGAAGTCAGATAGAGTTGAGATGTGAGAAGGATTCAACTTGAGAGAGGTTCTCTATTGGTGGTTTTGAGACAGAAGGGAGCCATGGGGCAAGGACCTGCGACTGGCCTCTGGTGGCTGAGAGTGGTCCCCAGTTGACAACCAGCGAGAAAACCAGGAAAACCACCATAAGAAACTGAATTATGACAAAACAAAATGAGCTTGGGGTCCACTTCCAAGCTCATTTTGTTTTGTCATAATTCAGTTTCTTATGGTAGTTGTCTTGATTTTCTTGGTGGTTGTCAACTGGGGCCCACTGTCAGCCACTAGAGA
Organism: Homo sapiens; assembly: GCF_000001405.40. NCBI lineage: Eukaryota > Metazoa > Chordata > Mammalia > Primates > Hominidae > Homo > Homo sapiens. Next base: position 97,232,562 of record NC_000005.10, read on the forward strand.
CCAGTCTGAGGTCCTTGCCCCATGGCTCCCTTCCATCTGGGTGTTATTTTAAGTCTCCAAGTTTTTTGTTATGCAGCTATAGAAAATCAATACAATCAAAGTAAGCACATTTCTTTAACATTATTTTTTAAAGTTGGCTTGAAAAACGGAAGTTGATACCGAAAAAATATGTTCAGCATTTGGGGATTTGCCATACCCTTTTATAGTGGTGGTTTGCTGGCCAATACCCATGTTCCCCTTTTCCTGGCGACATTCCCTAGTGGGTTGACTTCACACCTAGTTCCAGAGGTGAGACTCAGTTAGCTCAAGTCATTTGGAGTGTATCATTTAGGGCATGTGACCCAAACTGGTCCAATTAGAATAAACCCCAGGAGGATTTTGGTGGGAATGTTGGGGTAAATACTTTCTTTCCTCCTTTGAGCTTAGTGATGTGATTATTGAGGTTTATAAGTATTAAAGATTCAAGGGAGAGCCTAGCATTTCTCAGGGGCTACCATGTGAAGCCTAAAAATTAAGCAACCCAGAGGAAGAAAAGTTAAGGAGGATTCTGGTTATATTTCAGTCCTGTATTAGGCTGTTTGTGAATATAAATCTGCTCCTTGATATGAGCTAATAAATCTTTCTCTTCCCTTAAAAATTTGTTTAAGTCTATTTACTTTGAGTTTCTCGATTCTTACAAATGAAAAATAAAATCCAGACTGATAGACCAGTTATCTCTCTGATTTTCATACTTTTCCTCATCTTTCAACATAGAATATGTTCCAGACTAGTAAACTGTAATCATCTGCATTTATTTCCTTTTGTCTTTGTCTAGTCTTTTAAGTCTAAAGATAAAAATTGGTTAAAAATTATAATAACATATTCTAATATTTATTGTTCTTATATTATCTGACGGAACAATCTAGAAAAATAGGTATTATGGCTTTCATAAACTTATGACACATATTTGAAGGGTATTAATTTATTATTGGCTTTGTATAAACTTTTTTCTTTTGGAAATTCTGTCAATAAAGTAGAACCCATTTTGTTTAAAAGTTTTGTTTCAATCTAGTGAAGATATAATATAGTTCTCATTAATTGACATTATAATTGCCTATAATTATATTGACAGAAACAGAGTCGTGTGTGAAAACAATTAATATTTGTTCTGTATAAAGATGAAAACAGTTGTTTTGTATTGTTAAAATTAGTATTCAGTGCCTGCTTTTAGTACCAATCTTGCTAGCAGAAGCGAATAGACTCTATGATGCAAAATGTGATATTGCGAGCATAACACTTTGTCTTTAGTTATTTAAAATACCTTTGAAATATGTGTATTTTAAATGTATAGGTGTGTATTGAAAACTTAGTTTTGTTTATTTGTTTACTTGCTTTTTAACTTTTAGACCGTTTCCTTTATTTCAGGTATTAAATTGTTTAGAATGTAGTTGTGAGAATAGACCTAACTGGTCTTAAGCATGGCCCACCTGGTTTGACTTTTCTGGGGATATCTTAAATATTAGTATCTTAACAGGTTAGAGTTGACTTGAATACAGTGTAAGCCAAAATTATTTCCATTTCTGTAAACACTTAAAAGTAATTTCTGGCTAAAAAAAAATCTACATGTGATAGTTCAAGAATTTTTTTTTTTAATTTCCTAAGGAAAGACCATAGAATTTCCAGCATAAGAAATACATATTTTTAATATATGACTTTCTTTCTTTTTTTAAATTATACTTTAAGTTCTATGGTACATGTGCACAACGTGCAGGTTTGTTACATATGTATACATGTGCCATGTTGGTTTGCTACACCCATTAACTCATCATTTACATTAGGTATTTCTCCTAATGCTATCCCTCCCCAATCTCCCCATCCCATGACAGGCCCCGGTGTGTGATGTTCCCTGCCCTATGTCCAAGTGTTCTCATTGTTCAATTCCCACCTGTGAGTGAGAACATGCAGTCTTTGGTTTTCTGTCCTTGCAATAGTTGCTTAGAATGATGGTTTCCAGCTTCATCCATGTTGCTACAAAGGACATGAACTTATCCTTTTTTATGGCTGCATAGTACTCCATGGTGTATATGTGCCACATTTTCTTAATCCAGTCTATCAATGATGGACATTTGGGTTGGTTCCAAGTCTTTGCTATTGTGAATAGTGCCACAATAAACATATGTGTGCATGTGTCTTTATAGTAGCATGATTTTAATCCTTTGGGTATATACCCAGTAATGGGATCGCTGGGTCAAATGGTATTTCTAGTTTTAGATCCATGAGGAATCGTCACACTGTCTTCCACAATGGTTGAACTAGTTTACACTCCCACCAACAGTGTAAAAGTGTTTCTATTTCTCCACATCCTCCCCAACACCTGTTGTTTCCTGACTTTTTAATGATCACCATTCTAACTGGCATGAGATGGTATCTCATTGTGGTTTTGATTTGCATTTATCTGATGACCAGTGATGATGAGCATTTTTTTCACGTGTCTGTTGGCTGCATAAATGTCTTCTTTTGAACAGTGTGTTTTCATATCCTTTGCCCACTTTTTGATGGCATTGTTTTTTTTCTTGTAAATTTGTTTAAATTCTTTGTAGATTCTGGATATTAGCCTTTTGTCAGATGGGTAGATTGCAAAAATTTTCTCCCATTCTGTAGGTTGCCTGTTTACTCTGCTGGTAGTTTCTTTGGCTGTAAAGAAGCTGTTTAGTTTAATTAGATCCCATTTCTCTATTTTGGCTTTTGTTGCCATTGCTTTTGTTGTTTTAGTCATGAAGTCCTTGCCCATGCCTATGGCCTGAATGGTATTGCCTAGGTTTTCTTCTAGGGTTTTTATGGTTTTAGGAAGTTCTGGCCAGTGTTGGAAGTCTTTAATCCGTCTTGAATTAATTTTTGTATAAGGTATAAGGAAGGGATCCAGTTTCAGCTTTCTACATATGACTAGCCAGTTTTCCCACCACCATTAAATAGGGAATCCTTTCCCCATTTCTTGTTTTGGTCAGGTTTGTCAAAGATCAGATGGTGGTAGATGTTTGGTGTCATTTCTGAGGCCTCTGTTCTGTTCCATTGGTCTATATATCCGTTTTGTTATCAGTACCATGCTGTTTTAGTTACTGTAGCCTTGTAGTATAGTTTGAAGTCAGGTAGTGTGATGCCTCCAGCTTTGTTCTTTTTGCTTAGGATTGTCTTGGCAATGCGGGCTCTTTTTTGGTTCCATATGAACTTTAAAGTAGTTTTTTCCAATTCTGTGAAGAAAGTCATTGGTGGCTTGATGGGGATGGCATTGAATTTATAAATTACCTTGAGCAGTATGGCCATTTTCACGATATTGATTCTTCCTACCCATAAGCATGGAATGTTCTTCCATTTGTTTGTATCCTCTTTTATTTCATTGAGCAGTGCTTTGTAGTTCTCCTTGAAGAGGTCCTTCACATCCCTTGTAAGTTGGATTCCTAGGTATTTTATTCTCTTTGAAACAATTGTGAATGGGAGTTCACTCATGATTTGGCTCTGTTTGTCTGTTATTGGTGTATAAGAATGCTTGTGATTTTTGCACATTGATTTTGTATCCTGAGACTTTGTGGAAGTTGCTTATCAGCTTAAGGAGATTTTGGGCTGAGACGATGGGGTTTTCTAGATATACAATCATGTCATCTGCAAACAGGGACAATTTGACTTCCTCTTTTCCTAATTGAATACCCTTTATTTCTTTCTCTTTCTTGATTGCCCTGACCAGAACTTCCAACACTATGTTGAATAGGAGTGGTGAGAGAGGGCATCGCTGTCTTGTGCTGGTTTACAAAGGGAATGCTTCTAGTTTTTGCCCATTCAGTATGATATTGGCTGTGGCTTTGTCATAGACAGCTCTTATTATTTTGAGATACGTCCCATCAATACCTAATTTATTGAGAGTTTTTAGCATGAAGGTTGTTGAATTTTGTCAAAGGCCTTTTCTGCATCTATTGAGAGAATCATGTGGTTTTTGTCTTTGTCTTTGGTTCTGTTTATATGCTGGATTACATTTACTGATTTGCGTATATGGAACCAGCCTTGCATCCCAGGGATGAAGCCCACTTGATCATGATGGATAAGCTTTTTGATGTGCTGCTGGATTTGGTTTGCCAGTATTTTATTGAGGATTTTTGCATGAATGTTCGTCAAGGATATTGGTCCAAAATTCTCTTTTTTGGTTGTGTCTCTGCCTGGCTTTGGTATCAGGATGATGCTGGCCTCGTAAGATGAGTTAGGGAGGATTCCCTCTTTTTCTGTTAATTGGAATAGTTTCAGAAGGAACGGTACCAGTTCCTCCTTGTACCTCTGGTAGAATTCGGCTGTGAATCCATCTGGTCCTGGGACTCCTTTTGGTTGGTAAGCTATTGATTATTGCTACAATTTCAGAGCCTGTTATTGGCCTATTCAGAGATTCAACTTCTTCCTGGTTTAGTCTTGGGATGGTGTATGTGTCAAGGAATTTATCCATTTCTTCTAGATTTTCTAGTTTATTTGCGTAGAGGTGTTTGTAGTATTCTCTGATGGTAGTTTGTATTTCTGTGGGATCAGTGGTCATATCCCCTTTATCATTTTTTATTGTGTCTATTTGATTCTTCTCTCTTTTCTTCTTTAGTAGTCTTGCTAGCGGTCTATCAATTTTGTTGATCCTTTCAAAAAACCAGCTCCTGGATTCATTAATTTCTTGAAGGGTTCTTTGTGTCTCTATTTCCTTCAGTTCTGCTTTGATTTTAGTTATTTCTTGCCTTCTGCTAGCTTTTGAATGTGTTTGCCCTTGCTTTTCTAGTTCTTTTAATTGTGATGTTAGGGTGTCAATTTTAGATCTTTCCTGCTTTCTCTTGTGGGCATTTAGTGCTATAAATTTCCCTCTACACACTGCTTTGAATGCGTCCCAGGGATTCTGGTATGTTGTGTCTTTGTTCTCGTTGGTTTCAAAGAACATCTTTATTTCTGCCTTCATTTCGTTATGTACCCAGTAGTCATTCAGGAGCAGGTTGTTCAGTTTCCATGTAGTTGAGCGGTTTTGAGTGAGATTCTTAATCCTGAGTTCTAGTTTGATTGCACTGTGGTCTGAGAGACAGTTTGTTATAATTTCTGTTCTTTTACATTTGCTGAGGAGAGCTTTACTTCCAACTATGTGGTCAATTTTGGAATAGGTGTGGTGTGGTGCTGAAAAAAATGTATATTCTGATGATTTGGGGTGGAGAGTTCTCTAGATATCTATTAGGTCCACTTAGTGCAGAGCTGAGTTCAATTCCTGGGTATCCTTGTTAACTTTCTGTCTCATTGATTTGTCTAATGTTGACAGTGGGGTGTTAAAGTCTCCCAATATTATTGTGTGGGAGTCGAAGTCTCTTTGTAGGTGTCTAAGGACTTGCTTTATGAATCTGGGTGCTCCTGTATTGGGTGCATATATATTTAGGATCGTTAGCTCTTCTTGTTGAATTCATCCGTTTACCATTATTTAATGGCCTTCTTTGTCTCTGTTGATCTTTGTTGGTTTGAAGTCTGTTTTATCAGAGACTAGGATTGCAACCCCTGCCTTTTTTTGTTTTCCATTTGCTTGGTAGATCTTCCTCCATCCTTTTATTTTGAGCCTATGTGTGTCTCTGCACGTGAGATGGGTTTCCTGAATACAGCACACTGATGGGTCTTGACTCTTTATCCAATTTGCCAGTGTGTGTCTTTTAATTGGAGCATTTAGTCCATTTACATTTAAAGTTAATATGGTTATGTGTGAATTTGATCCTGTCATTATGATGTTAGCTGGTTATTTTGCTCGTTAGTTGATGCAGTTTCTTCCTAGCCTCGATGGTCTTTACAATTTGGCATGATTTTGCAGTGGCTAGTACTGCTTGTTCCTTTCCATGTTTAGTGCTTCCTTCAGGAGCTCTTTTAGGGCAGGCCTGGTGGTGACAAAATCTCTCAGCATTTGCTTGTCTGTAAAAGATTTTATTTCTCCTTCACTTATGAAGCTTAGTTTGGCTGGATATGAAATTCTGGGTTGAAAATTCTTTTCTTTAAGAATGTTGAATATTGGCCCCCACTCTCTTCTGGCTTGTAGATTTTCTGCTGAGGGATCAGCTGTTAGTCTGATGGGCTTCCCTTTGAGGGTAACCCGACCTTTCTCTCTGGCTGCCCTTAACATTTTTTCCTTCATTTCAACTTTGGTGAATCTGACAATTATGTGTCTTGGAGTTGCTCTTCTCGAGGAGTATCTTTGTGGCATTATCTGTATTTCCTGAACGTGAATGTTGGCCTGCCTTGCTAGATTGGGGAAGTTCTCCTGGATAATATCCTGCAGAGTGTTTTCCAACTTGTTTCCATTCTCCCTGTCACTTTCAGGTACACCAATCAGACATAGATTTGGTCTTTTCACATAGTCCCATATTTCTTGGAGGCTTTGTTCGTGTCTTTTTATTCTTTTTTCTCTAAAATTCCCTTCTCACTTCATTTCATTCATTTCATCTTCCATCACTGATACCCTTTCTTCCAGTTGATCGCTTCGGCTCCTGAGGCTTCTACATTCTTCACGTAGTTCCCGAGCCTTGGCTTTCAGCTCCATCAGCTCCTTTAAGCACTTCTCTGTATTGGTTATTCTAGTTATACATTCATCTAATTTTTTTTTCAAAGTTTTTAACTTCTTTGTCTTTGATTTGAATTTCCTCCTGTAGCTTGGAGTATTTTGATTGTCTGAAGCCTTCTTCTCTCTACTCATCAAAGTCATTCTCCGTCCAGCTTTGTTCTGTTGCTGGTGAGGAACTGTGATCCTTTGGAGGAGGAGAGGCGCTCTGCTTCTTAGAGTTTCCAGTTTTTCTGCTGTGTTTTTTCTCCATCTTTGTGGTTTTATCTACTTTTGGTCTTTGATGATGGTGATGTACAGATAGGTCTTTGGTGTGGATGTCCTTTCTGTTTGTTAGTTTTCCTTCTGACAGACAGGGCCCTCACCTGCAGGTCTGTTGGAGTTTGCTAGAGGTCCACTCCAGACCCTGTTTGCCTGGGTATCAGCAACAGCAGTGTCTGCAGAACAGCGGATTGTTGTGAACCGCGAATGCTGCTGTCTGATCGTTCCTCTGGAAGTTTTGTCTCAGAGGAGTACCCGGCCGTGTGAGGTGTCAGTCTGCCCCTACTGGGGAGTGCCTCCCAGTTAGGCTGCTTGGGGGTCAGGGGTCAGGGACCCACTTAAGGAGGCAGTCTGCCCGTTCTCAGATCTCCAGCTGCGTGCTGGGAGAACCACTGCTCTCTTCAAAGCTGTCAGACAGGGACATTTAAGTCTGCAGAGGTTACTGCTGTCTTTTTGTTTGTCTGTGCCCTGCCCCCAGAGGTGGAGCCTACAGAGGCAGGCAGGCCTCCTTGAGCTGTGGTGGGCTCCACCCAGTTTGAGCTTCCCAGCTGCTTTGTTTACCTAAGCAAGCCTGGGCAATGGCGGGTGCCCCTCCCCTAGCCTCAAACTGCCGCCTTGCAGTTTGATCTCAGATTGCTGTGCTAGCAATCAGTGAGACTCCGTGGGCGTAGGACCCTCTGGGGCATGTGCAGGATATAATCTCCTGGTGTGCCATTTTTTAAGCCCGTTGGAAAAGTGCAGTAATAGGGTGGGAGTGACCCGATTTTCCAGGTGCTGTCTATCACCCCTTTCTTCGACTAGGAAAGGGAACTCCCTGACCCCTTGCACTTCCCGAGTGAGGCAATGCCTCACCCTGCTTCGGCTCGTGCACAGTGCGCTGCACCCACTGTTCTGCAGCCACTGTCTGGCAATCCCTAGTGAAATGAACCCGGTACCTCAGATGGAAATGCAGAAATCACCTGTCTTCTGTGTCGCTCATGCTGGGAGCTGTAGACCGGAGCTGTTCCTATTTGGCCATCTTGGCTCGGGACTCTTTTTTTTTTTTTTAATTCCAAGGACATTTTTTATAGAGGAGGCTTAAATTTAAAGAAGTATATAGAGTGAATTGGTTTGGATTGGAATGATTGAAGGGGAGCATCTGCAAAACAGCCCTGAGGTGATGGATATGATTGGAAACATTGAAAGAAGGGCAGAGGATCAGGAGAAATGATGCTTAACGTGTGCCATTCAGATCAGGGAAACTGAAAAAAGAGACAAAAACCCCAAACCAAGAGGAAAACATATTGGATTTTTACTATGCCTGGAGAACAAGGGTTTATTGGCTAAGTTAATGGATCAAATAATGATATGGATGTTGTACTGATTTTCTTGGGCTGCCATAAGAATGTACCACAGACTGGGTAGCTTAAATAATAGAAATGTATTTCCTCACAGTTGTAGAGACTAGAAATCCAAGATGAAGAAATCAGCAGAGTTGATTTCTTCTGAGGGCCTCTCTCTTTGTCTTGTAGATGGTATCTTCTCCCTCTTTCTTCACATGACCTTTCCTCTTTGTGTGTCCGTGTTCTAATTTTTTTTTTTATATGGACACCATTCATGCTGGATTAGGGCCCACCCTAATGACCTCATTTTACCTTGATCATTTCTTTAGCACCGAAATAGTCACGTAATAGCTCCTAATATAGTCACGTTATCAACATATGAATTCTGGGGAGACACCATTCAGCCCAGAACCGATATGTTCAATTCAAGTTTGCTATGAACCTAGACTAATATCGTGGCTATGGGAATAGGATGTAATAGAGTAGCCAATACAAAGAAGAATCATTAAGGTTAATCATTTAGAATGCAAGGTAGATACATTTATTTTTTTAAACCTTGTGATGAGAAAAAGGAGCTATAGGACAGGACATTGTTTTGAATAGGAAGATGTATTTGAAACTGTTAATTTTAAGGCAGGACTTGACAATATTTTATGGGTAAATGATATTGGAGGCCTACAGAAATGGATCTAGGTCAGGCCTAAACCCAGTCTCCTGAGAGATGTTGTCTTATTTCTTCTAGTCTCACAGTGAACATTCAGGAATGTGCTGGAGTTGCTTTACAACAGCCACTAGCCTGAAAGAGCAAATAAGGACATAGAGAAGAATCACATGAATTTTCTTGTGAGTGCTGAAGATGGCAAGGCTGAGCCTTTCTCCTTTGGTGGAAACCTTTCTTGTAGTATTTGTTTTCATGGGTACTTGCGGGCATGAGAAGCCTATTCCTTTGTCTAGGAATATGCTGTATTGATTCTTGTTTTATGTAGCTGTCTCTTTAAGTTTTTGTTTTCTTTACTAGTTAAAAGATTTTGTTTGTTAAGTTTGTGTATTGGCATATTTTAATCAACATCTTACAATTCCATGTGACAAGCATGATAGGCTTGATGATAGGCCAGAATGGGAATTATTCATTCAACAAACACGTACTGAGCATCAACATGGTACCTGTTGCAAGAAAGCATCCTCTCTAGTAGGTGAAATTATGAGTGTATGGATTGTCAAGGGAAATAAAAGAAAAAGAACAAAAAAGAAAGGCCAGCCCTATAGGATGACTTCAGTTGAGGAGGGGTATGAAATGTCTCAGAAAAACGGTTTATACAAACAGAAAAATATCTAGGATTGTGGAGTGCCACCTAACAAAAAGAGGAGCATCATGAAATGCTAGACAAAGAACAATTGAGAAGGGAATTGGGCAAGAAGGAGGCCAGTGATATCTTCAAGACAATACCTTCCTTTGTCGTGAAAATGGTAGGAATTGTGGTAGTTGTGGTTAGTATATTCGGGGATGGAGAGGGTTTGTAATTAGGAAGAACAGGTTCAGTTTTACCCTTCACAAAATTCATCACCAACTTAATTGCTTCTACAGTGTAACACACTCATTTGTTATCTACAGCTTGCTAAACATTTTGAACTATCCTTAGAATTCAGTAAGCTCAAATTTTAAATCATATTTAATGATCAAGTTGTGATTAAGCCAAAAGCTGCAGTTGTGCTTTTCCGTGATCATCTTAAAATTTAATGCCTAGATAAGCAGGGAGAATGTAGAAATCCTTATAGTCTCATTCCATGTCTACTTTTTTGGCTTCAATCCTTATTCACATCTGTTTCTAGGACCTTGGAGTTAAACATTTAGTCCATGTTTAGTCTCTTGAATAAGTAGCAGTATAAATTTTCTGGTAGAATCAGTTCAGATGGAAAGTAGCAGAGCTAGGTATTACTATCCGGAGAGTAGTGAGCTGGGTCTGCGAGGTGGGAAAACCTGTGTGCTCCACTTGTCCACCATGAAGACAGTTTTCTCCCATTACCTATAGGGTAATACTTTAGGGCAATGCTACAGGGCCTGGTAAGAGACACCTTTTCTTTAGTAAGTACAGATTCGCTTTTCCTGGAGATTATTTTTAAAAATTAATGTCTGATTCAATTCTACTGTAATGTGTTTTCAATCGAATTATTTTCTTTGTTTTAATTTTACTTTTAAATTTTAGTCATTAATTTCATGATTATTTGTGGAATATACCAGGTGTTGTTCTGCATGCATGGTGAACAACAAATGAAAATCTCTGCCAGAGTGAAGCTTATATTCTAGCAGGGGAGACAAATAATAATCAATATAATATTATTTTAATATAATTTAGTTATATTAATATAATTAATATATAGCATAATAAGAAAATGATATAGTCTGCTAGAAGGTAGTAAGTACTATTGCCTTCTTTGGTCACAAATAGGTGTATTTTATATTTTCCTGATATAAAACTTGTTTTGGAAGACTATGTCAGCTAATTTTATAACCATAAGACTATGTTGCTGATTTTATCAACATAAGCAATTGAAACTTTGTGATGTTCTTCAATGTTGACATTTATTCCCTACAAGCAACTGATTTTCAAATTTAGTAACTTTCTTCCAAATAACGTAGCTTGCATTCATTATCTTGTCTTTTTGAATCACCAGTGTTTTTCCCAACCTACTGGTTAACCTGATCCTGTGTTCCATGTAATCCTTGAACATTCATTTATGCTGGAAGGTTCAGGGCACTTTTGAACATTCACCAGAGCACAGTTCACTCTTCACCTAACAAGGGATGGGGTGGATAATGTGCCTTTGTTTTTCCTGTTGTCATGGTACAGCAGAGCTGTTACTATTTTGCCCCAAGAGAAAATTGTTGCCTATGGCAACAAGCGAAGGAAAATGAAACAAATACAGTTTTACGCAAATCTTATATTTTCTCTCTTCCTCCAGAGTCTATGTATGCTTGCTATTTTGAAATATTTCTATTAGAGAAAATAAAAAACCTGATTCTCAGTGTCCTGATTGGGAAAACAAATGTACAGATCTACAGTCCCTGAAGTCCATAAAGCTGAAATCATTGGGGACAGGTATATTTCAGAATTTAAGGGTTTTCAGTGTTTGTAAAGGTAATACAGTAAGTACATATACCAGATATTTGTTTTGCAGTAGTCTTCATTTAAAATTCCTAACCCCAATTCTTGTGCTTTATTTAAGACTATTATTGCTGGTCTATTAACTTGATTTACTTGGAGTTTTTTTTTTTTTGAGATAAGGTCTTGCTCTGCCACCCAGGCTGGAGTACAATGGCACCATCTCGGCTCACTGCAACCTCCACCTCCTGGGTTCAAGCGATTCTCCTGCCTCAGCCTCCTGAGCAGCTGGGACTACGGGTGCACCACCACACCCAGCTGTTTTTTGTATTTTTTGTATAGATGGGCTTTCACCATGTTGCCCAGGCTGGTCTCCAACTCCTGAGCTCAGATGAACTGCCAGCCTTGGCCTCCCAAAATGTTGGGATTACAGGCGTGAGCCACTGCACCTGGCTTGGGGTTTATAATTCTTAAGATGCATGTTTTAGCAAACACAATTAGTATTTTATTACTGAACCAAAAGTTTTAATACCTTCTAAACAAATACTGGAAGACAACTCAGCATTGATGGAATGTGTGTAAACATCAGTATTTTTATATACACTACATACATGTATATCAGTTTATTTATAAATATCCTAGAAGACTTAGCTATTTTAGGTGTAACAAATAGAAGTTGAGTGGATGAAGTAGAAAAAATGAATGATTAATAGTTACCTACTTTATGTATTAAATAATACATATTGTTTTGGTAGACAATAAAAAATGAGTGTTTTTCCCTCAGATTCAATTACATTTAATAAAAAGTCAGGGTACATTTCTTTTTTTATACTCTTCAGAGTTTGTGCAGTTAAAAGTAAAAATTTATGTATGTAAACAACTTTTGGGAGCACTAATAATTTTTTACATTAGAAGACAAGAAGGCTATGTTCTCATTTACTTAGTTTTTGGACCCTTGGCTTGGATGTCATACTAGGTAATTTTAACCACTGGATGCACGGATGCACTGGATGTTTGTGTTTGCCAATGAGTGGTTAGCCTTTTTTCTTCTTTCTTTTTTTTTTTTTTTTTTGAGATGGAGTCTAGCTCTGTCCCCTAGGCTGGAGCGCAGTGGCGCAATCTCGGCTCACTGCAAGCTGTGCCTCCCATGTTCACGTCATTCTCCTGCCTCAGCCTCCGGAGTAGCTGGGACTATAGGCACCCGCCACCACGCCCGGCTAATTTTTTTTTTTTTTGGTATTTTTAGTAGAGACGGGGTTTCACTGCGTTAGCCAGGATAGTCTTGATCTCCTGACCTCGTGATCCGCCTGCCTCGGCCTCCCGAAGTGCTGGGATTACAGGCGTGAGCCACCGCGCCCGGCCGTGATTTGCCTTTTAACTGAGATTTGCCTCTGATCTTCAGTGAAGTTCACAGATGTTGCCTTATCAGAAAGTTGGTATTTGGGAAAAGTTTTCAGAAAATATATCCCCTATATTTAGAATATATATCCCTTATATATAGAGGAAAAAAGTTTTCTATTTTCTTTAAAGCAACGCAACTAAATAATGCGACCTATCAAATTGTTTCATCTTAATTCAGGGACACAAGAGGAATGCTGCTCTGGAGGACACTAGCATCTATCAAGTGTTTTCTCGTTCATTGCTAAGTGTACAGTTCATTGTTCGGTCACCTGTGTCTGTCAGTTTAGCATATGTAAGGCAGTTCTCAGCATCCTTCATTCTTCTCTGAAACTTACATGGAGGCTTCAAACATTGTCTGGCTCATTATTTCCCAAGAAAGGTTAAGCCCTTTACTGTCAGACCGGAACCCTTCGCTAATTAGAGCCCTTGCTTTGTCACTGAACGTGTCACGTTTGCAAGCCTTCCTGCTGTGATCAGGGGCACGTTGCTCACTCGCATAAATGTCCAGCGACCCCAGATCTCCAGGGAAGACTGCCTACTATTTTCTGTGTGACAAATGTTTAACTTGCTAAAATCCTAACTCCCCTTTAACAGACTTTTATGTAGAATTGGATGAGATAGTCACCAGTTCACAAAGAAGCTTTTGCTTAATACTGCCCTGTTTATCGCTTCAGTTTTAGTGAAGTTGAGTCCACGTAAAATAATAAAAGCAATACTTTCAAATGTGGAAAAAATAGTAAATTTTCCCACTCGTTAAAAAAGGAATGTGTCTGTATATCTGTTACATAGTATTTTTCATTTCATAAAAAAATCTTGCTTCTTTTTGATTAGGTAAAAAATCTGTTCTTTTTTATTTAATTTATAAGGATACCCAAGATTGTTTTAAATGATTAAAATGATATCATATAACTACATTACTTCCATTGACTTTCTTCTTTGATTCAGGAAATATATAATTTACAGTTTCTTTTTCAGTTGATAGGATTTTACCATTTGCAAGGATAGAAGGATTAAATGCACTGGCATTTAATTAAATTGTGTCCTTGAATTGTCAAAGACTGCTTTTGGGAGTAAGTCAGGCTTCACCCTTCCTAGTCATAGGAGGGTTCCTGTATCTTTTGTTGGATCATTACCTCCTTCCATTTCCAGCTTTCCTTGGTTACATCAGAGAGCTGGCCCAAATGATGTGAGTGTCTTCGTGTTTGATTTCATTATGGGTTAGTTAACTTCTTGAAGAAAATTGTCTATTATGTATATAGATCACAATTGTATATTTGGCTGGTTGATTCACAGGTTAATTTTAGATATAAGATTAGTTCACAAGCCTAGTGCACTTTTCTTTTTGAAGGAAAATACATTATAAAACTTAAAAAAGAGTTGTATTAAATGTCAGAGTTATTTAAGGCCAGAGGAAAGAAATTTTCTTTTTTACCAAGAAAGATTTTTAGCATACTTCCTTCTGAAGAAAAAGGAATTAAAAGGAAAAGAAAAAGCCAGCAAGCTGTAGGAACTTGTTTATAGAAAGTTTTAAAATTATAAAAAGTCATATATTTATTGCTTAATTCAAGAACTTAAATTTCTTTGTCTTGATACTTCTCAAAAGAATGCTGTATTAAAAATCCAGTGACTTTTAAAAAATATAAAACCAATGATAAAATATCAGATCATTAAAGCTGTTTTTATACATTTGTCCCTTTGGAAAAAGGATACATCATCAAGTTTCCTTACTGGGTTTGAGTTTCTATACTTATTTTTATCTTTTTATTTTACTAATATTCAGACTCAGTTTTACCAACTGTATTTATTTGACATACACACACACACACACACACACACACACACACACACACACACTTCATTGGGGAGAAGGACGATAGAGATGAGAGGGGCTTTTTATTGATTTTTTTTCATCCTAATTTTAGAAAGATGTTCATTATAGAAATTTTAGAAAAAAGAAGAAAGAAATGCCACTAGGAATCCAACACCTTAAGGAAACAATAACTTTTAAGTTTGTTTTTCTTCCTTTATGAGTAGCTAATTTATGTTTGTAACTCATTAAATCATAAAAGTTTTAAGGTTTAAAAATTTATTTGTGTGAGATATGCATATATATTTACTTATATGGCCAATCTCCATTCTGTGATTTATATTCACTACTATTGTACAGTAGACTGTAATTAGTTTTTACATTTTTAATTGCTTTTGATTTTTTAAAAGTTTATTTTAAGTTAACAAGTAATACATAAACATAGTCTTGGAAAAGATTGAGAGGGTACATGGGTTTGTTCCCTTTTTTCCAGTTCCCCATGCCAGTCCCCTACTGGATTTAACCATGGTCACTAGTTTTGTGTTTATCTTTCCCAACATTTTTATTTTCATTAACATAAGTATTAGGTTATTAAGTGGGACTTCTCCTGTTGCTCTGGACTAAGGGACAAAACCAAGGACATATGGTACAGCCAGTACCTCATGTTCTAAAGAGAGCTGTAGTGTGACCAACCCTCCAGGGCTCAAATAGGGTCTGCAGTTCCCAATCACATACTAACCCTCCTTCTAACTCTAGGCTCCTTCCACTTATATAAGAGAACTCTAGGAGGAGTTGGATAGAGAGAGGAAATAAGGGGAAGAAGGCAAGAGAGACAGACAGAGAATAATGGTTTCCAAGTGAATTACTTGGAGAGAATGAGAATTCTTGCAAAAACAGGTTGAAGTTTACATATGTAGCTTACTGGCAGATCAAACTCCATATATGTTTGAGCAGGAGAACAATGGGTAGAAATAGGCTGCACGGGTCAGCCTGTATTCCTGCGGATTGGTGTGGAGGGATGTGTGAGCTTCCTGTGGGGCAGTAGACACTATGACAGGTAGTAAGTTTATACCATTCTGCCAGTGCCTCAGGTCAGGATCTGCCACTGTCAGTGAATTACCCTTTCTCCCCACTGATTCTTTTGAGGTTTTATATCAAAAATTTAAATATACTAAGACTGGTATACTATATAGCATTTAAAATGTTATCTCATTAAAATATACCAATATATGTTTTAACTGTACTGGTTAATATATTTTAAGTGTATTCAGAAGAACTGGCTATTAGTATATTTTAAATTATTTTGAATTTTAGAATAGTTTTGAACTATACTTTCCTGTTGTTCTCCCAGATGAATGTAGAATCCAAATATCAAATCCTCAGGGTCCATTTGAATTTTAGCCTTTTTATAAGAGTATTTGTCAGTAAGAAATCCAGCTCTCCAAGAAAAAAACAAATAACCCCATTAAAAAGTGGGCAAAGAACATGAACAGACACTTTGTAAAAGAAGACATACATGTGGCCAACAAGCTTGTGAAAAAAAGCTCAACATCACTGATCATTAGAGAAATGCACATCAAAACCACAATGAGATACCATCTCATGCCAGTCAAAATGGCTATTATTAAAAAGTCACAAAATAACAGATGCTGGCGAGGTTGTGGAGAAAAAGGAATGCTTGTACACTATTGGTGGGAGTGTAAATTAGTTCAATCATTGTGGAAGACAGTGTGGCAATTTCTCAAAGACCTAGGCAGGAACACCATTTGACGCAGCAATCTCATTACTGAGTATATACCCAAAGGAATATAAATCTTTATGTCATAAGGACACATGCATGCCTATGTTCACTGGAGCACTATTCACAATAGCAAAGACATGGAATCAACCCAAATGCCCATCAATGGTAGACTGGATAAAAAGAAGTGGTACATATACACCATGGGATACTATGCTGCCATAAAAAGGAAAATGATCATGTACTTTGCAGGGACATGAATGCAGCTGGGGGCTAATATCCTTAGCAAACTAACACAGGAACAGAAAACCAAATGCCACATGTTTTCACTTATAAGTGGGAGCTAAGTGATGAGAACAAAGGAACACATAGAGGGGAACAACAGACACTGGGGCCTGTCTGAGAGTAGAGGGTGGAAGGAGGGAGAGGATCAGGAAAAATAACTAATGGATACTAGGCTTAATACCTGGGTGATGAAATAATTGGTACAACAACAGTCCCCCATGACACATGGTTACCTATGTAACAAACCTGCACATCCTATACATGTACCCCTGAATTTAAAATGAAAGTTACAAAAAAAAAAAAAAAAGAAATCTGACTCATTATCATTAATACAGAAATTCTTTGTTCAGGTTTACTTGCTTGTTCAACCCTGTGAATGTAACCAATGTCATGAGTGGATGCCTTGCTCACTATCCCTATGTTCCAAAACCCCAAGCCAGCTCTTATAGCTTCACATTGATACCCTGGGCCTGGCCAGCATCCCCTTGGCCTTCATGGCAATGCCCTTCTCACCCTGGTTGGCCAGCACCTCACAGTAGGCCATCTCCCTGTTTGGCAGTTCCTTCTCCCCCTGCTCTGTCTCTGACTACCACTCCTCTTGCTTTCACACTAGCACAGGCACTGATCTCACACCAGGTCACCACTCTTGCACAGATGCTCTCATTACTGCACTGGAGCCCAGACCCTCTGTGGGAATGTCCGCCCCACTCAAATGGGCTCTGCCATGATACCCCGTGCCAGAATGCCCCTCCATGAGGATGATCTTCGTACCTTGCTTGGACTTCAGCATTCTGCTCGAGGTCTTTTCCCACACAGACATCCTCCACAGCCAGCATGGGCTCTGGCACCCTGGGCTGGGTCACCTCCATGCTGGATGTTCTCTTCACTCTCTTTGGGTCCTGACTCTCCACACAATGCTGCCACAATTCATGAACTTCTTCCTCACCCTGCTCTGACTCTAATAGCCTGCCCTGGTTGTACCCCCTGTGTCACACCTACTTGGCTTCCTGCACTACGTTGCCTCCTCACATGAATGCTCTCCTGACCCCATTCAGGTATTAACTCTCCATGCTGGACAATCCTATTGCCTGGACACCCTTCTTACCCTGCTTAGGTTTTGCACCTAGACATCTTCCTTGTTTTACCCCACATAATAATGATCTGAGTTGTTCAGAAAAGAAGGGATGGGAAGGAAAGGAGAAGTGAAAGAGCTGTGATTGACTTTTGTACCTTTTTCCCAAATGAGTTTATTACATGTGATTAAAAGGCAAATAAGATAAGGCCTTTGCCTTCCATAGGTTTACATTCTGGAAGGGGGACAAACACATAGAGATATTAGAGTACAGTTGTGTCTATTAGTCTGTTCTCCCACTGCTATAAAGAAATACCTGAGACTGGTAATGTATAAAGAAAAGAGGTTTAATTGACTCATGGTTCCATAGGCTGTACAGGAAGCATGGCTGGGGAGGCCTCAGGAAACTGGTAATCATGGCAGAAGGTGAAGGGGAAGCAGGTTCATCTTACATGGCAGGAGCAGGAGGAAGAGAAGAGGGGCGTGTGTATGGGGTGGGGTGGGAAGGGTGGTGGGAGGTGCCATACAATTTTAAACAACCAAATCTTGTGAAAACGCTATCATGAGAATAGCACCAAAGGGGGAAATCCGCCCCCATGATCCAGCCACCTCCCACCAGGCCCCACCTCTGCCACTGGGGATTACAATTCAAAATGAGATTTGGGTGGGGACACAGATCCAAACCATATCAGTGTGCTAACACAGTACTGTTTTGTAGGTGCTGTAGTAACATACTGGAACTATACCTATGTCAGTCTGGAGGATTTGGTAAAGGCCTTTGGGAGGTGGTGATGAGCAGCTCAGTCTTTAGAAAATAGGAGAATCTAACTTGGTAAAAAGAGACTATGGTAGGCTGATGAACTCATAACATTTGCATCAGATTATTTATAAATATAAGCAAGCATAATATTAAAAGTTTTAGTATTACTAGGAAAGTACAAATAGGTTTAGTTTATTTAAAAAGCCTTTATTAATGAGAAAATCTCATCATAGAAGCAGGTGGACCTTCTTTGTTTTTCTGAAAAACAAGGAAATTGGTTTAAGAATGAGTTCATGTTGCTTTGAGGGCCTGACACATGCCTGAATGTGACCTACTACAACCACAAAAAACAATTTAAAATGAAGCCCTAACTATTTTATAATGGAATGCCTAATTTGTGCTGGGAATAAGCACAACAAACCTGACTATAAAGGAAAGGGAAGTTATTCTTTATATTTGGAATGCCTTTAAATTTCTTTTTAATTAAAAAAAAAATCAGCCAAGAATATTGACAAAGTTTTCCTTGCTGTGGTGCCCTGAAGCTTGCCACCGTGACCCATGCTTAATGGCCAAGAGTCTTTGGAAAACCTCATTCAATAGACATAAGAATTATATGTGAGTGAGACCTGTGGGTTAGAAATGGGATTAGAGAATCTGTCCCTGGGAGTATTTTTTGGGTGCACAATTAGTTCTTTTAACTTGGCTTTCCTATGTATATGAAATAGGGTGTGCATATTTGTCCTGAAAAAAAAAACTTATTTATAACATTGTTTATTAAAATCAAAATTAAATGAATTATGGAATATTTTTCTAGCCCGAGAAAACATAAATATTTCTGATAGTGATTTTACAAGACTGAGCAGAGTTGGTTTATCGAATGTATTCTGTGTTTTCATTTATTTACAGAGTACATTAAAATTGGAAGTTCCGTGTGGGGAAAAACAGGCAATTTTGGTGGTCTCAATCTGTTGGAAAGGCCCAGGTGGTGATTTTAGCTAACAATGGTGGTTAAGGCCCAGTTCTGCTGTTCATAAACTCCATGACCTTGGGCTAGTTACTTCACATCTCTCCATAACAGTTTCCTCATGTGTATGATGTGAATAATACTGTTAAGAAAAATGGTAACCTTTTCTCATAGCATCTTATTTGCAGATTACTAGACTGAATGAACTGTGGATATAATATAGTTTCTCCACATAAAATCTATGTCCAAGTAACTTTATTTTAAAGGACATTACCCCAGTGCATCCAGTTATTTGCACTGAGTAATTCTGGAATTAATATAATTTTACTTACAGGAAACATGAAAAAACGAAACTTCTTCTAAGCTAACATATTAAAAAAGCAAAACACAAAACTTGCTAACTTTAGCTACTTAATACTTAAGATTCACAGGAGTAGGGATAATATTTTTTATCTCGAATACAATGTTGATTACATAGGGAGAAATAACTGTGTTGGTTGTTAATAGATTTGCCTGTGAATGATGGTTAAATTATATATTATCTTTAACTGCTCCTATGAAGAATGGCAGTGCTCTGTCTTTGTGTACTGAGATTACTTATATAATCTAAGACATGACATTAAAGGGACCACTGGTTGTGAGAAACATGATTCTATTAAATCAAGTTGTACTGTTTTCAAATAAGTAGAGAGTCTAATCATTGTATTAGGGTCAAGATCACAACACTTTTGGAAAAGAAATTTGCAATTGTAATAAATTAGAGTTCAGTCTTATTATTACTTTGGGAAACATTTTTTTCTTACAAATATAGTTACTTGTCGAGCTACTGAAAAATATTTTGTTCAGGCAATTTTTGGGTAAAATATTACAGGTTGTTTAGTATCATATAAGTTTTCATGGCTGCTTTTATGATGTTTCTGCTAAAATATTTTATGAAGTAGAAATGCTATTAAACCCTAAAACTAAATGAAAATAAGCATAATTTAGACAAAACAAAACCTCATTTAATCTGATTTTTTTTTTCAAAGCAAATGCCTAGCTTTAAAAATTAGAGCCACAGACAGGACAGAGCAAGCTGAGGCAATGTAAGTCTCCACTGATTGTCCCCACCGCCCCATGCATGAACATCAAATTTTAACAACTATCTGTATGCAAGAAAGCACCTTCATAAGAACCAAAAATCAGGTGAACACTGTAAGTCCCTGGTTTTAACTTCATATCAATGAAAGATGCACTGAAGAAGGTAGGAAAGACAGTGCTGAATTGCATACATCACCCCAGCAGCAGCTGCGTGGTGCAGACAGAGAATCAGTGCACTTTGGGGAGGGAAAGTACAATTACTGGGGGACTTTGCATTGAACCCAGTGCTGCCCTGTCATGGTGGAAAGCAAAACTGCTAAACTCAGCCAGCACCTACTCATGAAGGGGGTATGGACCAGCCCTAGCCAGAGGGGAAGTGCCCATCACAGTGCCCAAAACTTGAGTTTAAGCAAGCCTTGCCACTGTGGGCTAAAGTGCTCTGGGTGCTAAGTGAACTTGAAAGGCAGTCTAGAATACAAGGATTGTAATTCTTCGGTGAGTCCTGATGCCATGTTGGGCTTAGGACCAATGAAATGGGGCGGAATGTGACCTAGTGAGACACCAGACAGGGTAGCTGGGGGAGTGCTTGTGCCACCTCTTGCCACAACCCCAGGCAGTGCCGCTTGCCACAACAAAAATGATTCCTTCCTTCTGCTTGAGAAAAGGAGAGAGAAGAATAAAGAGGGCTTTGTCTTACATGTTGAATACCAGCTCACCCACAGTAGGAGAGGGCACTGGGAAGAGTTGTGAAGCCCCCATCCCAGGCCCTAGCTCCTGGAAGACATTTCTAGACATACTCTGGGAAAGAAGGGAATATTCTGCCATGAAGGGAAGGATCCAGTCCTGGAAGGATTCATCACCTCCTAATTAAAGAGCCCTTGTGCCCTGAATAACCAACAGCAACACCCAGGTAGTACACCATGGGCCTTGGGTGAGACTCTGATACATGCTGGCTACAGGTACCAGCTCTGCCACAGTGGAGGTATCAGCTCTGCTACATTTATATATTAAATGCCTTTCTGTTTCTTTTTAATTTTTAAAAATTCAGCCAAGAATATTATTAAAGAGGGTTTTACTTGCTGTGGTGTCCTGAAGCTTACCACTTTGACCCATGTCGAATAGTCAAGAGGGTTTGCTTTGGGAAAACATCATTCAATAGGTATAAAAATCATGTTCAAGTGAGTCCTAGGTCTGATGAAAGGTACCACCCAGGCTCTTTGGGTTCCCAAGTACAGTCATAGGCTCTTGGATAGCATTTCTGGACTTGCCTTTGGCCAGAGGGCAACCCACTGCCCCTGCCCTAAAGGGTGAATCCCAGGCTTGGTAGTATTCACCACAAGCTGACTGATGAGCCTTTGGGCTTTAAGTGAACATCAGTAGTGGCCTGGCAGAACTCCCCATGGGCCAGTGGTGGTGGTGGCCTTGGAGAGAGGCTACTTTATCTGTGGAAAAGGGAGGGAAGAGTGGGAAGTGGCCTGAGTGCCAGCTTAGCTGAAGTAGAATACCAGGTAGATTTCTAAGATTTTTTTTTTTTTTTTTAAATTTTGAGACAGGGTCTTGCTCTGTTGCACAGGCTGGAGTACAACAGAACAATCAGGGCTGACTGCAGTCTCAACATTCTGGGCTCAAGCAATCTTCCCACCTCAGCCTCCCAACTAGCTGGGACTACAGGTACATGTCACCATGCCCTGGTGAATTTTTTCATTTTCAGTAGACACGATGTGTCTCTATTTTGCCTGGGCTGGTTTTGAACTCTTGGTCTCAAGTGAGCCTCTGACCTTGGCCTCCCAAAGTGTTGGGATTACAAGTGTGAGCCACCATGCTTAGCCAATTTCTAAGGTTTTTGACTCCAATTCCTGGCTCCCAAACAACATCTCTGGGCCTGCTTGGGGCCTGGGAGACCTCACTGCCCTGAAGGGATGGACACAAACCTGGCTGACTTCGTTATCTGCTGATTGAAGAGTTCAAGGATCTTGAGTGAGTGTAGGTTCTAGCCAGGTAGTGATTACAGTGGCCCTTGGATGAGCCCCAGTGCTGTGTTGGCTTCAGGTCTGACCCTGGAAAGTTCCAATCCTGGTGGTCACATGGGTGCTTGCATCACCCCACTTCTAGGTGCAGGCAGCTCAGTATAGAGATGCCATTTGTTTGGAAAAAAGTAAGGGACAAGAACAAGAGTCCGTGCCTGGTAATCCAGAGAATTCTTCCAGATCTTATATGAGACCACTACAATGGTACCTCCAGGAGTCTGCAAGAATCACAGCATTACTGGGCTTGGGGCCCATGTCCCTTCAAATACCTGGACAGCCTTCCTAAGAAGGATAGGCACAGATTATGATGCCCAGGTTGCAAAGACCACAATAAATGTCTAACTTTTTAATGCACAGACAACAGTGAACATCTACAATAATCAAAACCAAACAGGAAAACATGACCTCACCAAAAGAACTAAATAAGGCAGCAAGGATCAGTCCTGGAGAAACAAAGATATGTGACCTTTCAGACAGAGAATTCAAAATAACTGTTTTGAGGAAACTCAAAGAAATTCAAAATAACAGAGATGGAATTCAAAATTCTATCATATAAACTTAACAAAGAAATGGAACTAAAGGATTAAAAAGAAATTCTGGAGTTGAAAAATGCAAGTGACAGACTGAAGAATGCATCAGAGTCTCTTAATAGCAGCACTGATCAAGCAGAAGAATTAGTGAGCTTGAAGACAGGCTATTTGAAAATACACAGAGGAGACAAAAGAAAAAAGAATAAAAAGGAGCAAAGCATGCCTACAAGGTCTAGAAAATAGCCTCAAAATGGCAATTCTAAGAGTTACTGGATTTAAAGAGTATATAGAGAAGGAGATGGGGTAGAAAATTTATTCAAAGAAATAATATCAGAGAACTTCCCAAACCTAGAGATAGATATCTATATTCAAGTACAAGAAAGTTATAGAGCATCAAGCAGATTTAACTCAAAGAAGACTCCTTCAAAGCATTAATAATCAAACTCCCAAAGGTCAAGGCTAAAGAAAGAATCCTAAAAGTAGCAAGAGAAAAGAAACAAATAACATACAATCCAGCTCTAATACATCTGGCAGCAGCCTTTTCAGTGGAAACCTTACAGACCAGGAGTGAGTGGCGTGACATATTTAAAGAGCTGAAGGGAAAAAAAACCCATTTACCCTAGAGTAGTATATCTAGCAAAAATATACTTCAAGCATGAAGGAGAAATAAAGACTTGCCTAGTTAAACAAAGCTGAGGGATTTCATCAACACCAGACCTGTCCTACAAGAAATGCTAAAGGGAGTTATTTGATCTGAAAGTAAAGGATGTTAATGAGCATTAAAAAGTCATCTGAAGGTACAAAACTCAGTGGTAATAGCAAGCACACAGAAAAACACAGAATATTATAATACTGTAATTGTGGGATATAAACTATTCTGATCATAAGTAGAAAGACTAAATAATGAACCAATTAAAAATAATAACTACAACTTTTCAAGATGTAGACAGTATATAAGACATAAAGAGAAACAACAAAACTTTAAACAGGGTGGGGGACAAAGTTAAAGTGTAGAGTTTGTATTAGTTTTCTTTTTTCTTGTTTGTGTGTTTGTTCATGCAATCAGTGTTAAGTTGCCATCTGTTAAAAATAATGGGTTATAAGATAGTATCTTCAAGCCTCATGATAACCTCAAATCAAAATACATAAAATGGATATGCAAAAAATAAAAAACAAGAAATTAAATCATATCATCAGAGAAAATCACCTTCACTGTAAGGAAGATAGGAAGGAAGGAAAGAAGGAAGAGAAGACCACAAAACTCGCAGAAAACAAGTAATAAAGTGGAAGGAGTAAGTCCTTACTCATCAATAATTACATTGAATATAAGTGGACTAATCTCTCCAACCAAAAGACATAGGGTGGTTGAATGGATAATAAAACCCATTGATCTGTTGCCTACAAGAAGCACACTTCACCAATCAAGATACACATACACTGAAAATAAAGGGATGGAAAAAGATATTCCATGCCAATAGAAACAACAAAAAAAATAGATTTCAAGACAGAAACTCTAAGGAGAGACAAAGAAGGTCATTATATAAAAGGGTCAATTCAGCAAGAAGATATGACAATTACAAATATATATATGCAGCCAATATACATATGCGGAACATCCAGATATATAAGTCAAATATTAGAGCTAAAGAGAGAGAGATACTTCAATACAATAATAGCTGGAAACCTCAACACCCCACTTTCAGCATTAGACAGATCTCTGAAAAAAAACACAACAAAGAAACATCAGACATAATCTGCACTATAGATCAAATGGACCTAATAGATATATACATAACATTTCATCCAATTGCTGCAGAATACACATTCTTCTCCTCAGCATATGAATAATTCTCAAGGATAGAATATATGTTAAGTCCCAAAACAAATCTTCAAACATTCAAAAGAATTGAATAATATCAAACATCTCCTCTGACCACAATGGAATAAAACTAGAAATTAATAACATGAGAAATTTTGGAAACTATTCAAACACATGGAAATTAAACAATATGCTACTGAATGACCAGTTGGCCAATGAAGAAATTAAAAAGAAAATTGAAAAATTTCTTGAAAGAAATAATGAAAACACAACATACCCAAACCTATGGGATACAGTGAAAGCAGTATTAACATGGAAATTTATAGGCACAAGTTCCTACATCAAAAAAGAAGAAAAACCTCAAATAAATAACCTAATGATACATCCTGAGAAATAGAAAAGCAAGAGAAAACTGAACCCCAAATTAATAGAAGAAGATAAGAAATATAAAGATCAGGGCAGAAATAAATGAAGAAAATAATACAAAAGATCAATGAAAGGAAAAGTTGCTTTTTGAAAAAATAAAATTGACAAACCTTTAGGCAGACTAAGAAAAAAAATAAAGAAGACCTGAATAAATAAAATCAGATATGATAAAGGAGACATTTTAAGTGATACTGCGGAAAGTCAAAGAATCATTTAGAGGTCACTATGAGCAACTATATTCCAATAAATTGGAAAAGCTAGGGAATCTGGGTAAATTTCTAGACATATGTAGCCTACCAAGATTGAACCATGGATAAATTCAAAACCCAAACAGACCAATAACAAGTAATTAGAGCGAAGCTGTAATAAAAAGTCTCCCAGGAAATAAAAGCATGGGACCCCATGGCTTCACTGATGAATTCTACCAAATATTTAACATAGAACTAATATCAATCCTACTCAAACTACTCCAGAAAATAGAGGAGGGAGGGAATCCATCCAAACCCATTCTACAAGGTCAGTAGAGGTATTACCCTGATACCAAAACCAGACAAAGATGCATCAAAAGAAGAAAACTGTGGGCCAATATCCGTGATGAATATTGATACAAAAATCTGCAACAAAATACTAGCAAACTGAATTCAACCATACATTGAAAATATTATTCAGTAAGTCCAAGTGGGATTTTCCCTAGGGATGCAAATATGGTTCAACTCATGCAAATCCATTGATGTGACATATCATTTTAACAGAATGAAGGATAAAACCCATATGATCATTTCAATTGATGCAGAAAAAGCATTTGATAAAATTCAACATCCCTTCATGATTAAAATCCTCAAAAGCAGAATAGAAGGAACATACCTCAACATAATAACAGCCTTAAATGACAGACTCTCAGCTAGTATCATACTGAGTTGGGAAAAACTGAAAGCCTTTCCTCTAAGTTGTGAAACATGACAAGAATGCCCACTTTTATCACTCTTATTCAGCATAATACTGGAAGTTCTAGCTACAGAAATCAGATGAGAGAAAGAAATAAAAGGCATCCAAATTGGAAAGAACAAAATCAAATTATTCTTGCTTGCAGATGATATGATCTATTTGGAAAAACCTAAATACTGCACCAAAAGAAAAAAAAACACATTAGAAGTGATAAACAAATTCAATAAACTTGCGGGATACAAAATTAACCTATAAAAATCAGTAGTATTTTTATATGCCAACAGTGAATAATCTGTAAAAGAAATAATCTCATTTACAATAGCCACAAATAAAATTAAATACCTAGAAAGTAACTTAACAAAAGAAGTGAAAGATCTGTATAGTGGAAACTATAAAATACTGATAAAAGAAATGGAAGAGGACACACAGAAATGGAAAGATATTTTATGTTCATAGATTGGAACCATCAATGTTGGTAGAATGTCTCTACTACCCAGAGCAATCTATAGATTCGATGTAATCCCTATCAAAATACCAATGACATTCTTCATAGAAATAGAAAAAAAAAATCCTTAAATTTATATGAAACCACAAGAGACCCAGAATAGTCTAAGGTATCCTGAGCAAAAAGAACAAAACTGGAGAAATCACATTCCTCCTGAGCTATAGTAACCAAAACAACATGGTACTGGCATAAAAACTGACACAAAGACCAATAGAACAGAATAGAGAACCCAGAAACAAATCCAGACATCTTCAGGGAACTCTTTTTGACAAAGGTGCCAAAAACATAAGCTGGGGAAAAGAAAATGTCTTCAATAAATGGTGCTGGGAATACTGGATATCCATATGCAGAAGAATGAAACTGGACCCCTACCTCTCACGATACACAAAATCAAATAAAATGGATTGAAGACTTAAATTTAAGACCTTTAACTATGAAATTACCATAAGAAAACATTGGGGAAACTCTCCAGGACATTAGTCTGGGCAAAGATTTCTTGAGTAATACCCCACAAATAATCAAAGCAAAAATGGACAAAAGGGAACACATCAAGTTAAAAACCTGGACAGCAAAGGAAACAGTCAGCAGAGAGAAGAGACAATCTACAGAATGGGAGAAAATATTTGCAAACTATCTGACAAAAGATTAATAACCAGAATATATAAGACACTGAAACAACTCTATAGGAAAAAAGGTAGTAATCTGATTAAAAATGGGCAAAAGATCTGAATAGACATTTCTCCAGAGAAGACATAGAAATGGCAAAGAGGCATTTGAAGAGGTGCTCAGTATCATTGTTCATTAGAAAAATGCAAATCAAGACTACAATGAGATGTCATCTTACCTCAGTTAAAATGGCTTATATTCAAAAGACAGGCAGTTACAAATGTTGACAGGGATGTGGAGAAAAGGGAACCCTCATACGCTGTTAGTGAGAATGTAAATTAGTACAACTACTATGGAAAACAGTTTAGAGATTCCTCAAAAAACTAAAACTATAGCTACCATATCATTCTGCAATCACACTGCTGGGTATATATCCAAAAGAAAGGATATCAGTATGTTGAAGAGATATCTGCATCTCATGTTTATTGCAGCACTATTCACAATAGATAGGAGCAACCTAACTGTCCATCAACAGATGACTGGATAAAGAAAATGTGGTGCATATACACAATGGAGTACTAATCAGTCATAAAAAAGAATGAGATCCTGTTATTTGCAACAACATGGATGGAACTGGGGGTCATTATATTAGGAACTGGGGGTCATTATGTTAATTGAAATAAACCAGGGACAGAACGACAAACATTGCATGTTCTCACTTATTTGTGGGAGATAAAAATTAAAATAAGTGAACTCATTAAGATAGAGTGGAAGGATGACTACCTCTGCTAATCTGGGAAGGGTAGTTCTTGGGTGAGGAAGAAGTGGGGATGGTTAATGAGTACAAAAAAATAGAAATAATGAATGAGTTCTAGTATTTGATAGCACAACAGGGTACCTTGTACATTTAAAAATAACTAAAGTTAATAATTGTACATTTAAAAATAACTAAAACAGTATAATTGGATTGTCTGTAACACAAAGGATAAATGGTTGAGGTGATGGATGCCCTACTTACTATGATTTAATTATTACCTATTGCATGCCTGTATCAAAGTATTTCATGTATCCTATAAAGATATATACCTACTATGTACCCAGAAAAATTAAAAATAAGAAGTTAGAAAAATTTGAGCCTCTTAACTAAGAAAGCCTGCATTAGGATGATTTTTCTCTTTGAAATCATTTATTTTTTTAAAATCACAAAGTTCCTGACCAAATTATGTACTACCCAAAACCTGGGAAAAAAATAAACTAACTCAATATTTTAAGGAAGCATGCCATCCAAGTCTGCATAGAAATATGTTAAACCTGCCAGAATACACAATTGAAAAAATCTATTCAGATTAAAAAATTCATCTACCCTTTATGTATCTCTATGGGGATACATAACTGTAAGATATTATTTTTCTGGCTACAAGTAATTTTATATTTGTCATAAGAGGAATTAATTTCATGAAGTTATGAAATAAGTCATAATACATAACACAGATAAACACATATAACTCTTATAACAGATAAAAACTCATCATTCATGGCTAAATATCTACAAAAATATTCAATAATTACGAGAGGACATCAAAAAGTTAATGAAAATGTGTAGTATGAAAAATTATGTATTATGAAAAACTGTATAGATTTCAAAATTTTTTTGCAACAAAATAAACTGTACTAATTTGTTATAACATTCTGAACAGGAGCTAGCTTGAGGCACCAAGGGTAAGACATCTGTTTGAAAAGAGCCCCAATCATGTTTGTTTCAGGAAGAAACATGAAACTCATGATGAAGCTTGGGTAGAAGAATGGTGGCATAATTGGTGCTTCATGAAAAGGCCATGAGAACAATAACTCAAAGAAATCAGCAGTTTACAAATGAATAAACCATTTTAAGGGATGAGATGATGAAACCCACAGCAGTAGACCATCCACATCAATTTGTGAGGAAAAAATTTGTCTTGTTTTTGCTCTAATGGAAGAAGACTGATAATTAAACAATAGCAAATTTTAAACAACATCAAGATCCTGGAGCATTTCTTCAAAGAATTCTAAAAGGCGTTGAAACATGACTTTATCAATACGATCCTGAAGACAAAGCACAATCAAAACAATGGCTACCAAGAGGTGGAAGTGGTCCAGTCAAAGGAAAAGCAGACCAATCAAGAGCAATTTGGGAATGGTCAAGGCATTTTGCTTGTTGACTTTCTGGAAGGCTAAAGAAAAATAACATCTGTTTATGAGTGTTTTGAGAAAGACAGCCAAAGCTTTATCTGGGAAAGCTTCACCACAGGATCCTTCACCATGACAGTACTCCTGTTCATTCCTCTCATCAGGAGAATTTCAATGGGAAATCATTAGGCATCTACCTTACAGTCCTGATTTGGCTCCTTCTGCCTTTTTTTTCTAATCTTAAAAAATTGTACCCATTTTTCTTTAGTTAATAATGTAAAGAAAGACTGCATTGACATGTTTAAGTTTTCAGGACTCTCAGTTCTTAAAGGATAGACTATATTGCTGGTATCATCACTTACAAAAGTGTCTTAAACTTGATGGAACTTATGTTGAGAAGTAAAGTCTGTACTTTTTATTTTTATCTCTAATTCAACTTTCCACAGACTTTTTGAAGTCCTTTTGTATCTACTGGATAGAATGTGTGAATTTTAATGAGAAAATATATTAATTGTTGTGATTATATTTAAAGTTTATTTCATGAAAATATAAGTAATATAAGTTAAATATGCCTTTTTTGTTTTCAAAACTAATTACACCATTTTGATTACCAGAAGACAGATAATAACCTCATCTAAGACAATAAGCTCACACATGGCTGTCATGTGCTGTAAAGTTTCTTTTCAAAAGATGGTATACTATGTTATACTAATTAGGTTTTGTTTGTTCATGTGTGCAGTTTTGGGTATTTATAGGCTTTTCCAGATTAAAATAAACTGTTTATAATTACACCTTTCTTCTCAGGGTGACAAATTTTTATTTTAAAAATATTTTGCAATAGAGAAGTTAAGTTGATAATTTTCTGTTGGGGGAAAAAAGTTAGTGGTTGATTCCTGTGCCATTTTTTGGAAAGTTCTCAAAAGGATTTCTCTCCCTCAATTTTTAAGGACAAATAAGGGGATTATAAGTAAGGAAATTATTCTGGGTCTAAGGCCTATGGAATTCCCAGCTGATAAATGATTGTCCCTTTGTTAGGTATATATGGCTACTTTGTGAGATGATTTAAAAAATTATGACAGTTATATTTTCAGGGTATCATTTATTTTGCTGGAAATATTTTTTCCCTATATTTTAACTTTTAGGACTCGGGGTTATGTTGAGGTACTAAATTGGAATCATTTTAGCTTCTGAGCTTTTTGTTTGAATTGGCAAGGAGGGAAGACTTTGGGTGATCTGACTTTCTATGAACTGTGTTAATTTTATGCCAGATGTTGATCTCCTTGACTGTGATCCTGTCTTGGCCTCACAACCTCAATTTCTGATGTAATTGTGCACCTGACAATTGGGCATTCTTTGTCTATCCTAAATTCAATTACCTTGGCTACAGCTATTCAGCAGGAAGAGCCCAAACCTTCTCCCTGATATCTAGAAAAAAGTTTCTTTAATTTACCAATTTGACCAAAATGAGTTCTCAAATTGCCTACATAGAATTTTTGAATGTTGACTCTTTTTATTTTCTTTTCACATGATAGTTTTCGAAGGTGTTGACTGATTTGTAGGAAATTTCATATGCAACTAGTGAATTGTTTTCAAAGTTTTGTACTGCAGATGCTTCAGAGAAGAAAGTTTCTAGGTTATGTATGGGTGAAAAACATTGTGTAGTTTTCCTTTTCTCTTAATTTATGGTACTTATTAGTCGTATAGTGAAATAATCTGTTAAAATTTCCAATGCGGCATTATAATGGGCGACTAAGCTTTTACTCTGCTATTGTTGACAAGCTTTGAAGCCATTTTCCTATGCCCCAGGAACTTTGGGGGTATTGTAATCTTGTTCTTTAGGGTAGGCCTGAAACTTCTTCAATGGCCGTGTTTCAGTTTGATGATCCACTAAAACTATATTCTTGACAAGTTTTTTTCCCCGTATTACTAGAGAAAATTGGATAAGGAATGGAGGAGCAGATTCAGTGAATTATAAAGGGCTGGATTAAATAAGTGAGATATATAGCATGCTTTTTTCACTTTGGTGGGTATTCCTTGTGTCATTTCTCCAAATAAAAGCGTAGGCAATATCTCATGGTTGGGATCAGTGGCAGGTGGCAGACACTGAAGACCAGCTATGTCATCTGAGAGTGTGCTGAGACAGCCTTATATGCTTTATGAGTAGGATCTACAGAGATGCCCACATGGGCATGGGCTGAGGAGTGTGAAATTGTGATGAGGGCTGATAAGCAAGGCTTTCTAAGGCTGGAATGACACTTCCATACTTTGTTGTATGTATATGTACATAGTATATATACATACTATATATAAAGACATTTAGAAATGTTTTTAGTACCTTTATTCTACACTATGCGTTTATCTTCTGCCTTCCCCTTATAGTGGAATTAATTTCATATGGGGATCCTTTGGATATCTCAGAAAGTTTCTTTGTAAATCTAGATTCCTGAGCTAATTCAAAAATTATTTCGATTATCCCACAATTAGTACAGTTCAATGTTATTTCATCTTAGAATTTTTCATGCTTAATACCTATTCACACCCATGGTTAATACCTATTCACACCCTATTCACACCAGGGTACTAAAAAGCACACTTTGAAAATTGTTATATTACAAGTATCTAAATATTCCTGGGGCTCATTTTGTGGTTTATTTAAAATACAGGAGATATGTTTTCAAATGAGGATTATTTCTAAAACTTTTATACTTTTTTTTACTTTTGATGCTTAGATAGATATTCATGAGTCAATAAGTAGCATATTTAGTTCATAGTTACTGTATTAGTTTCAATAGCATGAAAAAATTACCACAAATTTGGAGGCTACAGACAAAAAAAACTTTTATTCTATTCACACACCATAAAACTTCTAACTCTAGATATGTGAGAAATTTTCCCCATATATCAGGCAATTCTCCAGGACACCAACAGGTGTCTTATAATTCAATTAATTCAATTCCAACACCATCTACCTGGAGGTAGGGTCAGATACCACATGTTAAGGGCTCAGTCTCACAAGACTGCCCCCAACTTTAGATGCCAATCTCAAGTACTAGGTTGTCACTTATGCTTCTGGACCACTGGCTATAAATCAGCTTCCTCACAATCCCTCCCCAGGTTCAATTAATTTGCTAGAGTGGCTTTTGGAACTCAGGGAAGCACTTTACTTACATCTACCCATTATATTATAAAAGATATTACAAAAGATACAGAAGAATAGCCAGATGGAATAGACAAGGTATGTGGAAGGGCAAGGTATAGGGAAGGTTTGTGGAAAGGGAATAGGAACTTCCGTGCCCTCTCTTGGTGCTCCACCCTCCCAGCACCTCTATGTGTTCAGTAACTGGGAAGCTCTTCACACCCTATCTTTTGGGGTTTTCATGGAGGCTTCATTATATAGGCACAATTAATTACACCTTGGCCATGGGTGATCAACTCGACCCTCTCCTCTCCCCAGAGCTCAGGGGGTGGGGCTCAAAGTTCTAATCCTCTAATCACACAGTTAGTTTCTTTACCATCCAGCCCCTATCCTGAGCTATCCAGGTGCCCACCAAGAGTCTCCTCATTAGAACAAAAGATTATTCTATCACACAGGAAATTCAAAGGGATTTAGGAGTTCTGTGTCAGGCCCCGGGGGAGGGGGGTGGTGTGCAGAGAAGAAATCTTTCTTATTATATCACATTGGCTTAAAACCCACAAAATTATTATCTTAGAAGTATTGAAGGTCAGAAGTCCTACAATCAAGGCATCAGCAGGGCTCCATTGCTTCTAGAAGCTCCGAGGAAGAATCTGTTTCTTGCCTTTTCAGCTTCTAGAGGTCACCTGCATTCCATGGCTCAGTTAGTTCCTTGCATCACGCCAACTTCTGCTTCTGTCATTATCTCTCCTCTCTCTGACACTGAGCTGTCTGCCTCACTCTTATAAAGACCCCTGTGATTATACTGAACGTACTCAACCCAAAATAATTTCACCATCTTAAGTACAACTGCAAAGTCCCTTTTGTCTTGTTCAGTAACATATTCACAGCTTTTGGGGATTATGATGTGAACATCCTTGGAGGAGGCATTATTCTGTCTTTCACAGTCAGATAGTGCCAAAAATTATAAACTACTCATCTCTGAGCTGAGGTATCTTATAGTAAATGAATGTCATCATTAGAAACCAAATAAGTTTTCTTACAGACTTTTTTTTGAGGAGCACTAACTGCTAAAAATTACACAGGGGAATATTATAGAATATGCTTACTAGCTATTCTCTCTCTGTCATAACTAATGAATTTGTTTGTTTTTGCTGGTATTATGACATCTTTGTTCTAAATATATCAGTAGGAATCACTGAACTATAAGTACATTCCCCCTATGGCCCAAATAATAGTGCTCTATTTTTACAAATAAACATAAGGAAATTGTTACAGACCCTAACAGGAGGAATTTATATTAGATAAAAGTTTTCTTAAGCAGATGGTTATTGAATGAGAGCATCCAAATGAAATTCTGACATCTTCTAAAAAAGAGTTCACAGAATATGAAAATAAATGGTAGAAAGGACATTTTTATGATGGTGGCTAGCAATTTCTTTTCAATTTATTTTTAATAAAAAAATACTGTAGTCCTCACACAAAATTTCTCTCTTTACAATTTTTCTCTGTGGTGCCAAAGAGTCTAAAACTACTCTGAGGAAGGAAGCATATTACTTCCTTTGCCCTCCTCCCAGTTTTCGGTTTAAATCCTGCTGCTGCCAAGTTTGAGTGGAAAATCACTCCATTGCCAGTTGGCGACTTGCATGACTCTTGGACAAGAAAGCTATTTAAGCAACTTTGAAATCTACTTAGATTTTCAGAGCTGTGTGTGTGGTGTAACACCAGTGCTCCTGAAAACACTGGGAGGCACGCCATCCTCCCTGACATACTTTCAAATATGACATAAGTTTCACGTCATGGATACCGGTATAACCCAAGAGCCCAGGGGGGAGTCTTAGGCTCCCTCTGGTGAGCTCCTGCCATAAATCTGAGGACTGTTATTATTATTATTATTATTATTAGCACACATTAATTGAGCACTAACTCTGTGCTAAGAATTGTGCTAAGCCTTTAGTGCATTTTTTGTTTAATCCTCAGAACAGCTCTCTGAGAGGATTACTGTTATTATCCCTACTTTATGGATGAGGAAACTATGATGTAAGAAGTTATCACTAGCCCAAGATCACGTGGTTTGTCGGAGTTGTGATTAAAATATTTGTGTGTTTGACTTTAAAGCCTACAGTGTTAACCTTTATGCTGTGACTTATATACACATTTGTGTCTACGCAGGGAGCCAGATATTGTTCCTAAGAGCTCACATTTTAAAAATACATACATTGTTCTGATATAAAGTAATATGTAGGACTATTTCTTTAAAATAAGGGTTTTTTAAAAAAATTCTTCATTTAATATTGTTTTTCTATTCCCTATCAACTAGAGATTGCCTTTATGTTCTGAAAATAAATATAACTCTAATATTACTTTGAGATTTATGTGGCATCATTGGGGCATAGCATTAGGGGAAAAAGAGTAACTTTAAATTATTTTGATGAGAAGTAGCGTAACAGGCAGATGTAATGATGTTAAGAGTGAGGAAATTGATCTTATGCTCTGGTTCAACTTTGACTCATATTGGGAATTTGGAGAGCTACTCAGCATTTTAATAGCTTTGAACTTTTTTTCTTTACATTAAGATGTGAATAAACATAACATTAATGATTAAATGTAGAGGATTTGAATTATCTGTCTAAAGGAGGTTGACCAGCAACTAGATCCTAGGCTCACAATATCCAAGTAACCCATGCCTGCCATTCAAGCAGAATTTCTCCACAGCCAGGGGAAAGATCATTTTTTCTTACAAAGGGAGGAAGGAAGACCAGGCCTGCCCATATTCCTACAAGTCCTTAGCCCATGCTTCCTTCATGCCTGACTGAGCCCTCGTGTTGCCTGTGAGCCCAGATTTGGGTTTTGTTTCCACGTTAGCTTTTGACCAGTTCACTGTGTCAATTTGGCTGTGTGCTTCGGCTATGTTTGTTGTTTGTTACACTCCTCATCCATCCTTGTTTGCCACTCTCATTGTGAATATTGCCTTTGACCCCCTTTCATGAGCTTAATTGCAAAATCCATTGCAAGTGCCTATCTGGTATTCCAGCTCTGGTTGCAGTGAAAAACTCTTAACCCAAAGCTAAGTGCTTGTCTGAGAGAATCAAGTGCTAGATGGTCAAAAAGTCATTCTGAATTAGAGGAAAATGTTTTAAAATATTTATTATTCATAAATCTCTATTTAATCATATAATGATACTTATATACATAATTATTTTTAAGAATTTGAAGGTGCTATACTTATTTCCTCCTTTTGTCTTATTTTCCTTCTTTCCTTCCTTTTTTCTCCCTTCCCTCCCTCCTCTTTTTTTAAATTTAAGTTTTATTTTAAGTTCAAGGGTATGTGTGCAGGTTTGTTATATAGGTAAGCTTGTGTCATGGGAGTTTGTTGTTCAGATTATTTCATCACCCAGGTATTAAGCCCAGTACCCATTAGTTATTTTTCTTGATCCTCCCACCCTCCATCCTCTGATAGGCCTCAGTGTGTGCTGTTCCTCTCTGTGTGTCCATGTGTTCTCATCATTTTGCTCCTACTTATAAGTGAGAGCATGTAGCATTTGGTTTTCTGTTCCTGTATAAGTTTGCTAAGGATAATGGCCTCCAGCTGCATCCATGTCTCTGCAAAGGACATGATCTTGTTCTTTTTTATGGCTGCCTAGTATTCCATGGTGTATATGGACCACATTTTCTTTATCCAGTCTATCATTGATGGGCATTTAGGTTAATTCCATGTCTTTGCTACTGTGAATAGTGCTGCAATGAACATATATGCATGCATGTGTTGTTATGATATAATGATTTATATTCTTTTGGGTATATACTCAGTAATGGGATTGCTGGGTTGAATTGTAGTTCTGTTTTTAGGTCTTCAAGGAATTCCACACTGTCTTCCACAATGGCTAAACTAACTTACACTCCCACAAACAGTGTATAAGCATTCCTTTTTCTTCCCAACCTTGCCAGCTTCTGTTATTTTTTTACTTTTTAATAATAGCCATTCTGACTCTGACTGGTGTGAGCTGGTATTCCATTGTGGTTTTCATTCGTGTTTTTCTAATGCTCAGTGATGTTGAGCGTTTTTATCATATGCTTGTAGGCCACATGTATGTCTTCTTTTGCAAAGTGTCTATTCGTATCCTTTGCCCACTTTTTAATGGGGTTGTTTGTTTCTTAAAAATCTGTTTAAGTTCTTTATAGATGCTAGATATTAGATCTTTGTCAGATGCCTAGTTTGCAAAAATTTTCTCCCATTTTATAGGTCATGTGTTCACTCTGTTGATAGTTTCTTTTGTTGTGCAGAAGCTCTTTAGTTTAAATAGATCCCATTTGTCAATTTTTGTTTTTGTTTCAATGCTTTTGGGTCTTCGACATGAAATCTTTGTCTATGCCTGTGTTCAGAATGGTATTGTCTAGATTGTCTTCCAGGGTTTTTATAGTTTTAGGTTTTAAATGGAAATCTTTAATTCATCTTCAATTGATTTTTGTATATGGTGTATGAAGGAGTTAATTTCAGTCTTCTGCATATGGTTAGCCAGTTATCCCAGCATCATTTATTGAATAGGGAGTCTTTTCCCCATTGCTTGTTTTTGTCAGCTATGTCGAAGGTCAGATAGTTGTAGGTGTGCAGCCTTATTTCTGGATCCTCTATTCTTTTCCACTGGTCTATGTGTCTGATTTTGTACCAGAACCATGGTATTTTGGTTACTGTAGCCCTGTAGTATAGTTTGAAGTCAGGTAATGTGATGCCTCCAGGCTTGTTCTTTTTGCTTAGAATTTCTTTGGCTATTCAGGCTCTTTCTTGGTTCCATATGAATTTTTAAATAGTTTTTTCTAGTTCTGTGAAGAATCTCAATGGTAGTTTAATAGGAATAACATTAACTCTATAAATTGCTTTGGGTAGAATAACCACTTTAACAATGTTGATTCTTCCTATCCATGAGAATGGAATTTTTTCCATTTGTTTGTGTCATCTCTGATTTCTTTGAACAGTGTATTGTAGTTCTCATTGTAGAGATCTTTCACTTCCCTGGTTAGCTGTATTCCTAGGGGTGTGTGTGTGTGTGTGTGTGTGTGTGTATGTGGCAGTTGTGAATGGGATTGTGTTCTTGATTTGGCTGTTGGTTTGATTGTTGTTGGTGTATAGGAGTGCTAGTTATTTTTATACATTGATTTTATATCCTATGACTTTGCTGAAGTGGTTTATCAGCTTAAGGAGCTTTTGGGTCCAGACTAATTTGGTTTTCTATACAGAGAATCATGTTATCTGCAAACAGAGATAGTTGACTTCTTCTCTTCCTATTTGGATGGCCTTTCTCTTGCCTGATTTTGCTGGCTAGGACTTCCAATACCATGTTGAATAGGAGCTGTGAGAGACAGCATCCTTGTATTGTGCCAGTTTTCAAGAGGAATACTTTCAGTTTTTGCCCATTCAGTAAAATGTTGGCTGTGGGTTTGTCATAGATGGCTCTTATTATTTTGAGGTATGTTCATTCAATACCTAGTTCATTGAGAGTTTTTAACATGAAGCAATGCTGAATTTTTTTGAAGCCTTTTCTGCATCTATTGAGATAATCATGTGGTTTTTATCCTTAGGTCTTTTTTGTGATGAGTCACACTTATTGATTTGCATATGTTGAACCAATCTTGGATCCCAGGGATATAGCCTACTTGATCAGGGTGGATAAACCTTTTGTTGTGCTGCAGGATTTAAATTGCCAGTTATATCTTGAGGATTTTTGCATCAGTGTTCATCAAGAATATTGGCTTGAAGTTTTCTAAGAGCTGTGCTCTGCCGGGTTTTGGTATTAGGATGATGCTGGCCTCATAGAATGAGTTAAGGAGGAGTCCCTTTTCTTTAATCTTTTGGAATGGTTTCAGCAGGAATGGTACCAGCTCTTCTTTGTACATCTGGGAGAATTCAGCTGTGAATCTGTGTGGTCTTGAGCTTTTTTGGTTGGTAGATTATTTATTACTGACTCAACTTTAGAGCTGGTTATTGATTTGTTCAGGGATTCAGTTTCTTACTGGTTCAGTCTTGGGAAGGTGTATGTGTCCAGTAATTTATCAATTTCTTCTTGATTTTCTATTTTATGTGCATAGAGGTATTCATAATATTCTCTGATGATTATTTGTATTTCTGTGGGGCCAGTGGTAATATCCCCTTTGTCTAATTGTGTTTATTTGAATCTTATTGTGTTTCTTCTTTATTAGTCTAACTGGTGGTCTATTTTATTAATATTTTTTTAAAAACCCAACTCCTGGATTCATTGATCTTTTGAATGATTTTTTGTATCTCAATCTCCTTCAGTTCAGCTCTGACTTTGATTATTTGGTGCCTTCTGCTATCTTTTGAATTTGTTTTCTCTTGGCTTGCTAGTTCTTTTAGTTGTGATACTAGGTTGTTAAATTGAGATATTTCTAACACTTTGATGTGGGCATTTAGTGCTATAAATTTCCCTCTTAACACTGCCTTAGCTGTGTCTAGAGATTTTGGTATGTTGTATCTTTGTTCTCATTCATTTCAAATAACTTCTTGATTTCTGTCTTAATTTCATTATTTACCCAAAAGTAATCCAGGAGCAGGTTATTAAATTTTAATGTAACTGTATGGTTTTGAGTCAATTTCTTAGTCTTGATTTCTAATTTGATTGTGTTGTGGTCTGAGAGAGTTGCTGTTATGATTTCAGTTCTTTTGCATTTGCTGAGGAATGTTTTGCATTTGATTATGTGATCAATTTTAGAGTATGTGCCATGTGGCAGTGAGAAGAATCTATATTCTGTCGCTTTTGGGTGGAGAGTTTTGAGGTGTCTATCAGGTCCATTTGATTCAGGGCTGAGTTCAGGTCCTGAATATTTTTATTACTTATCTGTCTTAGTGATTTGTGTAATACTCTCAGTGAGGTGTTTAAGTCTCTCACTATTATTGTGTGGGAGTCTAAGTCTCTTTGAAGCCAAGAACTTGATTATGAATCTGGGTGCTTCTGTGTTGGGTGCATATATATTTAGGATAGTTAGATCTTCTTGTTGAATTTAACCCTTTATCATTATGTAATGCCCTTTTTTGTCTTTTTTGATCCTTATTGGTTTAACATCTGTTTTGTCTGAAACTAGGATTGCAACCCCTGCTTTTTTCTGTTTTCCATTTTCTGGGTAGATTTTCCTCCAGCCCTATGAGTGTCATTGCATGTGAGATGGGTATCTGGAAGACAGCATACCAATGAGTCTTGGTTCTTTATCCAGCTTGCCACTCTGTGTCTTTTAATTGGGGCATTTAGCCTATTAACATTCAATGTTAGTACTGTTATGTGTGGATTTGATCCTGTTATCATGATGTTAGATGGTTATTTTGTGGACTTGTTTGGTGGTCACTTTATAATGTCACTGCTGTGTGTACTTCAGTGTGTTTTGTAGTGGATAGTCTTTCCTTTTCATATTTAGTGCTTCCTTCAGGAGCTCTTATAGGGAAGGTCTGTTGGTAATGAATTCCCTCAGCATTTGCTAGTCTAAAAAGAATATTATTTCTCCTTTGCTTATGAAGCTTAGTTTGGCTGGATATAAAATTCTGGGTTGAAATTTCCTTTCTTCAGGAATGTTGAATATTGACCCCAGTCTCTTCTGGCTTGTAGGATTTCTGCTGAGAAGTCTTGCTGTTAGTTTGATAGACTTCCCTTTGTAGGAAAAAGAAAAATGTTAAATGCAGCTAGAGAGAAAGGTCAGAGACTTGACTTGCCTTATAAATCTGGCTGCCTTTAACATTTCTTTCTAGCTGCCTTTAATATTTTTTCTTTCATTTCGATCTTGGAGAATCTGGTGATTATGTGTCTTGGGGATGATTTTCTTGTGACGTATCATACTAAGATTTTCTCTATTTCCTGAATTTGAATGCTGGACTCTCTAGCTAGGTTGGCGAAGTTCTCATGGATGATATCATGAAATATGTTTTCTAAGTTGGTTCCATTCTCCCCATCTCTTTCAGGGACACCAGTGAGTCATAGATTTGGTCTCTTTACATAATCCTGTATTTCTCAGAGGTTTTATTCATTCCTTTTCATTTTTTTCCTCTGTTTTGTCTGACTGTCTTATTTCAAAAAGCCAGTCTTCAAACTCTGAGATTCTTTCTTCCATTTGGTCTATTCTTGATCTTTCCCTCCATTTGGTTTATTCTGCTATTAATACTTGTGATTACATTGTGAAATATGTGTGATTACATTATGAAATGTGATTGCATTATGGAGTGCAATCACAAGTACAATGTAATCACAAGTATTCATGTAGCATGTTTTTCGTCTCTATCAGGTCAGTTACATTCTTTTCTATCCTGGCTATTTTTTCTATGTCAGCTCCTGCATTGTTTTGTCATGATTCTTAGCTTCCTTGGATTAGGTTTCAACATATACCTGTAGCTCAATGATCTTTGTTCCTATACATATTCTGAATTCTATTTTTTTCATTTCAGCCATCTCAGCCTGGTTCAGAACCAGGAGATTAGGTTTCAACATATACCTGTAGCTCAATGATCTTTGTGTCTATACCTATTCTGAATTCTATTTTTTTTCATTTCAGCCATCTCAGCCTGGTTCAGAACTGGAGAGGTGATGTGGTCATTTGCAAGACAGAGGGCACTCTGGCTTTTTGATTTGTCAGTCTTGTTGCCCTGGTTCTTTCTCATCTTTGTGGGCTTATATTCCTTTAATCTTTGAGGCTGGTGACCTTTGGGTGGGTTTTTTTTTCTTTTATTCTATTTGATGACTTTGAGGGCTTGATTGTGGTATAAGGTGGTTTCAGCCAACTAGCTTCATTTCTTGAAGATTTTAGGGGGCCAACACTCAGGTCTCAAGACTAAATGTGGGAGACTTGCATTGGCTCTGACTTTGTTCTCTGGACAACACTTAGATAGGAGGTATAAGTTATAATGTTTGATAGCGGAATGGCCGACTCTAGTTAACAACAATGTATTGTATATTTCAAAATAGCTAGATGAGAGGACTTGAAATGTTCCCAATGTATAGAAATGATAAGTACTTGAGGTGATGGATATCCTAAATACCCTGACTTGATTTTTACACATTCTATACATGTAACAAAATATCACATGTACCCCATAAATATGTGCAAATATTATGTATTAATTTAAGAAAAGATTATAAGGCATGCAAAACAGCAGGTAAAAAATACCTAAAAGGAGTTCAATTAAACAAATCCAGAACTGATATAGATGTTATAACTACCAGACAAGGACATTAAAACGATGATTATAACTGTATTTTATATGTTCAAAAAGTTACGTAGATGAAAGGTATAGAAAATAACTGAATGGAAATTCTCAGAGATGAAAGCAACAGTGTCTGAGATGAAAAATACAATGGATAGTGTACGAGTCAGGATTCTTCAGAAAAACAACGTCAATAGGATACACACACACACACACACACAAATGTATGTATGTAATATGTGTGTATATATAGGATGCATAGATGTGATGTACATTTATGTGTGTGTGTGTATGTATACCGATTCCATAAAATAAATCTCTCCCCCCGTGTGTGTATATACACACATATAGATGAAAGGTATACACAAACACATAGAGGGGAGGGAGATATTTATTTTAAGGAATTGGTTCGTGCAATTGTGGGGACTAGCAAGTCTGAAATTTGCAGGGCAGACCAGTAGGCTAGAAATTCTAGCAGGAGTTAGTGTTTCAGTCTTGAGTACAAAGTCAGCCTGTAGATAGAATTCCTTTCTCCACGGAGGACCTCAGTCTTTTCTCTTAGTGCTTTCAGCGGATTGGATGAGGCCCACCCATGTTATGGAATATAATCTGCTTTACTCAATGTCTGCCAATTTAAATGTTAACACACCTAAAAAGTACCTTCACAGGAGCATTCAAGGTGCTGTCTGACCAAGCAACTGGGCATAGCCTAAAGTTGACACACAAAATAACCTATCACAGATAACATTAACAATGAGTTAGGCATTTCAGAAGAAAAGGTTAGTGAACTTGAAGCCATAGCAATTGACATGATTAAAACAGAAACAAAGAAAAGAGAGAATAAAAAAAAAAGCAGTAAATCAGTGAACTGTAGGAAAACCTCATATATCTAATATATCTGTAATTAAAGTTCAATGGACATTTTCAATCTCTATTTACTTACCTTTTAGCAGAATTTGACACTGGAACTACTTCCCAATTTTCAAAATACTTCATTTTCTTTTCTTTTCTTTTTTTTTTTTTTTTTTTTTTTGAGACGGAGTCTCGCTCTGTCGCCCAGGCTGGAGTGCAGTGGCGTGATCTCGGCCCACTGCAAGCTCCGCCTCCTGGGTTCACGCCATTCTCCTGCTTCAGCCTCCAGAGTAGCTGGGACTACAGGCGCCCACCACCACACCCGGCTAATTTTTTGTATTTTTAGTAGAGATGGGGTTTCACCATGTTAGCCAGGAGGGTCTCGATCTCCGGACCTCGTGATCCTCCAGCCTTGGCTTCCCAAAGTGCTGAGATTACAGACATGAGCCACCGTGCCCTGCCCAAAATACTTCATTTTCTTGGTAACACATTGGGTTGGTTTTCTTTCTATCTGGTTGCTTATTCTTTGTTTCCTTTTCCCTTTCTTCTGCCCATCCTTAAATGTTCTTTCTTAGGCTTCTTTCTCTTCCAGCTCTACCCACTCTTCTGGGTGACCTCACTCACTCCAATGGCCTCAGTTACCATCTCCATGCTTTGTCAAAATAGTTTCTAGTTTTCTTCAATCCAGAACTCTCATAAACATTTGACTCCAATGCTGGGTTGCCTGAGAGATCTTTCCTTTTGATGTTTCTTAGGCATTAAAAACCCAGCATAATCATAATGGAGTTCAACCTTCTTTCCTTAACTCCCAACCTGCTCCACTCCTCCACTTCCTGTTTTGCTGAAGGCATTCATTCCTCTCACCAAATCAGACATCTGGCTATCATCTTCCACTTCTTTGACTTTACTTCCCATTAGTCACAAAGTCTTGCTAATTCGACCTCCTAAACATTTCCAGAATGTACATATTCCTTTATCTTCATTGCCATGAACTTAGGCTAGACAGCTGTCTTCTCTCTCTTGGTTTATGGAAAAAAATATTCTAATTGATTATCTGTCTCTAGGTTTCCCAGTTCCAATCAATTTGCTATATTGTAAAATGAAAATCTGACCATGTTATTCTTCTCCTTAAAATGCTTTAGTGCCTCTCACTTTACTTAGGCCAAAGTCCAAACTTCTTAGCATTCATTAGAAGTATCTGTCCAATCTCCTATTCATTTTTCATTAACCCTTTCCCATCCTATGCTATAAGTTACAGTCATACAGAACTTAATATATAGTTATTGGATTAAATTGAAGGCATGAGTAGGCTTATGGGTCTACCTAAAACTATTTTCAAAATGACTTATATCTGTGCATTCTTGTTTCATCAGATTCTCCAAAGAAGTTTAAGAATCTGGCTCATAGAGGCTAATTTGGTATGGCACGGGGTCACTCCATGGTTCAGTTTCTTTACATATTCAAAACCTTTTTTTTTCTTTTTCTTTCTTTCTTTCTTTTTTTTTTTTTTTTGCAGCCTTTTGACTCATGGAGAATAAGGGAGTGGCCACAATTGAGCCACTAGAGCCACTGCAAGCTGATGAAGCTCTGATGGGGAAACTCCTTCAAAGGCAAATTAAGTTCTTCATTATCTTTCTTGAGGTTGATTGCAATAGTTTAACTAGTATTTCTGCTTTCTGTCTCCTCCAGTCTATCCTGCAGTCTACGGGCAAAGTCACTAAAAATGTGCAGGTATGATCATGTCATTATTTGGCTAAAACTCTTTAATGGCTCCCCTTGATTCTGAGGATGAGGTTCAAACTAGTTTTCACTGTGGCTGAGTCACTCTGTGGTCTGATTCCTGCCTGCTTCTCAATCCAGT
Organism: Homo sapiens; assembly: GCF_000001405.40. Classification (NCBI taxonomy): domain Eukaryota; kingdom Metazoa; phylum Chordata; class Mammalia; order Primates; family Hominidae; genus Homo; species Homo sapiens. The sequence goes on from NC_000005.10 coordinate 97,276,993, forward strand.
GCTCTCACTATGCTCTTATTCCTTGCTTCAGCCACGCTACCTGCCTGTACTTCCCCTAAAAGGCTAGGGGACTGTTTGTGGTCTTTATTCATTCCACTTGTTTGAAGCATTGCTGAAATGATCACTTATTTCTCTATGGTTGTTCCTACTTCTATTATAGAGTTTGAAGGACTTGGGTGCCTGACACACAGAAACTCTTCTCCTTACACCATATACAAAAATTAACTCAAGATGGAGTAAAGACTTAATGTAAAACCTAGAACTATAAAAAACCCTTGAAGAAACTCTAGACAGTACCATACAGGGCATAGGCATGGGCAAAGATTTCATGATGAAAATGCCAAAAACAATAGCAACAAAAGCAACAATTGACAAATGGGATGTGATTAAACTAAAAAGCTTCAGCACAGCAAAATAAGTTATCATTAGAGTGAACAGAAAACCAACAGCATGAGAGAAAATTTTTGCAGTCTATCCATCTGACATAGGTCTAATATCCAGAGTCTGCAAGGAACTTAAAGAAGTTTACGAGAAAAAAACCTCGAACAACTCCTTAAAAAATGGGCAAATGACATGAACAGACACCTCTCAAAAGAAGACATACATGTGGCCAACTAGCATATGAAAAAAATCTCAACATCACTGATAATTAGAGAAACACAAATCAAAACTATAAGATGTCATTTGACACCGGTCAGAATGACTCTTATTAAAAAGTCAAAAAACAACAAATGCTGGCAAGATTGAGGAGGAAAAAGAACATTTCTACACTGTTGGTGGGAGTGTAAATTAGTTCAACCATTGTGGAAGAAAGCATGGTGGTTCCTAAAGGACCTAGAGTTTGAAGGTCTAGGCAGAAATACCACTTGACCCAGCAATCCCGTTACTGGGTATATACCCTGTTTCTCATTTTTCATTACCTGAGTCTTTTAAAAGAGTAGTCTGTACTCCATTGCATTTATTTATTTATTTATTTATTTATTTATTTATTTATTTTTACTTTTTATTCCTTGCCCTTTACAATCATGCTTTTGTCCTCATAATTTTACCGAAATTGTTTACTCAGCATATGCATGACATCCTTTTTGCTATATTCAGTGCCTTTATCTTTTGTATTTGTCTTGTTTCCTTTTGCATATTCTACTACCATCTTCGACTCAGCATGTCTAAAACGAAATATTCTAATATTTTCTTCTCAACAATTTTCTACCCATGAACTTCTTTCTGCCAGTTGTAAAACTAATCACAGAATGTAAAATCCTTGAAGTTATTTTCTGTTTTCTTATATGTTGAACTATTCAATTTCTTTTGTAGCATATTTTTCTATTTTGCTTTGTTTGTACAGTTACTATGCTAGTTCACAATTTTTTCATTTCACTGATGCAACTTTGCAATAAACTTCTAGCTGCTTATTAGAAATGTAATATAAACAACATATATAACTTAAAATTGTCTAATAGACACTTAAAAGTAAAAAGGCACAATTAATTTTAATATATTTTATTTATACCAATTTATCAAACGTATTAGCATTTAAAAATACTTTCAAAAATGAAAGTATTAAGATATTTTACTTTTTTTGGTTCTAATGTTTGAAATCTAGTTTGTATTTAACACTTACAGCACATCTCAAGTGAGAATAACGGCATTTACAGTCCTCAGTAGCTATGTGTGACTAGAGGCTAATGTATAGGTCAGCATAGAGCGTAGTTGACTTCTTCAACTCCAACTTTTTACTTTTTCCAGTGGCATCTGCATTCCATCATCAGAGCAACTGATTATCAGCACTAATTTCATCACAAACATGTCTGATGAAAAAAAGACTTTATGGTTACCTTTACTTCAGTTTGCATGGAAAGAACTGATTCATTTTTTCTGACTTGATTTAAAGTCCTCCATAAATTCTTCTCACATTCAATAGTCTCCCCTTATCCATGGTTTCACTTCACCTGGTCAACCATGATCGAAAATATGAAGCTATTTTGAAAGAGAGAGGGAGAAACCATATTCACATGACTTATTACAGCACACTGTTAAAAATTGTTCTATTTTATTATTATTTTTGTTAATCTCTTACTGTGCCTAATTTATAAGTTAAACTTTATTATAGTTATTTATGTATAGGGAAAAACATAGTATATGTAGGATTTGGTATTATCTGTGGTTTCAGGCATCCACTGAGGGGCTTGAAATGTATCCCCTGCAGATAAGTGGGTACTACTGTACTTACCCAACATTATGCAGCCCTCTTCTCATTGACGACTTAGATACCAACCCAGATGCTTTGCTTAAGATATTGTGCATGTATTATAATACCTAACATCAACTAGAATCTCCTAAACTTTTTCTGAGATTGGTAGAAAAAAGGCATACATTTCCAAAACTTGATCTTTTATTACAACATTTATTAATACATTTGTTAAGCAATTTAGAAATATAAATACATATTTCATAAGTCAATATGCTCATACCGTAGAAAACTTAAAAAACTGAGTGAAAAAATTTAATGATTTGATCTAATATATTTTGTGTTCCCCTTTTAACTCTTCTCTCTCTTTGTGACCAAACTCAGCCTGTGAGTTAAGTATAAATTACAATGTATATGGGTGCAATTATTTGAGTAAAATTATTTTAGACAAAGTATCCAATTTATGAAATATGTGGAGAAGAAAGAAATTTGTTTTAGTGTGAGATAAATGATCAGATGTAATTTTGTAGCTGAATGAAACACTCTCATAAATAATTATTTGAAAATTGGATATTATTTATCACCTATGCCATTTATGTCATACAAATTTGTAAAATGTTCTTACTTGTAAATGGGTTGTAGTCTTCAAATTGATGACACAGAAAATTTTTATACTCTTTAGAACAAGTGGGAATTTATTACTAAACTTTTTCATCCTCCCACTATTTCTCATAAATGCATCCACTGTAAAGGAATATGTAGCTTCATGCATGGCAAGTTTTCTAAACAAGTCTTAGTCCTGGTCACCTCATTCATCTAAAGTGTTTGTTGAATATAATCGCTGAGATTTATTCCTCACTAAACTTAAACCATTTGAGGTTTCAGTTTTTAGGTCTTGAGCCATTTGGTCTTCCTTATCTCTTGCATCAGATCATCCTCCAAGTAACCACTAGAAGTGGCGTTCTAATTAATACTGGACTGATTGGCATAATGACCTTATTTTATTCAGAGTACTCCCTTTAATTGTTAATAGCTTCATGTTGTTTTTACATATCTTGTTTATTACCACAACAACCACATTCTTGCCTTAATATTGACCACAATTCATTTATCTTTTCCAAACGTTAGTTTTTATTATTTTTTCAGATAAAGTTTAATTTGTTTTATCGTGTTATTATAATTTTTCTTTATTAAAAGGGGTATCTATATGTTTGAAAATTCTTTGTTTTAAAATATTTATAGATTGTGTAACTTAAATCATCTTTGACTTTAACTTGGACTGCATTAAAATGGTAAATTTAGGAGAGGTTAAGATCTTTTATTCTTCACATTGCTTTAATTTCCTCCAATTTTTGTATCCTTTAAGATGTTTGCTATTTCTATACTAATGGAAGTAAAATATATATGTCAAATCATTGGAGAATCTGGCATTAACTGTGTGTGCAGAGTGGATTAACTGCAATATTAGCTTAAATCTTAATTAAAATCTCACAAAGGTCCTTAATAGTATAGATGACTATTTTGTGAATTATTGGAGACTACTTTATTAAAAAAAAGATAGAAATTTTGGAAAAAGTGATCTCATTTTGTAAATTAAGAGAATGCCTCTGACTGGTTATTTCACAATGTTTCTAAAATTGCTTGAACTCTTTAAAAAAATTCAGCAATGAAATGAAATGGGTTTATTATTAATATTGTAGAAAGAAGCCTGCATGTAAGCCTTATGACCGTTTATGAGGAAACTTTTTTGACAAAAGGATGTTAAAAAATAGATGAGGAGAGGAGAGACAAGAGAATTTGGGCAGCCTTTTCTCCTAACCTTAGGATTACATTATCATCAATAATATCTTAGTTTTTAAAGTATTTCAGTTATCCCACTTTTTAGTGCAGAATTGTAGCAATAATTGTACCTGAAGTGGAGGTAAAATCCCATTTAATTTGCCCAGCTCCAGCTGGACCCCATTTTTCTGAGAAATGTATAGTTCTGAGAAGTGTTATTTTTTAGATAGTCTTTTACAGTGAAGCTTTGTATACATGCTTGTTAAAAATGTAAGGTGTTTTTTTTTTTTTTTTGGAGATGGAGTCTCACTCTGTCAGCTAGGCTGGAGTTCAGTGGTGCAATCTTGGCTCAGTGTAACCTCCACTTCTTAGGTTCAAGTGATTCTCCTGCCTCAGCCTCCAAGTAGCTGGGACTACAGATGCGTCCTACTACGCCCGGCTGATTTTTGTATTTTTAGCAGAGTTGGCGTTTCACCGTATTGGTCAGGCTGGTCTTGAACTCCTGACTTTGTGATCCACCCACCTCGGCCTCACAAAGTGCTGGGATTACAGGCATGAGCCACTGCACCCGGCCAAAAATGTAAGTTTTATATGTCTAACTTAATGGAGAAAAGTATTTATCAAGCCCCCCTAAGCTTCTATTTCTAAAAAATATGACATTGTTGTTACTTAATTTTTAAAATTTGTATAAATTTATGGGGTTCCAGTGCAATGTTGTTACATGCATAGATTATGCAGTGGTCAAGTCAGGGCTTTCAGGTATCTATCCACTAAATTTCATTAACTATACTTATTAAGTAATTTCTCATCATTCACCCCTCCCACCCCCCTGCCCCCATCTGAGTCTCCATTGTCTCATTCTACCCTCTATGTCTGTGTGCTCATGGTTTTTTAGCACCCACTTATGAGTGATAACATGTGATATTTAACTTTCCATGTCTGACTTGTTTCACTTAAGATAATGACCTTCAGTTTTATCCATGTTGCTGCTAAAAATATGATTTCATTTTTTTCTATGGCTGAATACATATTCCATTGTGTATATATACTACATTTTCTTTACCCAGTCTTCCATTGATGAACACGTAGGTTGATTCTATAACTTTGCTATTGTGAATAATACTGTGATAACATATGGGTGCAGGCATCTTTTTGATAGATTGATACCAAGCAGTGGGTTTGTTGGATCAAATGATAATTCTACTTTTACTTCTTTGAGAAATCGCCATACTGTTTTCCACAGAGGTTGTAATAATTTACATTTCCACCAACAGTGTATAAGACTTCCTTATACATTTCCACCAACAGTGTATAAGACTTATACACAACAGTGTATAAGACTTATACACAACAGTGTATAAGACTTATACACAACAGTGTATAAGACTTATACACAACAGTGTATAAGACTTATACACAACAGTGTATAAGACAGTGTATAAGATGTTGGCAAGGTCCTCTACAACCTTGCCAACATCTGTTATTTTCTCTCTTTTTAATAATAGCCATCTTTACTGGGTTAAGATGATATCTTGTAGTTTTAATTTGCATTTCTCTGATGATTAGTGATGTTGAGCATTTTTTCTTATACCTGTTAGCCATTTGTATGTCTTATTTTGAGAAATGTCTGTTCATGTCCTTTGTCCACTTTTTAAAAATATATACTTTTAACTTTTAGGTTCAGGAGTACATGTGAAGGTTTGCTGTGTAGATAAATTCCTGTCATGGGGGTTTGTTGTACAGATTATTTCATCACTCAGGTATCAAGCACAGTAGCCAATAGTTATCTGTTCCGCTTCTCTTCCTCCTCCCACCCTCCACCCTCAAGTAGACTCTAGTGTCTGTTGTTTCCTTCTTTTTGTTCGTAAGTTCTTGTCATTTAGCTCCCACCTATAAGTAAGAACATGTGGTATTTGGTTTTGTGTTCCTGCATTAGTTTGCTAAGGACAATAGCCTCTGGCTGTATCTGTGTTCTTGCAAAAGACAAAATCTCATTCTTTTTATGACTGCATAGTATTCCATGGTTTATGTGTACCACATTTTCTTTATCCAATCTGTCATTGATGGGTATTTAGGTTGATTCTATGTTTTTGCTATTGTGAATAGCACTGCAATGAACATTCATGTGCATGTGTCTTTATGGTAGAATAATTTATATTCCTCTGGATATATACCCAGTAATGGGATTGCTGGGTTGAATGATAGTTCTGCTATTAGCTCTTTGAGGAATCGCCATACCACTTTCCACAATGAGTGAACTGGTTTACACTCCAACAAACTGTGTAGAAGTGTTCCCTTTTCTCCACAACCTTGCCAGCATCTGCTATTTTTGGACTTTTTAATAGCCATTCTTACTGGTGTGAGATGATATCTTATTGTGTATTTGATTTGCATTTCTCTAATGGTCAGTGATATTGAGCCTTTTTTCATATGCTTGTTGGCTGCATGTATGTCTTCTTTTGTATAGTGTCTGTTCGTGTCCTTTGCCCACTTTCTAATGGGATCATTTTTTTTTTGGAAATTTGTTTAAGTTTCTTACGTATGCTGGTTATTAGACCTTTGTCAGATGCATAGTTTGCAAATATTTTTTCCCAATCTATAGATTGTCTGTTTACTCTGTTGATAGTTTCTTTTGTTATGCAGAAGCTCATAAGTTTAATTAGCTCCCACTTTTCAATTTTACTATTGCTTTTGGTCTCTTTGTCATGAAATCTTTGCCTGTTCCTGTGTCTAGGATGAAATTGCCTAGGTTGTCTTCCAGGGTTTTTATGGTTTTAAATTTTACGTTTAAGTCTTTAATCCATCTCTAGTTGATTTATTTATTTGATGTAAGGAAGGACTCCAGCTTCAATCTTCTGCATATGGCTAGCCAGTTATCCCAGCATCATTTATTGAATAGGAAGTCTTTTCCCCATTGCATGTTTTTGTCAGCTTTGTTGGAGATCAGACACTCATAGATTTGTGATCTTTGGGCTTATTTCTGGGCTCTCTATTCTGTTCCATTGACCTATGTGCCTTTTTTGTACCAGTACCATGCTGTTTTGATTACTGTAGCCTTGTGGTATGATTTGAAGTCAGGTAATGTGATGCTTCCAGCTTTGTTCTTTTTCCTTAGGATTGCCTTGGCTATTCAGGCTCTTTTTTGGTTCCATATGAATTTTAAATAGTTTTTTTCTAGTTCTATGAAGAATGTCAATGGTAGTTGGACAAGAATAGCATTGAATCTGTAAATTGATTTGAGCAGTATAGCTATTTTAATGATATTGATTCTTCCTATCCGTGAGCATGGAGTGTTTTTCCATTTGTTTGTGTCTTCTCTGATTTATTTGAGCAGTGTTTTGTAATTCTCATTGTAGACATATTTCACCTGCCTAGATAGCTGTATGCCTAGGTATTTTATCTTTTTTTAATGACAATTGTGAATAGGATTGCCTTTCTGATTTGGCTGTTAGTTTGATTGTTGGTGGTGTAAAGGGAATATTTTGTATGTTGATTTTTACATCCTGAAATTTTTGCTGAAGTTGTATATAAGCTGAAGGAGCTTTTGGAGGTTATGAGACTAGGGGATTTTCTAGATATAGAATTATGTTATCTGCAAACAGGGATAGTTTGACTTCCTCTTTTCCTATTTGGATGCCTTTTATTTCTTTCTCTTGCCTGATTGCTCTGGCTAGGACTTCCAATAGTATGTTGGATAGAAGTGGTGAGAGAGGGCATCCTTGTTTTGTACTGGTTTTCAAGGTAAATGTTTCCAGCTTTTGCCCATTCAGTATAATGTTGGCTGTGGGTTTGTTATAGATGGCTCTTATTATTTGAAGTATGCTCCTTCAATACCTAGTTAATTGTGAGTTTAAAACATGAAGTGGTGTTGAATTTTATAGAAAACCGTTTCTGTGTCTATTGAGACAATCATGTGATTTTTGTCTTCAGTTTTGTTTATGTGATGAGTCACATTTGTTGATCTGTGTATGTTGAACCAACCTTGCATTCTGAGGATGAATCTTACTCGATTGTCATCAATAAGCTTTTCATTGTGCTGCTGGATTCAGTTTGCCGTATTTTGTTGAGGATTTTTGCATTGATGTTCATCAAGGATATTGGTCTGAAGTTTTCTTCTTTTTGTTGTGTCTCTTCCAGGTTTTGGTATCAAGATGATGCTGACCTTATAGAATGAGTTGCAGACGAGTCCCTCCTTATCCTTTTTTGGGAATAGTTTCAGCAGGAATGGTACCAGCTCTTCTTTGTACATCTGGTAGAATTTGGCTATAAATCCATCAGGTCCTGGGCTTTCTTTGGTTGGTAGACTTTTTATTACTGATTCAATTTCAGAGCCTGTTATTAGTCTGTTTAGGGAATCTATTTCTTCCTGGCTCATTTTTGCAAGAGTGTATGTGTCCAGGAATTTATTTATCTCTTTTAGGTTTTGTAGTTTGTGTGCATAGAGGTGTTCATAGTAGTTTTTGATGGTTGTTTTTATTTCAATGGAGTCAGGAGTAGCATTTCCATCATCATTTCTATTTATGTTTATTTGGATCTTGTCTCTTTTCTCTTTTATTAATCTAGCTAACAGCCTATCTATCATATTATTTTTTTCACAAAACTAACTCCTGGATTTGTTGATCTTTTGAATGTTTTTTTGTGTCTCGATTTCCTTCAGTTCAGCTCTGATTTTTTTTTATTCTTCTAGCTTTGGGGTTGATATATATGTTCTTGCTTCTTTAATTCTTCCAGTTGTGATGTTTGGTTGTTAAATTGAGATATTTCTAACTTTTTAATGTGGACATTTATTGCTATAAATTTTCTTCTTAACACTGCTTTACCTAGGTCCCAGAGATTCTGATATGTTGTATCTTTGTTCACATTATTTTCAAAGAACTTCTTGATTTCTGCTTTAGTTTTATTTTTTACCCAAATGTCATTCAAGGGCATCTTGTTTAATTTTTTTGTAGTTGTGTGGTTTTTGTAGTCTTGAGTTCTATTTTTATTGTGCTGAAAGTGTTAAGTATGATTTTATGATTTTTTTCTTTTGCATTTGTTGAGGATTGTTTCATGGCCAATTTTGTGGTCGATTTTAGAGTATGTGCCATATGGTTATCAGAGGAATGTATATTCTGTTGTTTTTGGGGTGGAGAGTTCTGTAAAGGTCTATCAGATTCATTTGAGCCAATGTTGAATTCAGGTCCTGAATATCTTGGTTAATTTTCTCCACCGATGATTTATTACTATCAGTGTAGTGTTGAAGTCTCCCACTATAATTGTATGGGAGTATATGTGTCTTTTTAGTTCTCTATGAACTTTCTTTGTAAATCTGGATGGTCCTATGTTGACTGCATATATATTTAGGATAGTTAGGTCTTTTTGTTGAATTGAACCCTTTATGATTATGTAATGCCCTTCTTTGTCTTTTTTGATATTTGTTGGTTTGAAATCTGTTTTTTCTGAAATTAGAACTGAAACCTATACTTTTTTCTCTTTTCCATTTGCTTGATAGGTTTGCCTCCTTTCCTTTATTTTGAGCCTATGAGTGTCATTACATGTGAGATGGGTCTGTTGAAGACAGCATACCATTGTTGCCCTCTTTTTTTTTTTTTTTTTTTTGAGATGGAATCTCGCTCTGTTGCCCAGGCTGGGGTGCAGTGGTGTGATCTTGGCTCACTGCAAGCTCTGCCTCCCAGGTTCACGCCATTCTCCTGCCTCAGCCTCCCAAGTAGCTGGGACTACAGGTGCCCACCACCATGCCCGGCTAATTTTGTTGCCCTCTTTTTAATGGGATTATTTGTTAAGTTGTTTGAGTTTTCGTGTATTTTGGTATTAGTCCCCTGCTAAATAAATAGTTTGTAGATATTTTCTCCCATTTTACAAGTTGTCTGTTCACTCTGTTGATTATTTCTTGGGCTGTGCAGAAGCTTCTTGTTTAATTAATTCCCATTTGCCTACTTTTTAAATTGCCTATGCTTTTGATGTTTTAGTGACAAATTTTTTGCCCCGACCAATGCTTATAAGAGTTATCCTTAGATCTTTTCTTAGTATTTATTGAAATGGTTTTGGGTTGTACATTTAAGTCTTTAATCCATCTTGAGTTAACTTTTGTATATGATGAGAGGTGGGGTCCAGTTTTATTCTTTCACATCTGGCAATCCAGTTTTTGCAGCACCATTTATTGGTTTTTAACTCAAGTGACTTCATTTAATATAAGCTCTATCAAGTATACTTTTTACTTAATAGGTTTGTCATCAATGTTTTCTTGTTGTTTTTGGCAATATGCAGAGATGAACTTAAAAGTCTGGTTTTATCTAAAGAAAAACAAAGGCTTACTTGATAATCTTAAAATTTATTCTTTTTCTAATTGAATTGCTTGGAATATATTATTTTGTACTTACCATCTTAACCCCCGACGTACATATTATCCTCTTAATGGAATCTCTCGATTTTACAGAAAGAAATTCTTATTTGATTAGTGTCTTAGTTTGTTTGTGCAGTTATAGCAAAATACCACAGACTGGGCAATGTATAAAGAACAGAAATTTATTTCTTATAGTTCTGGAGGCTGGGAAGTTCAAGATCAAGATGCCAGCATTTGGTTTGGTGAGGGCCTTCTTGCTATATCCTCACATGACAGAAGGAATAGTAGGGAAAGAGGGGTCAAAGTCAGCTCCCTCCAGCTCTTTTTATCAGACACGAATTCATTCATGAGAATGAAGCCCTCATGACTTAGTTACTTTCCAAAAGGCTCTATCACTTAGCAGTACCATAATGGGGGTTAAGTTTCAACACATAAATTTTGGGAATCATTTAGGCCATAACAGCTAGAAAAGTCCGACTTATAAACCTTGCCTGATCTGAAGGAATAAAATGTTGACATGTACCAGAGCCTACAAAATGAACTGCAGAGAAACTGTCAGGTGTGTCTTTATTTGGCGAATTTATAATTTGGCATGCTCTATTTTTCATAAGTTTCTACTAGATAACAAAAATAAGTTATGATCCTTCAAAAAATCTAAACATGTTTTAACATATAAGGCTTTTCTGATAATTATATCTAAGACTCATATTTCATTCTAATTTGTTTGAATTTTAATGTAAATTCATAGTGGACAATGTAAAAACAGTTAATCTTAGAGTTACAGTTTTACGAATGTTTGAATAAAAAATAACATCACAGATTGATAAATAAGATATCAAGCAACGAAGGGTTCTGTTTTTGAAATAAGTAAAAACTTATTTCAAAAGAGTAGAGAAATATGATACTTAAAGCTTCTATATTTGATCAAATTTAAGTTGCTGTTGATTCTGTGTTTCACTATTGATTTATATATCTCAAAGTAAGAAAAAACATTGACAATAAACCACGACACACCATAGATTGAAAGAATCATCTTAATTTCAAGTTATTAAAATGTCATAAAGAGCCATTGTAACATTGATGAAATAGTGTATTTTTGTGTAATTTTCTAATCTATACATTGAGATTTGTTCCATTAAAATATTTTAACTTTTTGATTAAGGCTTGACTTAACAGTAGGGAATAAATGTGAAATAAGAAATGTGTTTAATTTTTTTAAACCTAAATTTTGATTTGCCTGATTTTAAAGTGAGAGAAAGATAATGACTGTCTAGATTTGTTAAAGTAAATAATTTTGAAAGACAAAGCACACTAAGTTTAGGTATCTATTTGCTGTAAACTCTCATATCAATAATTTACTTATCTCTCTTCCACTGAGGATTGATGTAGAGGTTTCAATAAGAAAAAAAAAAAAAAAAAAAAAGAAGCCAAACCAATAAGACCCTGTCATGGGGTAGCACTTTTTTTTTCTTGTAGGACCAATAGAACTTGTATCTTATAGGGAGTGTATAAATTGTAGACAAAATAATGTAAAAGAATAAATAAAATAAAAATTTAAAAGTAGTATTTCTTTGCCTTTCTATAGAATTTTAGAATTTCTTTAGTATCTTAGTATGACTCACCATGCTAAATTCCTGTAAAGAAGCCTGTGAAGTCGATACCTTTGAGCGATTCACTTAGAATATCTGAACTCAGTTTTCTCATCTTCAAAATGGATAAAATATCTATTTCATAAAATTCTTGTGAGGATTTAATAAAATATTTGCAGGTATTTATGCATGTCTAACCCATTGCATGCACTCAGCAATAGGTATCTATTATACATATCTATTAATGCTTATTGAAATGTCAGTGCAGTAGATGAAAATTTAGAGTGTATTTTATTTGTCTAGGTCATATAGGTTGTTAAGTAATAGAGTTGAGTCTAGCGATTAAAGCCCCCACCCCTGTTGTTACCTCCCCAGATCTTTCACATGATCATACTACCTCTGTGATCCATGGATACATTTTTGAAATGCTTCATTTTGAAGAAAAGATATGTTATTTTGAAAAGCATAGGTTTAGGAACCACACAAACCTGACTTCAAATCCAAGTTTTAACATCTATTGGTATGTGACCCTGGAAAATTTACTTAGTATCTTATTTTTTAAATTTGTGAAAGAACCTCAATTTTCTCCTTTATGAAAGAAAGAAAAGAATCTACCTTAAGGTTGTTGAACACATAAATGTGCATATAAATATAGATATCTAGATATTGGAGTATATATTTATACAGAAAGGGCATAGTAGAGAGAATGCCTAACACTTATGATTAAACATTTTTTAAAATTAAGGGTGCATAATAGTTGTACAAATTTATGGGGTACATTTGATGCTTTGATACAGGCATACAGTGTGCAGTGATCAAGTCTGGGTAATTAGGGTACCCATAACCTCAAGCATTTATTATTTCTTTGTGTTAGGAACATTCTAATTTCACTCCTTTAGTTATTTAAAATATATAATACATTATTTTTAACTATACTTGCCCTATGTGCTACTAACACTAGATCTGTTCATTCTATCTAACTCTATTTTTGAATGCATTAACCAGCAACTCCTTATTTACCCTCCAATACTACTCTTCCCAATCTCTGGTAGCTATCATTCTACTCTATTTCCATGAGGTCAATTTTTTTTTTTTTTTTGCTTTTACATGCAATATTGGTGTTTCTGTGCTTGGCTTATTTCACTTAAGATAATATCCTCCACTTTCATCCATGTTGTTGCAAATGAAATGATTTCATTCTTCTTTATGGCTGAATAATATTCCATTGTGTATTTGTACCATATTTTCTTTGTCCATTCCTCTATTGATGGACACTTAGGTTGATTCCATATCTTGGCTATTGTGAGTAGTGCTGCAATAAACATGAGAGGGCAGATCTCTTTGTTATACTAATTTCTTTCTTTTAAATATACCCAGAAGTGAGATTGTTGGATCATATGGTAGTTCTATTTTTAGGTTTTTGAAGAACCTTCATGGTGTTCCTCATAGTGGTTGTACTATGTACACTCTGGCCAACAGTATAGGAGGGTTCCCTTTTCTCCACATCTTCACCAGCATTTGTTACTGCCTGACTTTTGAATATGAGCCATTTTAACTGGAGTGAAATGATATTTCATTATAGTTTTGGTTTGTATTTCTTTGAGCATTTTTTCTTACACCTATTTGCCATTTGTATGTCTTCTTTTGAGAAATGCCTAGTCAGACCTTTTGCCCATTTTTAAACAGATTATTATTATTATTGTTCGCTAGTGAGTGGTCTGAGCTCCTTAGCTTTCCTGTTATTAATCCCCTGTCAGATTGGTGTTTTTCAAATATTTTCTCCCATTCTGTGGGTTGTCTGTTCACTTTGTTGATGGTTTCCTTTGCTGTGTCGAGGCTTTTTAACTTGATGTGATCCCATTTGTCCATTTTTGGTTTGGTTGCCTGTACTTTTGAGGTGTTACTCAGGAAATATTTGCCCAGACCAATGCCTTGGAGTGTTTCCCCAATGTTTTCTTATAGTAGTTTCATAATTTGAGATCTTAGATTTAAATCTTTAATTCGTTTGGATTTTGGTTTTGTATATGGTGAGAGATAGGGGTCTAGTTTCATTCTTCTGCATATGGATATCCAGTTTTCCTGGCACCATTTATTGAAGAGACTTTCATTTCCCCAATATATGTTCTTGGTACATTCATCAAAAATGAGTTGAATTTAGATGCATGGATTGATTTTTGGGCTCTCTATTCTGTTTCACTGGTTTATGCATCTGTTTTTATCACAGCACCATGATGTTTTGATTACTATAATTCTATAGTATAAAGTCAGGTAATGTAATGCTTCCAGCTTTGTTCATTTTGCTCAGGATAGCTTTGGCTATTTTGGGTCTTTTGTGGTTCCATATAAATTTTAGAATTGTTTTTCTATTTCTTTAATAACGTATTCATTTTGATAGGGATTAAATGGAATCTGTAGATTACTTTGAGTAGTATAGATATTTTAATAATATTGATTCTTCCAATTCATGAACATAAAATATCTTTTCATTTTTTTGGTGTGTCCTCTTCAATTTCTTTCATCAATGCTTTATGATTTTCATTGTAAAGATCTTTCATTTATTTGGTCAAGTTAATTCCTAGGTATTTTATTTTAATTGTAGCTACTGTAAATGATACTACTTTCTTCATTTCTTTTCAGATTGTTCAGTGTTGGCATATAGAAATACACTGATTTGTGTATGTTGGTTTTGTATCCTGAAACTTTACTGAATTTGTTTATCAGTTATAATAGTTTTTTTTTGGTGGAATCTTTAGATTGTCCCAAATATAAGATCTTATTATCTGCAGACAAAAATAAATTGACTTCTTCCTTTCCAGTTTGTATGCCCTTTCTTTCTTTCTTTTGTTAACTTGCTCTAGCTAGGACTTTAGTACTATGTTGAATAAAAATGGTGGAAGTAGGCATCCTTATCTTGTTTCAGAACTTAGAGAAGGCTTTTAGATTTTCCCTGTTCTGTATGATACTAGCTGTGGGTTTGTAATATATGGGTTTTATCATGTTGAAGTATCTTCCACCTACCCAATTTTTTGAAAGTGTCTACCATAAACTGATATGAATTTTTTTATGAAAATGGATGCCTTGTGAAAAATGTTTCTCTTATCTTTCTTTCTTTTATAGAGATAGGATTTTGCTATGTTGCCTAGGCTGGTCTTGAACTCCTGGCCTCAAAGGATCCTCCTGCCTCAACCTCCCAGAGTGTTGGGATTACAAGCATGAGCCACTGCTGTGCCAGGCCTGATGCTGAAGTTTATCAGTTGATTTTTCTTGGCATCTACTAAAATGATCATGTGGTTTTTGTCCTTCATTCTGTTGATGTGATGTATCACATATTAAAATTTGCATATGTTGAACCAATCTCACATTTGTGGGATGAATCCTACTTGATTGTGATAAATGATCTTTTTAATGTGTTGTTGAATTTGGTTTACTAGTATTTGTTGAGAATTTTTGCATTTGTGTTCATTAGGAATATTGGCTTGTAGGTTTTTTTGTTGTTGTTATTGTAGATTTGTGTGGTTTCCATATTAGTGTAATGCTGGCCTCCTAGAATGAGTTTGAAAGTATTCCCTCCTCCTCACATTTTTGATGTAGTTTGAGTATGATTGATATGATTTCTTATTTAAATGTTTGGTAGAATTTAGCAGTGAAGTCATTCGGTCCTGGGCTTGTCTTTGACGGGAGACATTTTATTACTGTTCTATCTCTTTACTTATTATGGTCTATTCAGGTTTTGGATTTCTTCATGGTTCAAACTTTGCAGGTTGTAATGTGCCTAGGGATTTATCTGTTTCTACTAGCTTTTCTAATTTATTGGCATATGGTTGTTCACAATAGTTTTTAATGATCGTTTGGATTTCTGTGGTATCAGTTGTAATGTCTGCTTTTTCATCTCTGGTTTTATTGATTGAGTCTTTTCTGTTTTTTTTCTTAGTTAATATGGCTACAGTTTGTCAATTTTGTCTATCTTTTCACAAAAGATTTTGTTTATCTTTTTGTTTCATTGATCATTTATATTTTTAGCCTAAATTATATTTATTTTGCTCTGATATTTATTATTTATTTTCTTCTACTAATTTGGGTTTTCATTGCTTTTGTTTTTCTAGTTCTTTAAGATGCATTGTTATATTGTTTATTTGAAGTTTATCTTTTTATGGTATATGTTTGTTGCTTTAAAGTTCCCCCTTATTATTGCTTTTGCTGCATCCCAAGAATTTGGTAAATGTGTTTCCATTTTTATTTGTTTCAAAAAACTTTAAAAATTTCTTTCTCAATTCCTTCAGTGATAGAAAGACGACAGAAAGGATGAAAGAAAAGCACTTTTTGTGTAAAAGTAATTTTCTCTGATAGTATGTTTTAATTTCTTGTTTTTAAAATATCTGTGTATTTATTACAGGTTTTTTATTTTTACCATGAGGTTTGCAAATAACATCTTATAACCAAATATTTTAAACTGATGACAAGTTAACTCTGATTACAAGGAAGTAAAATAAAACAAATAAGCAAAGAGAATACTAAAAAACTCTACATTTTAACTCCATCCTCCTGCTTTTTGACTTTTTGCCGTCTCAATTTATGTATTTTTATATTGTCAATCTCTTAAAAAGTTGTAGTTACTAATTTTTGGTAGGTTTGTCTTTTAGTCTTCCTACTAAATATCAGTATTTTACACACTGCAATTATAGTTTTAAAGTATTCCATATTTGTCTGTGTACTTATTATTATCAGTGATTTAGTTTTATACCTTTAGAGGATTTCTTATTGTTTATTCACATCTTTTTCTTTCAGATTGAAGAATTCCCTTTAGTATTTTTTGTAAGACAGATCTGATATTTGACAAAATCTCTCAGCTTTTGTTTTCTGTGAAAGTATTTATTTCTCCTTCATGTTTGAAGGATAATTTTGCTGGATATATTATTCTAGGTTGAGTTTGTTTTCCTTCAGCACTTTGAATATGTCATTTCACTCTGTCCTAGCTGGTAAGGCTTCTGCTGAGAAGTCTGCTGCCAGACATATCAGAGCTCCTTCATATGTTATTTGCTTCTTTTCTCTTGTGGCTTTTAGGATTCTTTCTTTATCCTTGCCCTTTGAGAGTCTGATTATTATATACCTTGAAATCATCTTTTTTGGGTTGAATCTTATTGGTATTCTGTGACCTTCTTGTACCTGGGTATTCTTATCTTTCTCTGTGTTTGAAAAGTTCCCTGTTATTATTTCTTTTTTTTATTTATTATTATTATACTTTAAATTTTAGGGTACATGTGCACAATGTGCCGGTTAGTTACATATGTATACATGTGCCATGCTGGTGCACTGCACCCACTAACTCGTCATCTAGCATTAGGTATATCTCCCAATGCCATCCCTCCCCCCTCCCCCCACCCCACAACAGTCCCCAGAGTGTGATGTTCCCCTTCCTGTGTCCATGTGTTCTCATTGTTCAATTCCCACCTATGAGTGAGAATATGCGGTGTTTGGTTTTTTGTTCTTGTGATAGTTTACTGAGAATGATGATTTCCAATTTCATCCGTGTCCCTACAAAAGACATGAACTCATCATTTTTTATGGCTGCATAGTATTCCATGGTGTATATGTGCCACATTTTCTTAATCCAGTCTATCATTGTTGGACATTTGGGTTGGTTCCAAGTCTTTGCTATTGTGAATAATGCCGCAATAAACATACGTGTGCATGTGTCTTTATAGCAGCATGATTTATAGTCTTTTGGGTATATACCCAGTAATGGGATGGCTGGGTCAAATGGTATTTCTAGTTCTAGATCCCTGAGGAATCGCCACACTGACTTCCACAATGGTTGAACTAGTTTACAGTCCTACCAACAGTGTAAAAGTGTTCCTATTTCTCCACATCCTCTCCAGCACCTGTTGTTTCCTGACTTTTGAATGATTGCCATTCTAACTGGTGTGAGATGGTATCTCACTGTGGTTTTGATTTGCATTTCTCTGATGGCCAGTGATGGTAAGCATTTTTTCATGTGTTTTTTGGCTGCATAAATGTCTTCTTTTGAGAAGTGTCTGTTCATGTCCTTTGCCCACTTTTTGATGGGGTTGTTTGTTTTTTTCTTGTAAATTTGTTTGAGTTCATTGTAGATTCTGGATATTAGCCCTTTGTCAGATGAGTAGGTTGCGAAAATTTTCTCCCATTTTGTAGGTTGCCTGTTCACTCTGATGGTAGTTTCTTTTGCTGTGCAGAAACTCTTGAGTTTAATTAGATCCCATTTGTCAATTTTGGCTTTTGTTGCCATTGCTTTTGGTGTTTTAGACATGAAGTCCTTGCCCATGCCTATGTCCTGAATGGTAATGCCTAGGTTTTCTTCTAGGGTTTTTATGGTTTTAGGTCTAACGTTTAAGTCTTTAATCCATCTTGAATTGATTTTTGTATAAGGTGTAAGGAAGGGATCCAGTTTCAGCTTTCTACATATGGCTAGCCAGTTTTCCCAGCACCATTTATTAAATAGGGAATCCTTTCCCCATTTCTTGTTTTTGTCAGGTTTGTCAAAGATCAGATAGTTGTAGATATGTGGCATTATTTCTGAGGGCTCTGTTCTGTTCCATTGATGTATATCTCTGTTTTGGTACCAGTACCATGCTGTTTTGGTTACTGTAGCCTTGTAGTATAGTTTGAAGTCAGGTAGTGTGATGATACCAAAGTCGGGCAGAGACACAATCAAAAAAGAGAATTTTAGACCAATATCCTTGATGAACATTGATGCAAAAATCCTCAATAAAATACTGGCAAACCGAATCCGGCAGCACATCAAAAAGCTTAGCCACCATGATCAAGTGGGCTTCATCCCTGGGATGCAAGGCTGGTTCAATATACGCAAATCAGTAAATGTAGTCCAGCATATAAACAGAACCAAAGACAAAAACCACATGATTATCTCAATAGATGCAGAAAAGGCCTTTGACAAAATTCAACAGCCCTTCATGGTAAAAACTCTCAATAAATTAGGTATTGATGGGATGTATTTCAAAATAATAAGAGCTATCTATGACAAACCCACAGCCAATATCATACTGAATGGGCAAAAACTGGAAGCATTCCCTTTGAAAACTGGCACAAGACAGGGATGCCGTCTCTCACCACTCCTATTCAACATAGTGTTGGAAGTTCTGGCCAGGGCAATTAGGCAGGAGAAGGAAATAAAGGGTATTCAATTAGGAAAAGAGGAAGTCACATTGTCCCTGTTTGCAGATGACATGATTGTATATCTAGAAAACCCCATCGTCTCAGCCTAAAATCTCCTTAAGCTGATAAGCAACTTCCACAAAGTCTCAGGATACAAAATCAATGTACAAAAATCACAAGCATTCTTATACACCAACAACAGACAAACAGAGAGCCAAATCATGAGTGAACTCCCATTCACAATTGCTTCAAAGAGAATAAAATACCTAGGAATCCAACTTACAAGGGATGTGAAGGACCTCTTCAAGGAGAACTACAAACTACTGCTCAAGGAAATAAAAGAGGATACAAACAAGTGGAAGAACATTCCATGCTCATGGGTAGGAAGAATCAATATCGTGAAAATGGCCATACTGCCCAAGGTAATTTACAGATTCAATGCCATCCCCATCAAGCACCCAATGACTTTCTTCACAGAATTGGAAAAAACTACTTTAAAGTTCATATGGAACTAAAAAAGAGCCCGCATCGCCAAGTCAATCCTAAGCCCTGTTACTATTTCTCTGAATAAACTTCTCTCTCTCTGTCTCTGTCTCTGTCTCTCTCTCTCTCTCCTTCCTCTTTAAGGCCAACAACTCTTAGATTTGACCCTTTGAGGCTGTTTTCTAGATCTTGTAGGTATGCTTTCTTCTCTTTTCTGTCTTCTCTGACTGTATTTTCATACAGCCTATCTTCAGGTTTACTAATTCTTTCTTCTGCTTGATCAATTCTGCTCGCTAAAGACTTTGTGTTTATTTTTCAATTTGTCAATTTAATTTTTAAGCTCCCAAATTTCTGCTTGATATTTTAAAAAATCAATTACTCTTTGTTAAATTTCTCTGATAGAATTCTGAATTCCTTGTCTGTGTTATCTTGGAGTTTGTTTAGCTTCCTCAAGACGGCTATTTTGAATTCCCTGTCTGAAAATTCGTATATCTCTGTCACTCTTTAGTCTGTTTGGTGAGGTCATGTTTTCTTGGATGCTCTTGATCTTTGTGGACATTAATTGATGTCTAGGCATTGAAGAGCTAGGTGTTTATTACAATGTTTGCAGTTTGGACTTGTTTGCACCCACCCATATTAGGAAGGCTTTCCAAGTATTCAAAGCGAATTGAGTGTTGTGATCTAAGATTTTGGTCAGTGCAGCCATATCTACATTAGGGCGCACCCCAAGCCCAGTAACGCTGTGACTCTACAAGAGTCACAGAGGTGCCTCTGTGACAAGAGTCACAGAGACTCCTAGTGGTACCGCTTTGGTGGTGGTTTGGATAAGATCTGAGAGAATTCACTGGATTATCAGGCAGAGACTCCTGTTCTCTTCCCTTGCTTTCCCCCAAACAAATGAAGTCCCTGTGCTGAACTGCCTGGGGTTGGGGAAGGGGTGTCAAAAGCACACCTATAGCCACCATGACTGGGACCCTGTTGGGTCCAACTTATAACCAGCCCAGGACTGGGTCTTGCTAAAGGTCTGTGGTCACTATTGCCTGGCTAAAGCTGATGTTTATCAAGGGCCAAGGGCACTTTAGTCAGGAGGTGATGAGTCTAGCCAGGCTTGTGTCTTTCCCTTCAGGTTAGCAAGTTCTCCTCTGGCCCAGGGTCGGTGTATAAATGCTGTTCAGGAGCTAGGGCCTAGAGTCAGGAGCTTTAGGGCTCTTCTTGATGTTTATTTTACTGTGGCTAAGCTAGTACCCAACTTCTAAGACTTAAGTCCTCTGTATTCTTCCCTCTCTTTTCCCCAAGTAGGAATCTCTCCCCAAGCTGCACTGCCAAGAGTTCTGGGAGGGGTGACATGAGTAATCTCTTAGCTGCCACAGCTGGTGTTACACTTGGTCACATGCACCCCAAGTCCCATTGCCTCTGAGATTAGTGCAGCACCAGGCCTTGCCCAAGGACTGTAGTCCTTTGGGCAGATGGCCACTCAGTTTTATTCTCTTACCTGCCACAGCTGGTATAACACTGGGTCACATGCACCCCAAGTCTTATTGCCTCTGAGACTAGTGCAGCACCAGGCCTTGCCCAAGGACAGTAGTCCTTTTCGCCAGATGGCCACTCAGTTTTATTCCAGGCCCTAGGTCACTTTAGTCAGCCAGTGGTGGAACCAGCTGTGATCTGGGTTCCTCCTGCTGGGGCTGAGAGTTTCCCTCCGGCCCAGGGCTGGTCTAAATGTTTCCTGTCGATACCAGCAAAGCTCTCTGCCTTGCATTGTGTTTTGCTATGACAGGTAGCACTGAGTTCCAATGCAAAGTTCAACACTGACTTCACTCTGGTTTCCCAAAGCATAGTAATTATCTGGACTGTACTGCCACGAAATGATGGAAGGGTGGTATAGGCAATGCAAGACTGCCTTTCCTACCTTCTTT
Source organism: Homo sapiens (assembly GCF_000001405.40). Lineage (NCBI taxonomy): Eukaryota > Metazoa > Chordata > Mammalia > Primates > Hominidae > Homo > Homo sapiens. The sequence continues at coordinate 97,298,440 of NC_000005.10, forward strand.
AATGCCTCTTTCCTTGATATTTTGTTAAAAGCAGGTACAGTAATCACTCACTTTTTTTTTTTTTTGGTTCTTATGAGGATGCTTTCTTGTGTAGATAGTTGTTCAATTTGGTGTTCCTGCAGGGGGGTGATCGCTAGAGAATTTGGCCATGTTGCTATGCCTCTTTTGTCTGTCTAATACATAAGCTCTTTATTTTCATTTTTTATATTTTTAGACAGTCTTGTTCTGTCGCCCAGGCTGGAGTGCAGTGGCATGATCTCGGTTCACTGCAACCTCTGCCTCCCGGGTTCAAGCAATTCTCCTACCTCAGCCTCCCAAGTAGCTTGGGTTATAGGTGCATGCCACCACACCCAGGTTGTTTCTGTATTTTTAGTAGAGCGGGGTTTCACTATGTTGGCCAGGCTGGTCTCGAACTCCTGACCTCGAGATCCGCCTGCCTTGGCCTCCCAAAGTACTGGGATTACAGGCGTGAGCCACCATGCCTGGCCCTGGTATTTAATACTGAAGCAACCATACGACCAAGCAGCAGGTATATACCATGGGATATATACCTGGGGGTTTATTGTTGTGTGCTGAGAAAGAATTCAGGACACGGACACATGTGGGTGGGTTAAGGAGTGGAAATGATAGACACAAGAAAGGGGAGAGGAGAGAAGCGGACTGCAGCAAATTTTATAGGCAGGCTGGAGACGATGGTGTCTGATGTATGTAGGGCTCACAGATTGGTTCTATCAGATATGATGTCTACATAGTGCACAGGGAAGGCTGGTGGCCCCACCCTAATATTATTATGCAAATGGACTTTCCAGTTGATCAGTGCCATCTTGTCTGCTCTTTACTATACTCTTGGCTGACAAAGAAGAAGGAAGATGAAGCCGCCATTTTGAACATGTCTAGTCCCTAGTTGCTGCTGGCCTTGACCCAGGCAAGCTCCCAGCTTGCTTATCTGTGTCTGCAGCCTGATTTTACAGGCTGATTTTACAGAAAATGATGTGGGGCTGCTTTTCATTAAAAAAAAAAAAAAAAAAAGAAAAGCCTTACCGAGGGCTCTCATGCTCTTGCTATTAGCCTAAGTAATTCCTTCTTAACTCCTATATCAATACTATCAGATTTAAAGTGATATTTTCATTTCAAATTTTAAATTTTAAAAAAAATGAAATTAAGGAAATATCAATTAGATTTAATTTTTTTGGATCAGAAAAGCTTGTTTGTCATAATTGATTTTATTTTATTTTTTATTTTTTTATTTTTTATTATACTTTAAGTTGTAGGGTAGGTTGCCATGTTGGTGTCCTGCACCCATTAACTCGTCATTTACATTAGGTATATCCCCTAATGCTATGCCCTCCCTCCTCCCCCTACCCCACGACAGGCCCCAGCATGTGATGTTCCCCTTCCTGTGTCCATGTGTTCTCATTGTTCAATTCCCACCTATCAGTGAGAACATGCAGTGTTTGTTTTTTTTTCTTTGTGACAGTTTGCTGAGAATGATGGTTTCCAGCTTCATCCATGTCCCTACAAACGACATGAACTCATCCTTTTTTATGGCTGCATAGTATTCCATGGTGTATATGTGCCACATTTTCTTATTCCAGTCTATCATTGATGGACATTTGGGTTGGTTCCAAGTCTTTGCTATTGTGAATAGTGCTGCAGTAAACATACATGTGCATGTGTCTTTATAGCAACATGATTTATAATCCTTTGAGTATATACCCAGTAATGGGATGGCTGGGTCAAATGGTATTTCTAGTTCTAGATCCTTGAGGAATCACCACACTGTCTTCCACAATGGATGAACTAGTTTACAGTCCCACCGACAGTGTAAAAGTGTTCCTATTTCTCCACATCCTCTCCAGCACCTGTTGTTTCCTGACTGTTGAATGATCGGTGTTCTGACTGCTGTGAGATGGTATCTCATTGTGGTTTTGATTTGCATTTCTCTGATGGCCAGTGATGACGAGCATTTTTTCATGTGTCTTTTGGCTGCATAAATGTCTTCTTTTGAGAAGTGTCTGTTCATGTCCTTTGCCCACTTTTTGATGAGGTTGTTTGTTTTTTTCTTGTAAATTTGTTTGAGTTCTTTGTAGATTCTGGATAGTAGCCCTTTGTCAGATGAGTAGGTTGCAAAACTTTTCTCCCATTCTGTAGGTTGCCTGTTCACTCTGATGGTAGTTTCTTTTGCTGTGCAGAAACTCTTGAGTTTAATTAGATCCCATTTGTCAATTGTGGCTTTTGTTGCCATTGCTTTTGCTGTTTTAGACATGCAGTCCTTGCCCATGCCTATGTCCTAAATGGTATTGCCTAGGTTTTCTTCTAGGGTTTTTATGGTTTTAGGTCTAACGTTTAAGTCTTTAATCCATCTTGAATTAATTTTTGTATAAGGTATAAGGAAGGGATCCAGTTTCAGCTTTCTACATATGGCTAGCCAGTTTTCCCAGCACCATTTATTAAATAGGGAATCCTTTCCCCATTTTTTGTTTTTGTCAGGTTTGTCAAAGATCAGATGGTTGTAGATGTGTGGTATTGAGAGGTGACAGCGTGCTGGCAGTCCTCAGAGCCCTCGCTCGCTCTCGGTGCCTCCTCTGCCTGGGCTACCACTTTGGCAGCACTCGAGGAGCCCTTCAGCTCACCGCTGCACTGTGGGAGCCCCTTTCTGGGCTGGCCAAGGCCGGAGCCGGCTCCCTCAGCTTGCAGGGAAGTGTGGAGGGAGAGGCGTGAGTGGGAACCGGGGCTGCACGCGGCACTTGCGGGCCAGCTGGAGTTCCAGCTGGGCATGGGTTTGGCGGGCCCTGCACTTGGAGCAGCCGGCCGGCCCTGCCGGCCCCAGGCAATAAGGGGCTTAGCACCCAGGGCAGCGGCTGCGGAGGGTGTACTGGGTCCCCCAGCAGTGCCAGCCCACCAGTGCTGTGCTTGATTCCTCGCTGGGCCTTAGCTGCCTTCCCGTGAGGCAGGGCTCGGGACCTGCAGCCCACCATGCCTGAGCCTCCCACCCCCTCCGTGGACTCCTGTGTGGCCGGAGCCTCCGCGATGAGCACTGCCCCCTGCTCCACGGCACCCAGTCCCATCAACCACCCAAGGGCTGAGGAGTGTGGGCTCATGGCACAGGACTGGCAAGCAGCTCCACCTGCAGCCCCAGTGCAGGATCCACTGGGTGAAGCCAGCTGGGTTCCTGAGTCTGGTGGGGACGTGGAGAACCTTTTTGTCTAGCTCAGGGATTGTAAATACACCAATCGGCACTCTGTATCTAGCTCAAGGTTTGTAAACACACCAATCAGCACCCTGTGTCTAGCTCAGGGTTTGTGAATGCACCAATCGACACTCTGTATCTAGCTACTCTGGTGAGGCCTTGGAGACCCTTCGTGTTGACACTCTGTATCTAGCTAATCTGGTGGGGACATGGAGAACCTTTGTGTCTAGCTCAGGGATTGTAAATGCACCAATCAGCACCCTGTCAAAAGAGACCACTTGGCTCTACCAATCAGCAGGATGTGGGTGGGGCCAGATAAGAGAATAAAAGCAGGCTGCCAGAGTCAGCAGTGGCAACCCGCTGGGGTCCCCTTCCACACTGTGGAAGCTTTGTTCTTTTGCTCTTTGCAATAAATCTTGCTACTGCTCACTCTTTGTGTCCACACTGCCTTTATGAGCTGTAACACTCACCGTGAAGGTCTGCAGCTTCACTCCTGAGCCAGCGAGACCATGAACCCACCAAAAGGAAGAAACTCCGAACACATCTGAACATCAGAAGGAACAAACTCCGGACACGCTGCCTTTAGTAACTGTAACACTCACCGCGAGGGTCCATGGCTTCATTCTAAAAGTCAGTGAGACCAAGAACCCACCAATTACGGACACAGTATTATTTCTGAGGACTCTGTTCTGTTCCATTGGTCTATATCTCTGTTTTGGTACCAGTACCATGCTGTTGTGGTTACTGTAGCCTTGTAGTATAGTTTGAAGTCAGGTAGCATGATGCCTCCAGCTTTGTTCTTTTGGCTTAGGATTGACTTGGCAATGTAGGCTCTTTTTGGTTCCATATGAACTTTAAAGTAGTTTTTTCCAATTCTGTGAAGAAAGTCATTGGTAGCTTGATGGGGGATGGTATTGAATCTATAAATTACCTTGGGCAGTATGGCCATTTTCATATTGATTCTTCCTATCCATGAGCATAGAATGTTCTTCCATTTGTTTGTGTCCTCTTTTATTTCATTTAGCAGTGGTTTGTAGTTCTGCTTGAAGAGGTCCTTCACAGCCTTTGAAATGTAGGTTGGATTCCTAGGTATTTTATTGTCTTTGAAGCAATTGTGAATGGGAGTTCATTCGTGATTGGGCTCTCTGTTTGTCTGTTGTTGGTATATAAGAATGCTTGTGATTCTTGCACATTGATTTTGTATCCTGAGACTTTGTGGAAGTTGCTTATCAGCTTAAGGAGATTTTTGGCTGAGATGATGGGGTTTTCTAGATATACAATCATGTCATCTGCAAACAGGGACAATTTGACTTCCTCTTTTCCTAATTGAATACCCTTTATTTCTTTCTCCTGCCTAATTGCCCTGGCCAGAACTTCCAACACTATGTTGAATAGGAGTGGTGAGAGAGGGCATCCCTCTCTTGTGCCAGTTTTCAAAGGAAATGCTTCCAGTTTTTGCCCATTCAGTATGATATTGGCTATGGGTTTGTCACAAATAGTTATTATTGTTTTGAGATAGGTCCCATCAATACCTAATTTATTGAGAGTTTTTACCCTGAAGGGCTGTTGAATTTTGTCAAAGGCCTTTTCTGCATCTATTGAGATAATCACATGGTTTTTGTCATTGGTCCTGTTTATATGCTGGATTACATTTATTGATTTGCATTTATTGAACCAGCCTTGCATCCCAGGGATGAAGCCCACTTGATCATGGTGGCTAAGCGTTTAGATGTGCTGCTGGATTCAGTTTGCCAGTATTTTATTGAGGATTTTTGCATCGATGTTCATCAGGGATATTGGTCTAAAATTCTTTTATTGTGTCTCTGCCAGGCTTTGGTATCAGGATGATGCTGGCCTCATAAAATGAGTTAGGGAGGATTCCCTCTTTTTCTATTGATTAGAATAGTTTCAGAAGGAATGGTACCATCTCCTCTTTGTACCTGTGGTAGAATTTGGCTGTGAATCCTTCTGGTCCTGGAGTTTTTTTGGTTGTAGCCTATTAATTATTGCCTCAGTTTCAGAGCCTGTTATTGGTCTATTCAGGGATTCAACTTCTTCCTGGTTTAGTTTTGGCAGGGTGTATGTTTCCAGGAATTTATCCATTTCTTCTAGATTTTCTAGTTTATTTGCATGGAGGTGTTTATAGTATTCTCTGATGTTAGTTTATATTTCTGTGGGATCGGTGGTGATATCCCCTATATCATTTTTTATTGCATCTATTTGATTCTTCTCTCTTTTCTTTTTTATTAATCTTGCTAGTGGTCTATGAATTTTGTTGATCTTTTCAAAAAACCAGCACCTGGATTCACTGATTTTTTGAAGGATTTTTTGTGTCTCTATCTCCTTCAGTTCTGCTCTGATCTTAGTTATTTCTTGCCTTCTGCTAGCTTTTGAATGTGTTTGCCCTTGCTTCTCTAGTCCTTTTAATTGTGATGTTAGAATGTCAATTTTAGATCTTTCCTGCTTTCTCTTGTGGGCATTTAGTGCCATAATTTTCCCTCTACACACTGCTTTAAATGTGTCCCAGAGATTCTGGTATGTTGTGTCTTTATTCTCACTGGTTTCAAAGAACATCTTTATTTCTGCCTTCATTTTGTTAGATGCCCAGTAGTCATTCAGGAGAGGTTGTTCTGTTTCCATGTAGTTGAACAATTTTGAGTGAGTTTCTTAATCCTGAGTTCTAGTTTGATTGCACTGTGGTCTGAGAGATGGTTTGTTATAATTTCTATTCTTTTACATTTGCTGAGGAGTGCTTTACTTCCACCTATATGGTCAATTTTGGAATAAGTGTGATGTGGTGCTGAGAAGAATGTATGTTCTATTGATTTGGGGTGGAGAGTTCTGTAGATGTCTGTTAGGTCTGCTTGGTGCAGAGTTGAGTTCAATTCCTGGATATCCTTGTTAACTTTCTGTCTCGTTGATCTGTGTAATGTTGACAGTGGGGTGTTAATGTCTCCCGTTATTATTGTGTGGGAGTCCAAGTCTCTTTATAGGTCTCTAAGGACTTGCTTTATGAATCTGGGTGCCCCTGTATTGGGTGCATAGATATTTAGGATAGTTAGCTCTTGTTGAATTGATCCCTTTACCGTTATGTGATGGCCTTCTTTGACTCTTTTGATCTTGGTTGTTTAAAGTCTGTTTTATCAGAGACTAGGATTGCAATCCCTGCTTTTTTTTGTTTTCCATTTGCTTGGTAGATCTTCTTCCATCCCTGTATTTTCAGCCTATGTGTGTCTCTGCATGTGAGATGGATCTCCTGAATACAGCACACTGATGAGTCTTGACTCTTTATCCAATTTGCCAGTCTGTGTGTTTTAATGGGACCATTTAGCCCATTTACATTTAAGGTTAATATTGTTATGTGTGAATTTGTTCCTGTCATGATGATGTTAGCTGGTTATTTTGCTCGTTAGTTGATGCAGTTTTTTCCTACCATTGATGGTCTTTACAATTTGGCATGTTTTTGCAGTGGCTGGTACCAGTTGTTCCTTTCCATGTTTAGGGCTTCCTTCAAGAGGTCTTGTAGGGCAGGGCTGGTGGTGACAAAATCTCTCAGCATTTGCTTGTCTGTAAAGTATTTTATTTCTCCTTCACTTATGAAGCTTAGTTTGGCTGGATATGAAATCTGGGTTGAAAATTCTTTACTTTAAGAATGTTGAATATTGGTCCCTACTCTCTTCTGGCTTGTAGAGTTTCTGCCGAGAGATCCGCTGTTAGTCTGATGGGCTTCCCTTTGTGGTTAACCCGACCTTTCTCTCTGGCTGCCCTTAACATTTTTTCCTTCATTTCAACTTTGGTGAATGTGACAATTATGTGTCTTGGAGTTGCTCTTTTTGAGAAGTATCTTTGTGGCATTCTCTTTATTTCCTGAATTTGAATGTTGGCCTGCCTTGCTAGGTTGGGGAAGTTCTCCTAGATCATATCCTGCCGAGTGTTTTCCAACTTGGTTCCATTCTCCCCGTCACTTTCAGGTACACCAATCAGACATAGATTTGTTTTTTTCAAATAGTCCCATATTTCTTGGAGGCTTTGTTCATTTATTTTTACTCTTTTTTCTCTAAACTTCTCTTCTTGCTTCATTTGATTAATTTGATCTTCAATCACTGATACCCTTTCTTCTAGTTGATTGAATTGGCTACTGAAGCTGTGCATTCATCACGTAGTTCTCATGCCATGGTTTTCAGCTCCATCAGGTCATTTGAGGACTTCTCTACACTGGTTATTCTAGTTAGCCAGTCATCTAATCTTTTTTCAAGGTTTTTATCTTCTTTGTGATGGGTTCGAACTTCCTCCTTTAGCTTGGAGAAGTTTGATCGTCTGAAGCCTTCTCTCAACTCATCAAAGTCATTCTCCATCCAGCTTTGTTCTGTTGCTGGCGAGGAGCTGTGTTCCTTTGGAGGGGGAGAGGCACTCAATTTTTAGAATTTTCAGCTTTTCTGCTCTGTTTTATCCCCATCTTTGTGATTTTATCTACCTTTGATCTTTGGTGATGGTGACGTACAGATGGGGTTTTGGTGTGGATGTCCTTTCTGTTTGTTAGTTTTCCTTCTAACAGTCAGGATCCTCAACTGCAGGTCTGTTGGAGTTTGCTGGAGGTCCACTCCAGACACTGTTTGCCTAGATATCAGCAGCGGAGTCTGCAGAACAGCGAATATTGCTGAACAGCAAATGTTTCTGCCTGATTGTTCCTCTGAAAGCTTCATCTCAGAGGGGTACCTGGCTGTGTGAGTTATCAGTCTTCCCCTACTGGAGGGTGCCTCCCAGTTAGGCTACTTGGGGGTCAGGTACCGACTTGAGGAGGCAGTCTGTCCATTCTCTGATCTCAAAAAAGTGCTGGGAGAACCACTACTCTCTTCAAAGCTGTCAGACAAGGACATTTTAGTCTGCAGAAGTTTCTGCTGCCTTTTGTTCAGCTATGCCCTGCCCACAGAGGTGGACTCTATAGAGGCAGGCAGGCCTCCTTGAGCTGAGGTGGGCTCCACCCAGTTTGAGCTTCACAGCTGCTTTGTTTACCTACTCAAGCCTCAGCAATGGTGGACGCCCCTCCCCCAGCCTCGCTGCCACCTTGCAGTTCGATCTCAGACTGCTGTGCTAGCAATGAGCAAGGCTCTGGACGTGGGACCCTCGGAGCTATGCGCAGCATATAATCTCCTGGTGTGCCTTTTGCTAAGACCATTGGAAAAGTGCAGTATTAGGGTGGGAGTAACCTGATTTTCCAGGTGCCATCTGTCAGAGCTTCCCTTGGCTGGAAAGGGAATTCCCTGACCCCTTGCACTTCCTGGGTGAGACGATGCCTCACCCTGCTTTGGCTCACGCTCGGTGGGCTGCACCCACTGTCCTGCACCCACTGTCCGACAAGTCCCCATGAGATGAACCAGGTACCTCAGTTGGAAATGCAGAAATCACCCGTCTTCTGTGTCACTCACACTGGGAGCTGTAGACTGGAGCTGTTCCTATTTGGCCATCTTCGAAACACCTCTGAAAATATTAATTTTAATGAAAATTTAAACTATTATGTTTATATCAAAAAGATGGGCTGGGTATTCAATACTTTATTTCCAAAATATATAACTGTTGACAAAATGTAAAACTTTTAGGCTTTTGAAATGGTGAGTTTCATATGAATGTATGTTTGAGAGTTTTCTCAAACTATTTAGAAATTTCTCCAAACCCAGATTTTTGGCTAGGTAGACTTATGCTTAGATGCTGGTATGTTACTATTGTGTCACTGAAGAACCATAGATATCTTTTGAAAAAATTACAATAACATTCAATATGGAACCTTTTGATATATATAAAGCACATTTCTTTTCAAGTATTTTCTTCTTAATGTAGTTTCTTAAGAAGGGGGTTATTTATTTTGGAGAACTTTTGTCTTAGAGTGGATTAGCTGAAATTAGACATCAAGATAGAGAATTGCATGTAGAAGATGTATTGGTGAGTGCTCTTGGGAAAGAGATCTGTAAGGAAGTGAGCGATCTCAAATTGGGCAGGGTGGAGTATCCTTGAACTGCATTGGCTCTTCAGAGTATTTACAAACTGGGGCAAGAGACTTGGTGTTTATATCTTAAGATTATTGGGTGAGGCAGTTCTCTGTGGCCAAGGGCTGTATCAGCAGAGGGGCATTCATAGCTGGGCTGGGAATGGCTGGACCTGACCCTGAAGAAAGATCAGGGTGGACTACCACAGTATCCACTGTAGTTTGTCTCCAACTGTTGCTTATTTCTTAGTTGAAACAAAACTTTTATGTCATGTCTTAAAGCCTTGCTCCTGAGTTAACAGGCATGGACACAAATAGCCTCACAAAGACAAAAATGTGAATTTAAGGGGTGGGAAAATGGTTGTGGGAATGGATGTGGGGACAACAAAGGCATTATCATACTCACAAGAAATATGTATTTTACAAAATATGTTTAATATTTAAAATGGAGAGCTAGTCTTGAACTCCTGGGCTCAAGTGAACCTCCCACCTCAGCGTCTCAAAGTGCTGGGGTTACAGGTGTGAGCCACCATGCCCAGACTGTATAAACAATTTGAATTAACAACATTAAAGTAATTATTCTTATATATATGATTCCTTGTGAACCTCGGTAACAGTTTTCCTAGTTTTTATACCTAAAATTAGCATTTAAGGGTTGTCGATGATGATGAGTATTTATGACTTCTAGATAATACCAACTTTCTCTCCAAAGTGGTTTTAACAGTTGACACTCCTTTAAGCAGACTGGAAGTTCCTCTTGCTTCACATCCTCACCAGCACTTGATATTGAGAGATACTTAAAACAATTTTTTGTTGTTGTCACCAATCTGATGGGCTATTTTATTTCCTGTTCCTCTGACTACTAGTGAGTATGAGCATCTTTTCTTTTATTGGTCAATCATGTTTTTTCTGATAATTGCCTGTTTACATCTTTTCCCCATTTTTCCATAGGATTGTTTATTATGTTGATTTGTGGGCTTACTTTAAATATGCTGCATACCAATGACTTGAATGTTTTGTATGTTGTAAATGTTTCTCTTGGCAGGTGGGCTTGTCTTTTTCCTTTTTTATAATGTCTGTTGTGCATAGGTTTGTAATTTTAATGAGGTTAAATGTATCAAGCATCTCCCTTTGTTGTCTGCTTGTTTAGTATTGTGTCTGGAATTGGTTCCTTCTGGTGGGTTCTTGGTCTTGCTGACTTCAAGAATGAAGCCACGGACCCTCACAGTGAGTGTTACAGTTCTTAAAGATGGTGTGTCCAGAGTTTGTTCCTTCAGATGTTCAAATGTGTCCAGAGTTTTTTCCTTCCAGTGGGTTCGTGGTCTTGCTTGACTTCAGGAGTGAAGCCGCAGACCTTCGCAGTGAGTGTTACAGCCCTTAAAGGTGGCGCGTCCAGAGTTGTTTGTTCCTCCTAGTGGGTTCGTGGTCTCGCTGACTTCAGGAGTGAAGCCACAGACCTTCACAGTGAGTGTTATGTAGCTCATAAAGGTAGTGCTGACCCAAAGAGTGAGCAGCAGCAAGATTTATTGTGAAGAGTAAAAGAACAAAGCTTCCACAGCATGGAAGGGGACCTGAGTAGGTTGCCACTGCTGGCTCAGGTGGCTAGCTTTTATTCCCTTATTTGGCTCACCCATGTCCTGCTGATTGGTCCATTTTACAGAGTGTTGATTGGTGTGTTTACAAACCTTTAGCTAGACACAGAATGCTGATTGGTGCGTTTACAAACCTTTAGCTAGACACAGAGCGCTGATTGGTGTGCTTACAATCCTTTAGCTAGACAGAAAGGTTCTCCAAGTCCCCACCCGACCCAGAAGCCCAGCTGGCTTCACCTCTCAATCCCCCCTCTAAACAGGACAACCCAACTGCTGTTGGGAATTGGGCAGTGACCGCTCTAGCTACTTCCTGCTGGATGGGGTGATGAAGGGGCCCTACAATTGTAGTGTCCTCCAGAGGGGAACTCTCTAGGCCAGTGAAAGGGCCAGCAGGTCAGTCCAGGGTTCCTCGGTAGAAGTTGTTAGTTGAACTCATTTGGGGTTCCATTTGTAAGACCATCTGTAACTTGATGGCCTTGATCCTAGAGGAAACAAATTAACAAGGAGGTTAAAAATACATGGCCCAAAGGCAAGTAATAGCAAGATGGCTGCCACGGGACCTAAAAAGGGGAGAAGCCAGGTTGTCCAACTGCAGAAGTTAGTATAAGAGTTTGAAAGGCGTTGTCTGATTTCAGAAGCCTTTTCCTGTGAGTGCAGGGTGGCATCTCATACCCCTGACTGGTTAGTGTAAAAACAACATCTTCCCCTAAGAGGGTGCAGAGTCCTCCTTTCTCAGCAGCGAGGAGGTCTAGGACTTGGTGGTTTTGGAGAGTCACTGCTGCCAAAGAATCTATTTCAGATTGTAGAGTAAGGATAGATTTTGTTGTTTCTTGCAAATTGTCTGAAAAATCCTCTGAGTGTGTGGTAGTAGGATAATGAAGTAGATAAACTGGCTATTCTGGTTCCTGTAGCAGTAGCCATTCCTAACCCTATAAGTAGGGGTATTAGTTGTATGGCTCTGCGCTGACGGACTTGAGCTTTGAGGGGTACTGATAGGGTCTGATTTCCTGGGGCAATGTTAATGTTGGGACTTAGAAAGACTAAGGTGCAGGTGCCTGTCCAGTTAGTGGGGAGGCAGATATAGGTCGACGTTCCACATAAGAAGAATATACCTTGGCTGACTAGACAGAACTGGTTGTGTATGTTAAAAAGGTGTGTGAGTTTGTTGTTTTCATTTTCCCATACTCCTAGAATACTTGCCAAGGTAGCTCTGGTGAGTGGGTGGAAAGGGGTGTTGCAAGCAAACCGAGTGGCTCCCTGTTCTAGTTTCCCATTGGAGAATAAATCATTTTGTATCTACTAGGAGCCATTCAAGAGAGTGATTGAAAGAGGGGATAAGAAGGCATTCACTAGTGGTGGGGGCACTGCTGGAGGGAGTCCAGGGGTGAATGGTCATGCAGGGAGTATGTTTGCCATTACAAAACCTGGACTGTTTGTTAAGTAGCGAGGAGGTGATGATTTTTGGGGGCGCTGAGAAGTGGACAAGCCATCTGAATGGAGCTGTTTGGGTTACTCGGAAATTACTGTGATCAGCTGGGGCTTCAAGTTGTAGGGTATAATTACACTGATGCGGTAGTAGGTGCCCCAGGGGCAGGCCTGTTAACAGGTTGCATTGGATGCATAAAGGGGCTTGGAAAGTTAAGATGGTATTCATAGTTACAGGGCCGTGTATGGGCTTTTCATTGCTTGTGTAATAGGTGAGGTTGGAAAAGTAAGGACGCAAATTTGGATTGCATGTCCTGTTAGGGTAGTCTTGGTCCTATCAGAGATAGGGAAGTTGGCTAATGATTGCATATTTAGAAGTCAGAAAGGGTCTTTTCCTTCATAATGAGGGTGGTAGTTTAAGTTGGTAAAGACCCAACTTTTTTGCGGGAATGGGAGTGTCAACATAAGCAGAGGTTGATAGAGAGATACAAAGCCAACAGTCATTTGCCAGGGAAGGATTGGACTGGTTTAACAGAGAGTGGGTTACATTGAGAGTCTTGTAGAGGTAATTAGGAGCTAGTGGAAGAGGATGGGTGATTGTATGAGACATCTAAAGAAGCGGGAAGGATAACTAGGCAAAGAGTAAATGGGAAGGTAACGAGGGTGCTCTGAAAGACGAGATCATTTTATCCAGTCTGAGTTAAAGGTAGGAGTAAATTGCTGTCAGAAGGAAGGAAGATAGAAAGAAGGTTGATGTGATTAGGATTTTCATCCCAGCAGGAGCTACAGTATATAGCCCTATCGCAAAGAATACAGTTAGTATGCTGCTTAATAATATGATGAAATAGTAAAAGGATTCCATTAAAGGGGCAAGGAGAGGTGTTAAAGATAAAGATTATGTAGGCTTTCACTAATTTTTTTTAAGGAGGAAGGGGTTTTTCTTCAGGATCAGTGGTAGGAACCTTTTTAGTCTGGGATGTTTCCTTTTGAAATAGGAGATGCAAGTCCTCCAATGGTTCGCAGGTGTATCGAGGCTGGTCTGGATGATCTTGGGACTCCTGAGCTGACGGTCCCACAGGTTCCTCAGGGGGTGTCCAAAATTTAACTCAGGTGTGGTGAATCCAAGATTCCACTCCTGCCACCTTAACTGCAGTGGGGAGAGAATGAGTGAGTATGGTCCTTCCCACAAAGAGTCCATAGATGGGGAGGTAGAGGGGAGAGATCTGACCAACACTAGATCTGCTGGTTGAAACAACTCTGTTCCTTTTTCTCTGTGATATCCTTCAGGGAGGTTTTTAAGGTTTTGTTGATATTTTGCCAAAGAAGTTATATCTTTGACCAGGTTGGCCGTTTCCTGATCAAGTAGGAGGTCATTTGTGAGAAAAGGTTGTCCATGCAGCATTTCATATGGACTGAGCCCCATTTTGTGAGGAGAATTTTGGATTCTCAACAAGGCCATGGGCAAAAGAGTAGGCCATGGGAGATGAGTTTCTTGTGTTAGTTTCCTTAAGTGCCTCTTGAGGGTTTCATTTGCTTTCTGGATCTTCCCTGAGGATTGTGGCCTCCAGGAGCAGTGAAGGTGATATTGTATCCTTAGCACCCTCGAAATTCCCTGAGTTATCATGGCTTTAAAAGCTGGACCATCGTCACTCTGTAAGCTTTGGGGAATCCCAAATCTAGGAATTATTTCATGAATTAGGACTTTAATCACTTCCTGAACCTTCTCTGTCTTGAAGCGGAAAGGTTCTATCCAATTTGTAAAGGTATCAACACAGACCAACAAGTATTGAAATCTCTTTGACTTAGGCATATGGGTGAAGTCTAACTGCCAGTCCTCTCCAGGATAGTGACCTATTCTTTGTTTCCCCAAAGGGTACTTATGATGGAACAAGGGATTATTCCTTTGGCACACCTCACAGGCTTTGACTACCTGTCGGATGGTCTGGAGGAGATTTGGCCCTGTAAATAGGGATTTGGCCATTTGATGAGTGTTTTCAATACCCATATGAAAAGTTTGGTGGGGGGATTTAAGTATTTTCCACTGGCTGGCTTTGGGTTTAAGTACCTTTCCTTCTTCTGTCGTTAACCACCCTGAGGGGAGAAAACTATGACCCCGTGAAAGTCCCCATTCTGTTTCAGTTGGGGAATACTGGGGCTTAATCTGTTGGAGGGGGTTGTTCAATACCCAGGGTCCTTCCATAGGTATTTCTAATGGGAGGTTCCGCTTGGCAGGAATTTTGGCCTCAGCATCTGCCCAACAGTTTCCTTCTGCCTTTTCTTCTTCACCTTTTTGATGGCTTTGGCAGTGTAAGACTGCCACCTCCTTGGGTTTTGCACTGTGTGCAATAACTCCATAATTTCCTTGTGGTATTTAATGGGGGTTCTTCCAGAGGTTAGAACGCCCTTTCTTTCCATATTGCAGCATGGGCATGTAGGATTAGGTAAACATACTTGCTATCTGTATACACATTTATTCTTTTTCCCTTTCCCAGTTCTAAGGCTTGGGTAAGTGCCACTATTTCTGCTAACTGGGCGTTGGTCCCTGGGAAAGAGGCTTACTTTCAAGTACGGTTACATCACTAACTATGGCATAACCTGCCCTTCATATCCCATTCTCCACAAATGAACTTCCATCGGTATATAGGTTAAGGTCAAGATTAGCTAAGGGGACTTCTAGGAGATCATCTCGGGCAGCATAAGTCTGGACTATAATTTGTTGGCAGTCATGCTCAATTGGTTCCCCATCCTCTGGGAGAAAAGTGGCAGGGTTGAGGGCCATGCACATAAGTATTTGAAGCATTGGTCCCTGAAGGAGTAGCGCCTGGTATCTAAGTAGGTGGTTGTCCAATAGCCATAAACTTCCTTTGGCACCTAGTATGCCATTTACATCATGAGTAGTCCAGACAGTGAGATCTTTTCCTTGTATTATTTTGATAGCCTCTGACACTAAGATGACCACCACAACTACCCTTAAACAGTGAGGCCAGCCTTTTGCTACTACATCAATTTACTTACTTAGGTATGCCACTGGTTGTGGGGTCGTCCCACGAGTCTAACAACTCCAAGAGCTATCCCTGCTGTCTCTGTGACATATAAAGAGAAGTTTTGTCCTGTGGGAAGGCTTAAAGCTGGAGCTTGTACTAGGGCCTGCTTTAAGGTTTTGAAGGCTGTTTCTGCTTGTGGTTCCCATTCTACTAGATGAGTATTTGCCCTCTGGGTCTCCTTGATTAGAGTATAAAGGGGCCTGGCTATCTCGCTGTATCCAGGGATCCATAGTCAGCAAAAGCCGTGATTCCAAGGAATGACCACAACTGTTTTAATGTCTTAGGGCAAGGATAAGCCAGTATAGGCTGTATTTGTTCCTTGCTGAGGGCCCTGGTCCCTCTGGCTAAGATTAGGCCTAGTTATTTGACCTGCTATAGACAAAGCTGGGCCTTTGACCTAGACGCCTTGTACCCTTGATTAGCTAGAAAGTTCAAGAGATCTAGAGTAGCCTGCTGGCATGAGGCTTCCAAACTGGTAGCCAAAAGTAAATCATCCACATACTGAAGGGCCAGAGTGCCTGGACTTGAGAAGTGGCCTAGATCTTGGGCCAGTGCCTGACCAAACAGATGAGGGCTATCCCTAAACCCTTGAGGCAAGACTGTCCATGTAAGTTGGGATGTGTGGTCTGTGGGATCCTCAAAGGCAAAGAGAAACTGGGAGTCAGAGTGCAGGGGAATACAGAAGAAGGCATCCTTGAGGTCCAGAACAGTGAATCTTTCTGCTTCCTCTTGTATTTGAGAGAGCAGGGTATAGGGATTGGGTACAATTGGATATAGAGGAACTACTGCCTCATTGATGAGTCTAAGATCTTGCACTAGTCCCCACTGAACCCTTCGGTTTTTGTACTCATAGAATTGGGGTGTGGCAGGGACTGCTGCATTTCCTTACTAAGCCTTGAGCTTTTAAATGTTTAACAATATCTTGTAATCCTTTATGAGCTTCAGGCCTTAAGGGATGTTGCCTTTGAAAAGGAAAAGTGGTGGGATCTTTTAGCCTGATTTGGACTGGGTGGGCATTTTTTGCCCTTCCAAATTGTCTTTCCAATGTCCAGACTTCAGGGTTGTTTCCCTCCTCAAGTAGGGGACAACAAATAGGTAGCTTGTTCCCCATATTCATATAGATAATAGCTCCAGCTTTGGCAAATATATCCCTCCCTAATAAGATTGTGGGACTTTCAGGATAACAAGGAAGGCATGTGAAAAGAGCAAAGTCTCCCAATTACAAATGAGGAGGTGGGAGAAATACCTGGTTACAGGCTTTCCCAGGATTCCTTGGATGGTAACAGACCTTGAAGGCAGTCGTCCAGGACAGGAGATTAACACTGAGAACGCTGCGCCAGTGTCCAGGAGGAAGTCAATTTCCTGGTCCTCAATGGTTAAATGTACCTGGGGCTCAGTGAGGGTGATTACATGAGCTGGTGCTTGCCCTGGGGACCCTCAGTCCTGTTGTTGGATCATCTGGTTGGGGGCTTCTGGCCCAGAGAAACTTTGCCCTCTGGGGCAGTGTGCCTTCCAGTGATTGCCTAGGCACAGTGGACATGGACGAGGGGGCAGCTTGTTTCTCATTGGACAATCTTTTTTAAAATATCCTTGTAAACCACAGTGATAACAAGTCTTTCCTGGTGATTGACCTGCTCCATTTTCTGTCCTCTCTGAACCACCAAGGTTGGTTTGTCTGAGGGCAATGACTAAGGCTGCAGCCTTTCTCTGATCTCGCTTTTCCTTTTGGGCCTGTTCCTCTTGGTCCCTATTATAGAACACTGAGGTTGCTAGGTTTAATAATGCCTCCAGATTTTGTTCAGGGCCCAGGGCTCACTTTTGGAGCTTTATCCTGATATCTGCAGCTGATTGGGTAATAAACTTATCAATTGACCCTCTAGTGAGTTGCGTGACAGGGGAGTATAGTTTCTTAAGGCCTCCTTTAGCTGCTTGAGGAAGGCAGAGGGATTTTCTTCCTTTCCCTGAGTTATGGTGGACATCATTGAATAATTCATGGGCCTTTTCCTAATTCTCCTTAGTCCTTCTAGAACACAGGTCAACAGATGTTTGCAATTCCAGTCCCCATGAGCTGAGTTGAGGTCCCATTGGGGATCCATACTGGGGACGGCTTGCTGACCGGTAGGGAATTTGTCCCTTTTTTTGGCTGTCATCCTATCATTTACTTGACTAAGATACCAGGTATCTCCAAACTCTCGGGCTGCAGCTAAAGCCACATTCTTTTCATTAAAGACCAGGTTTTGATCTAACAATAGCATGACATCTCTCCAGGTGAGATTGAAGGTTTGCCCTAGACCCTGTAGGACATCTGTGTACCTAACAGGATTATCTGAAAACTTCCTCAAGTCTGCCTTGATCTCCTTTAAATCAGAGAGGGAGAAAGGGACATGTACCCGGGTTGGGCCAAATTCCCCTCCCCCTACAGCTTGATGGGGACATAACTGATAGCCTGGGGGTTTTTGTGGTCCTTTGGAAATTTCTTTACTTATTTCCTTCTGGGCAGGGGAGATTAGAGAAGGCTTATCATTAATAGGAAGCGGAGCTGTAGGGAGGCTAGAATATGGGGGTAAGCTGAGAGGTCCTCTGTGGGATGTAAATTGCAAGGTTTGCATAGTTGTGTATTCTCCTTCAATGAAAAGAAAGCTTGGACATAAGGTATTTCACTCCATTTGCCTTCCCCTTACAGAAAAGGTCAAGCTGCGGGATAGCATTGTAATTTTACACTTCCCTCAGGGGGCCATTTTTCACCATCAGAGAGAGAATATTGGGGCCAGGCCCTAGTGCGGAAAAAATGAGCCACCTCTTTTTCAGGGTTTGTGGGTCAAATTCATCCCAATGACTTAGGATGCATTTCAAGGGTGAACCTGTTGATGCCTGAGTGTTTCCCATCTGAAAGACAAAACCGCCTGCGGTTTGGTTTGTTTCTCTCCCTGCCCAAGAACCTGCAGTGGTCCCTGGACCCTGCTGATCAGAATAGTTGCACTCACCGATGTAGCAGCAGAAACACTAGTTTTCCTCCAGATCACAAGGAGGACCGAGGAATGTTGGATTTAATGGCCCTTACTGATGCATTCTCGAAAACCTGCACCCTTGCCTGTCCTC
Organism: Homo sapiens; assembly: GCF_000001405.40. Taxonomy (NCBI): domain Eukaryota; kingdom Metazoa; phylum Chordata; class Mammalia; order Primates; family Hominidae; genus Homo; species Homo sapiens. The sequence continues at coordinate 97,316,770 of NC_000005.10, forward strand.
CTAGACCACAAAGAAGACCGAGAAAAATCGGATTTAGTGGCCCTTACTGACGCATTCTCGAAAACCTGTTAGAGTCCTAAGCATTCTCCTGTTAGTACTGGGACTTTACCCCTGTCCTATAAAGATGTTATGCCCCGAAAATGAAGTGGAGGGCCATACCCTGAGAGAGGGAAGGGAGCCACAGGGTTGGAAGATTAACACCTTTTGTCCTCACTTGAATAGGAAGGACGTCATTTCTGAGGCTCCCCATATCCTTGCTTCAGGAATAGCTTTTGTTAGGCCTGCTAGTCTGAGGAGGGATCCTAAAATTCCAGATACTCCCCCACCCCGATGGGGCTTTGGGCAAAAATTATGTTTCTGATTGTTGAGCCTGGGTGCCTAAAGAAGGTATCAGAATCCTGAAGTTTATACTAGAAATCATTCTTAAAGGAGAAACTAGAAAACCATCAGAGACAGGTAGTGGTTTTTAGAAGCGGGACTAGCCTTGGAGAAGAGAGGCAAGAGGAAGTTTGTCTAATAGGCATTAGGACCCAGGAGGCAAGGGTCAGATAGCTAGGATAGATGGGCGAGTCTCGCTTGGGCTACGTGACTTTGAGAGTTGCAAACCAACACTCCCAACTCCGAAGCTGGGGGTTGTTAGAGAGCCCTTTCGCAGAAAGCTTGACACCCGTGTCTTTAGTCCGGTGGCCATGCTAGTCACTTTAACTGGCCGACAGGTGCCCGCTATTTAGCCCCCAAATTCTAAGGAAAAATAGGACAGAGGGATAGCAAGTGAAAGGGGTCCAATGGTACTCACTGCTTGGCGATAGTCAATAGTCCCTTCATGGTCACCAAAAAGTGTCTGGAATTGGCTCCTTCCAGAGGGTTCTTGGTCTCACTGACTTCAAGAGTGAAGCTGCAGACCCTCGCAGTGTGTTACAGTTCTTAAAGATGGTGTGTCTGGAGTTTGTTCCTTCAGATGTTCAGATGTGTCTGGAGTTTCTTCCTTCCGGTGGGTTCGTGGTCTTGCTTGACTTCAGGAGTGAAGCCGCAGACCTTCACAGTGAGGATTACAGCTCTTAAAGGTGGCGTGTCCAGAGTTGTTTGTTCCTCCCAGTGGGTTTGTGGTCTTGCTGACTTCAGGAGTGAAGCCGCAGACCTTCGCAGTGAGTGTTACAGCTCATAAAGGTAGTGCAGACCCGAAGAGTGAGCAGCAGCAAGATTTATTGTGAAGAGCAAAAGAACAAAGCTTCCACAGTGTGGAAGGGGACCCAAGCGGGTTGCCGCTGCTGGCTCAGGTGGCCAGCTTTTATTCTCTTATTTGGCCCTACCCATGTCCTGCTGATTGGTCCATTTTACAGAGTGCTGATTGGTGCTTTTACAAACCTTTAGCTAGACACAGAGCGCTGATTAGTGTGTTTTTACAGAGTGCTGATTGGTGCATTTACAAACCTTTAGCTAGACACAGAATGCTGATTGGTGCGTTTTTACAGAGTGCTGATTGGTGCTTTTACAAACCGTTAGCTAGAAGAGCGCTGATTGGTGTGTTTTTATAGAGTGCTGATTGGTGCATTTACAAACCTTTAGCTAGACACAGGATGCTGATTGGTGTGTTTACAGTCCTTTAGCTAGACAGAAAAGTTCTCCAAGTCCCCACCTGACCCAAAAGCCCAGCCATCTTCACCTTTCAGTATCTTATGTAAGAAATTCTTTCCTACCTCAAGATAATAAACATTTGACCCTTACAGACATTTTTTCCCCATGTAGATCAGTCTATTTCACCCAGATCTATTTATTGAATAGTGAATACTTCCACATTAGATTTTTATATAACTTCAGTGATTTATTAAGTATACATGAGTTTATTTCTGTAGTTTCTGTTTTTTTTCAATTGGCTCATTTTTGTATCCCTGACCAAAGCAATATTGTCTTTGCAACTATAATTTTTTCAATAAAGTCTTAGTAGTTGTCTGTTCTTGCATTGCTATAAAGAAATACCTGAGACTGGGTAATTTATACGGGAAAGAGGCTTAATTGGCTCATAGTTCTGCAGGCTGTACAGAAAGCATGATGCTGGCATCTGCTTGGCTTCTGGGGAGGCGTAAGGAAACTTTCAATCATGGTAGAAGGTGAAGGGGAGAGATGGGGGAGTTGCCACACACTTTTAAACAACCAAATGAGAACTCACTATTGTGATGACAGCACCAAGGGGGATTGTGTTAACTCATGAAAAACTGCTCTTATGATCCAGTTACCTCCTACTGGATCCCAATCCAACACTGAGGATTAAAATGGAACATGACATTTGGGTGGGGACACAGATATAAACCATATTAGTCTTGATTTCATGAAGTGGAACCCCTTCTCTTCTTCAAAAATTGTTTTATTTATTCTCAGCACCTTCAAATCTTTCACATGAATTTTAAAGTCTCCTCTCCTCCTCCAAATTGTTGTATTTTGATCGAAATTGTATTTAATTTATAGACCAATCGACATCTTTATGATACTATTTCAATCTATGAACATGCCATTTTTCTCCATTATTTTGGTATTGTATTTGTTTGGTCCATTGCTAGGTCTATACCTCATAGTTTTTGTTTCTATGGTGAATTAAATATTTTCTTTTTTCTAATATTACTGTAATTTCTATTTTTTAACTAGAATGTAAGCTTAGAGAAGACAGACATTTTTGTCTCTTTTGTTCACTGCTGTATCGCTAGTACCTAGAATACGATCTGTCACATAGTGGGCTCTCAAAATGTGTTGAATAAACTAATATTACATTTTCTGATGCATTATTTCTGCTTTACAGTAAAATCATTATTTCTGCTTTTCTAATGATTGTTGTACCAAACTGAACTTGCATTACAGCTATATCACTTTATCTGCTAATTCTCTTGAATTTTATGTGCATGTAAGAAATGAAAACATCTGAGGAAAAACAGCCTTAACTCTGTTTTTATATTTCTTGAAATTCATTTCTATTTTTTATATTATTGCATTGGCTAGGAAATCCATGCATGGGTGCTAGTATGTATTCCCACTCTAAAGGGAATTCTTCCAAAAGCCTATTAGGTGTACTATTAACAGTAAGTTTTTGATTATTTCTTCTTTTTATGTTGAACAAATAGCTATCTATCATTATTTTTTAAAATTTCTATCAAACAACCATTTACTTACCTAAAATTATTTTTAAAAATCAGTTGAAATGATCATGTCTTTTTTATTTCAGTTAATATTTCAAATTATGTAATTGAATTTCTTAATTTGAACATTGCATTGTGGGTAACTTGGTGGATAAATTACCAATGATATAAATATGAAATTAAATGATTTATAGCTATTTGTGCCTATATCAATGGGCTAAATGAATATGAACCCCTAAAGTTATTTCACTTTTTATGGTCTTGCCTACAGTTTTTTTCTTTCCCTATCTTCTGTTGTCTGTTGCCTTGTGCTTCTTGGGATTAGTTGTTCAAATAAATCAGCTGCGTCCAAGTCCTTGACTCAGACTTTGCTTTTGGAGTAACTTATACTAACAAATGCTCTGTGTGTGTGGTTTTATTATTTAGAAAGGTTATTTATTTTATTTATCTATATTATTTATTAAAATTTAGTTATTTAAAAGTTACACATAGCTATAATATATAGCTGTATATATTTATAATGAAACAAAATGTTCATATGTAACATTATAAATTCACTTTCAGAATGAGACAATTATGTATTGTATTTTAAACAATTCTTTAATGCTATGAAAGTTTTTGTTTAAACAAAAAATTTAATTTCTAACTTTAAAGTTCTAACCTCATTGAATTGAAATGACTAAATAAAATATAGTGAGGGATAATAAATAAAATAAATAAAATAAAGTATAGTGAGGGATAATCTATTATAGCACATTAACTCTGTCCTCTTGTGTATCATAAACATTTCAATTGATTTTATAGCAAATCTAGTATAAAATTCCTTTTCTTTGTTATTTTTACCCTACTTTCTGGCCACTCATAGGAACAAAATTTTAAAATTAGCCGTTATCATCTTTTTTGTTTCTCTAATCTATTTTTTCTTTTGTTTTATGATACCTCTACTATCTGCTTTTATGTACTTTACTTTGATCCTACTGCTGCCAGCTGAACTTAGCCACTGGGAGTCCAGTCCCTACTTTTTGCTCTGCCAGACCTTCACTGGGCATGACACATTTCTCCAGGCCACAGATTCTGTCATGAAGACTTCTCTGACAGATACACGTTGCTTAGGGTTCCAAGAACTAACTCTATATCTTTATCTTTCTGGCCTAGGATTAGGAAAGCCTTTCTACTCTTATTACTCTTAGGATACTTTTCCATTTTTTATTAATTTAAACCCTTTCCATACCATTTTAAATTGTCTCTTCATTAAACTTTCTTCATTGAGCTCTTCTTGATGTACTGTTTCTTGAATGATCTTGACTAATAAAAGAATAGTAAGTATTAAATTCACAGTGTGTTTATCTGGGGCAAATGTGAAATACATAATTGGTTCTGGATCCACAGGGATTCAATTGTATCTGTAATGTCGTGGTTCTCAAAAAAAAAAAAAGATTCATGGCAAACATAGCATTACATTAAGATTACTCTTGTTTGTATTTTACTGTATTTTTAAAATATTTCATCATTTTTAAAAAAGAAAAATAGAATTCTCCAGAGTAGAAGACAAAAATGACAAACATGGTCTTAAGAGTAGAAGCAATTGCATACACTGCATCTGAGCAGTGTTCCATCCAGCCTGGAAATGACATCCCAACTATAGTAGGATTCTGTTTGGAAATGACAGGAGAAGCTCTCTGAACTGATCTCAACTTAATGGACTAATCTGATTAATCAGGATTCTACATTCTTTCTGAGAACTTGATGTCCATGGCATGATAAAGGCCCATAACTATTAGGCTTTTCTGCAGCGTGCCTGCTTCACTTCTTCCTTTGGCTGAGTTGTGTGTTTACCAAGAGAGTCTACAGTATCTGTTCCTAAACCTCTTTATGCTTGCCACTATAATTATATGCTGTGTAAAACAACTGAATAAGTGTAAAAATCTGTTTCTATGAAGATTAGGTTGAAAACTGTAACAATATACCATTTCACACCCACCAGATTGACACAAACGAAAATGTTTGGCAACATTAAGTCTTGACAATAATATGGAGCAAGAGAACCACTCCTGTATTATAGGTGGGGTATGAACTGGTAAAAGCACTTTGAAAAGCAATTTGACACTGTCTGGTAAAGTTGATGATGTTCATACATACCTTCATAGCCAGCAGTTCTAGTCCTAGGCTTCAAACTTCCTGTTAATGTTCTTTTTTTGTGCTTGATGGATTATATTAGGCATTTAAAAAATTATTCATCTTTAGATTGAGTACATCTGTCACATAATCTGATGTGTAAAATATTACTGATTAAGGAAAATAAAAATTATACATGAAAGCATTGGAAAAATGATTAAGGCAAGTTAGTAAAAACTATCATTAAGGTAGGTGTGTATGAAAAACATTAATGATTAAAAAGAACACTGTAAAAGTCCAGGAGTCATTTCTCAGACTGTTTTGTAATTTATTATGTTTTAGCTCCCTTTTAATGAAAGACTAAGTAAAATTTGAATCTCAAGAGTTGTACTCTAAGGAAAGGTCCAAACCCTGTATCAAATGACCACTTAGGTAAAAATATAAGCTTTCATTGAAAAGTTAAACCTTAAAGTATGTCTGAATCAGTTAGGATGCTTTCATAGTCAAGGAATAGAATTTCCTAATAAAAATTTCTCAAGCAGTAAATGTATTTAATTATTTCACATAAGAATTTCATGCTTAGACCATTTCAGTTTTGATGAATTAACATGTAAAGGATGATCGAGTCTCTTGGACTGCTTTTCTGAGATTTTCTGGGTAGCAGTGTGGCTCTCATGGAACCAAATTTATATCCTTAGGTGGCATCATCCCTGGCAGATGGAAGGTGGCACAGCTTCTCTTCACATCTTACTCTCCAATCATCATGGAGAAGGGCCTTATATAACTTCTTAGCAGATTTCCTCTTGTCTCAGGGTACAGTATTGCATCACATGCCCATCCTTAAATGATGGCAATATTCAACCAGTTTGCTAAAATGCTGCAGACTGATCCAGGTTTATATCTTGAGGCTGAGGAGGAGTCTACCTGCAGGGGAAACATTGCCACCCAAATAAAATTGTCATGGGTCAGCTAAGAAGGAAGTGTCACATGGCTTTTATATCAGGATCAACATTGTCTGCCACAGGATTTAACTGTTTTTTTAAATGATTCCTGTTTTTTATTTTAACCAACTTTTCTGATTAAACTGTTATCCTAATTGTGTCCGATATGAGAGCTGTATCTGTACTTGATGATATCATATAACAATTAGGATTTTTATTGCCAATTTTGCTAAAATTTCTTAATCCAACTTGTTAGAATTTTTAAATATATTTACCTCTGTCAGTCTTGAGCTATTTGTTTTTGTTGGAATTGTCTCTTAAAATAATGGGTGTTAAATGTTACTGCTTTACTTTTGAGAGTTACTTGATGTTATCCTATTTAAATATAGTTTAGATAATAATTATACCGCACTATTATTGTCTCTTATGAAAGTTAAGTTGAAGATTTTGTAGGAGTACATAATAGGGATTTACCAACTTAGTTGGGGTAGAAAATGTTTTTTTTTTTTTTGAGACAGTCTCCCTCTGTCATCCAGGCTGGAGTGCAATAGCACAGTCTTGGCTCACTGCAACCTCCGCCTCCCAGATTCAAGCAGTTCTCCTGCCTCAGCCTTCCAAGTAGCTGGGATTATAGGCATGCACCACTATGCCCGGCTAATTTTTGTATTTTTAGTAGAGATGGGGTTTCACCATGTTGGCCATGCTGTTCTCGAACTCCTGACCTCAAGTGATCTGCCCACCTTGGCCTCCCAAAGTGCTAGGATTACAGGAGTGAGCCACCGCTCCTGGCAGAAAATGATATTGAAGATCAAAGATGTATTACTTTGAATGCCACCACCATTATTCTCCTACATTGAAATATTTTTCTTACATACATAATTTACAATGTCAAATAATACTACAAGGGTGTAATGAAAAACAGTGTTCCCCTACCTCACTGTCCCCATTCTGGTCTTCTGACCCTAAGTCCCCTGTTTCACAACTCTGGGGGCACCACTCCCAGAGAACTCAATCTGAATAATGCCCCTGGAGTTGCGGAACACAAGTCCTGCTTGGTCCTTAGGGATCTTTTGTGGTTTCTTCTGGCCTTCACATCCTACATCTAAAACATGTGAGTGTACCTCTGTTTCTTGATTTTTTCAATCTTAGATATCATCCAATCCTCTTCTGGAGGATGAAGAGTTAATTGTGTAAAATGCCTCCCAATTTAATTGTATCACACATTTAAGTTTATTTAATATTCAGGGATCATATAGCTATGATTAACACATTTTTGTTTACTTAATATTCAGAGATTATATTCCTTTTATTAGCAACTGTTGTTCAGAGCTGAGTCACATAGAAGCTGATCACATTCCTTTTCTTACACAAATTTTAATTTATCCCAGATGCAACAGTAACCTCATTAGTTTGGGGGGAGGAAAATTTCTAGGTGTCTACCTCTAATTTTCTTCCAAATTCTCCAAAAAAAAAACTCTGAAGTTTCCTCTCAATAGATCGAGACACCTGGAAATTTGATAGCATGCTTTTTCTTTTGCCTCCAGCCAATGTCATTTCCTGCTTTTTAGGTTGTTGGTTTTCCCCCTGGCTTACTGCGTAGTTGTCTTCCAGGAAATTTCTTTCAGCATCTTTCTGGGAATTCCCTTTTCCTCCTCTGGATTTTAAATTTCCTGTTTTCAGAATCCTCTGTCTTCCTTTTTCATGGTGAACTTCCTTGTTTCCATGAAAGCTCTGTAAAGGAAACAGTGTCCCACTCTGGAGGAACTGGGGAAGATTTCATAGAGGAAGTGAAAATTGAGTTGGGATTAGAGAATGTGTAGGAATTTTCTAGAAAAGAGTAATCCATGCAGAAAAAATAGCGTGTGTAACCACCCATAAGCATTATACTCATAAGTGAGAAATCCATAGGTTATTAAGTATGGAAGTTTGGGAAAGTCGAAGTTGATGCTGTAAAGTGTAGTCAAATTTTGAAGAGCAATATATGACATGTTAAAGATTTTGAAACTTGGGCGTGTGCAGTGGCTCATGGGCCCGAGTGAGGCGGGAGGCTGAGGTGGGAGGATTGCTTGAGTGCAGGAGTTGGAGACCAGCCTAGGCAACATAATGAGACCTCTTCTCTACAAAAAATAAACAAAATTAGCTTGGCATGATGGCATGTGCCTGTAGCCCCAGCTACCCAGGAGGCTGGGGTTGAGCCTGGGAGGTTGAGGCTGGAGTGAAATGAGATTGTGCCACTGTGCTCCAGCCTGGGCAATGGAGCCAGACCTTGTCTCAAATAAAAAAAAAAAAGATTTTGCAACTTTTTTTTAAAGACCATAGTGAGCTGAAAGAAGTCTTTAATAAGATAAGAGATATTATTATATAATAAGTACTTTTTAATAAATGTAATTCTGGGAGCACTTTAGAGAGTGGACCAAATTGAAAACAAGTGGGGACAGGGACAGCAGTTGGGAGACTGTTGCATTAGTCTTGTTGAAAGATGATGAAGCAATTTTTGTAACATGGAGGCAAGAAGCTCAGCCAGATTGGAGAGAAATTTTAGAGACAGCATTGAAAGATCATGCTGATTCATAGAGGGTTGAGAAGAAAGGAGTCTCCGAGAAAGACTGAAATTTATAGTTTAGGATAATGATATTGGATATGCTGTAAACTCTGATAGAGATTATCTGAGATAAAATAGGTTAAAGTTGGGGAAGGAAGATAACAAGTTTAGCTATGAATGTGGTAAGATTTGGAGACTATGACAGGACACTGAGATGGAAATACCTGGTACCCAAATAAAATAGGAAAATAATATTGTCAATGCTGTAATTGTGGCTATATAGCATTATGAGATTATTCCAGTCAGGGAAGTTTATCAGCATTACTTGGAAACTAGTTTCAAAATATCCCTCCTGTTTTTTCTTCTGGAGAATTTGATGTATTTTCTATTGGTTAAATTTAAGTATAAAGAATTCTAATTTTTATGATTTAATTTTAACTCTCTTCTTAGTAACAGAATAATTTTGTATGTGTTGTTTTATAATGACCATCAAATTATTATATGATCTTTGTATATTTATATTTCTCTTGCAAAGGTAAAATGTGGACACAACAGCACTGATTCCAAAAGAGATATGCTTTTCAAATTCAAAATTGCTGCTTTTGAGACCAAAATTATCACCCTTTGATTTGAATGATAGATTATCTATGTGGAATGGATTTGACCTAAGGCAATTAAAGATACTTTTGAAAAAAGAAATAAACTTGATTCTTTTCATTTATCTGCACCTAAATAAAATCACCATTTACATTTTAAATTGCATTCAATTACTTGGTAATGTATTCTTGCAGTTATATTATGTACACTTACATTGTCATATTCTGAGTTTGCTAAACTTTGATGCCACCTTGTTAGAAGCAAATGTTAACCTATCACGTATATAGAAAATGGCAACCTATATTTCAAGTTAATTTTCCAAATGGATAAATGACAGAGTTTGAAGTAAAGTGTTAAATTTTAACATCTACTTTTTGCCTGAAAAACACCTTTCTAAGCAAATAGCATTCCCCCCAGACACCTAAAATCTGTCTGTATTTTCCATGGATAACACACAGGTAGTGCATGAAAGCAATCTTTCTCATTAGTCTTTTTATTTTATTTTATTTTATTTTATTTTCAGAGTGGTATCTTGTTTGAGAAGCAGTTTTCAAGACTAATTATTAAACCATGTCACCTTTCCTGTAAGAATTTAATGTATATGTATATATCATCAGATAAGGACAAGTTTCCACAATACAAAAAAAGTGATATTTAATGTCTTCATTTGGTGAGAGAGAGAAATGAGCCAAGGTGTTATCATAGAGAATTTTGTAAAGCTGTTTTGATGCTTCTGCTTATATCACAAACCATAACAGAGTTAAATACTATCGGACTCTCTAAGATTAAACGGTATTTTGAAGAGTGTATGTTAGGATCCTTTCCTTGACTGGTTTTATACCTCTTATGTTTAAGCAGAGTTATTCCATTCAAAAAATAATACATTTATTGATCATTTGTAAAATGCCATTACATTATTTTTCTGGTTCATTCATTAATTTAACAAATATTTACTGAGCACTTACTCTGTACCAGGCAGTGCTGTAGGTAAATAATTGTTTTGTTAGGATAACATGAAAGTACTTGTTGTGTTGATAACTTAGGATAATCTAGTTACTGATTTGGGGATGTCTGTAAAACTTTACTATTCTGAGGTTAAGGCCATGTCAATTTCTGAATGCATAATGATTATTTTTATTTTTAGTTTCTGGGTTGAATAATATGGAAGCCTATCTGGAGCACATCAAACCAAATATATATATATATATATCATATATATGCACTTAATATCTGGTTTCTGGCTTTGGTGAAAGCCTATAATTATTAAATAGTAAAAATTGATTAGTTTTAGCTTAGTCTTTACCTGATGATATATACATATTTTGTTCTATTATTCCTACCTGTCCCCATCTTCTCCTTCCCTCTTAACAACAGAACACAATAAAAATAATGTTTCAATAAAGGAGCGAACTATTATTTATTCTTTCAACATGCTTGTGGTGTCTTTATCAAGAGTATTTGCTTTGCAAATATTCCTTTGCTAGAAATTCATTATAATAATATCAATCATAATAACAACAGTGCTCATTTATTAAATACTTAATATATGCTGATATTATGTAGAAACTTTGCATATATTATTTAAAGGAAATAAGCAAATCAACTAAAGCCTAAGGTGGCTTCATTCTTTTCAGGTATGCTCATCTATGGATCCTTATTTTCTCTTAGCAATCCAGTTATTGGTTATTGTTTCAGATTATATTTCAGGACCTCCTTAGATTTTTTCCTTTTGCTCTATGTTAAGTGGGAAATTAAAAAGCAAACAAATAGATACATAAAATAAAATAAAATCCTTTCATATTGCCCTTTATTATCTCTTAGATGACAATTACATGCAAATCAAGAGAGGATCTTCATGCATGCAAATTAATTTAGTGTTTTCCACTTTGACAATGTGACAGTAGGCCAGACGGTGATGATTCCCGTCCTCACCTGGCAGCTCAGTGTCTGCACTGCTGTGCGTCTCCCCCTTCTCACCTTGCCTTTTGAGAGATCTGGCTGGTTTTAGGAGCACTGTTACTAAATTCAACATTGCATCTAGACTTGAGAGTTCTTTGTTCACATCTGATTTGAGAAAGATGTTTGAATAAATTCTGTCTGTCCTGTTTGCATGGAACGAGAAACAGGACTAATTGTTTTATGGAAACCTCAATCTGCGGTTTGAATGAATTTTATGATAAATGAGTGTGAGAAGACTAGTATTGATATTGCCTTCTAGTTTTGGGGCCTAATAAAAATTTTAATCCTTCTCAGAAAATATGGAATTGTCATGTCAATAAATCTTGTCTGATACCTAAACAAGAAGTCAATATTTATTAAATAGACATGAGAATAGGACTTGGTCTTCTATAAGTTTACTATAAAAACTAATATGCTGATAGTGCTCAGCCAGTGTAAATGTTATTATTAAATATTCTTAAATAGACATAAGATTATCCAAGAACAGTATTAATGATTAAGTATGAATTGAATCCATTTTGGATTATCATTGAATTCTATATCCTTTAAGAAGATTTATCTTCTTTCTTCAATTTATTTCTTTCACTTTTTTTTTTTGCATCAAGGAACTTTCAGTACCAAGGTTGTATAAACAGTCAACATTTTCCAATAATTTCTCCTAACTCTAATGAATTGTAGTCATCTCTGGATGATATAAACAAAGGATAATTTCATTCATAGTTATTCTTGTGTGTGTGTGTGTGTATGAGAGAGAGAGAGAGAGAGAAGATATTTAAATTGAAGGAAATTAAAATGAGTTTCAATTAGGTATCCAGATACAGTAGATGTGAAATTAGACAGTGAGATGAAACCATATGTAATATTAAAATGTCTCATGATTCTTGAGCTACTTCACTGAAAATCACCTGTGAGTGTGTAGAGAAGAAAGAATTGGTAAAGAGATTTTTTTTTTTAAATTATACTTTAAGTTCTGGGATACATGTGCAGAACATGCGGGTTTGTTACATAGGTATACACATGCTATGGTAGTTTGCTGCACCCATTAACCTGTTATCTACATTAGGTATTTCCCCTAATCTTATCCCTCCCCTCGCCCCCCACCCCCTGACAGGCCCCAGTGTGTGATGTTACCCTCCCTGTGTCCATGTGTTCTCATTGTTCAACTCCCACCTATGAGTGAGAACATGTAGTGTTTAGTTTTCTGTTCTTGTGTTAGTTTGCTGAGAATGATGGTTTCCAGCTTCATCCACATCCCTGCAAAGGACACGAACTCATCCATTTTCATGGCTGCATAGTATTCCATGGTATATATGTGCCATATTTTCTTTATCCAGTGTGTCATTGATGGGCATTTGGGTTGGTTCCAAGTCTTTGCTATTGTGAACAGTGCTGCAATAAGCATATGTGTGCATGTGTCCTTATAGTAGGATGATTTATAATCCTTTGGGTGTATACCCAGTAATGAGATTGCTGGGTCAAATGGTATTTCTAGTTCTAGATCCTTGAAGAACCGCCACATTGTCTTCCACAATGGTTGAACTAATTTACACTCCCACCAACAGTGTGAAAGTGTTCCTATTTCTCCACATCCTCTTCAGCAGCTGTGGTTTCCTGACTTTTTAATGATCGCCATTCTAACTGGCGTTAGATGGTATCTCATTGTGGTTTTGATTTGCATTTCTCTAATGACCATTGATGATGAGCTTGTTTTCATATGTTTGTTGGCTGCATAAATGTCTTCTCTTGACGAGTGTCTATTCATATCCTTCGCCCACTTTTTGATGGGATTTTTTTTCTTGTAAATTTGTTTAAGTTCTTTGTAGATTGTGGATATTAGCCCTTTATCAGATGGATAGATTGCAAAAATTTTCTCCCATTCTTTGGTTGCCTGTTCACTCTGAAGATAGTTTCTTTTGCTGTACAGAAGCCCTTTAGTTTAATTAGATCCCATTTGTCTATTTTGGCTTTTGTTGCCATTGCTTTTGGTGTTTTAGTCATGAAGTCTTCACCCATTCCTGTGTTCTGAATGGTATTGCCTAGGTTTTTTTCTAGGGTTTTTATGGTTTTAGGTTTTACATTTAAGTCTTTACTCCATCGTGAGTTTATTTTTGTATAAGGTTTAAGGAAGGGATCCAGTTTCAGTTTTCTGCACATGGCTAGCCAGTTTTCCCAACATCATTCATTAAATAGGGGATCCTTTCCCCATTGCTTGTTTTTGTCAGGTTTGTCAAAGATCAGATGGTTGTAAATGTGTGGTTATTTCTGAGGCCTCTGTTCTGTTCCATTGGTCTGTGTATCTGTTTGGGTACCAGTACCATGCTATTTTGGTTACTGTAGCCTTGTAGTATAGGTTGAAGTCAGGTAGCATGTTGCCTCCAGCTTTGTTCTTTTTGCTTAGGATTGTCTTGGCTATACAGGCTCTTTTTTGGTTCCATATGAACTTTAAAGTAGTTTTTTTCTAATTCTGTGAAGAAAGTCATTGGTAGCTTGATGGGGATAGCATTGAGTCTATAAATTACCTTGGGCAGTATGGCCATTTTCTTGATATTGATTCTTCCTATCCATAAGCATGGAATGTTCTTCCATTTGTTTGTGTCCTCTCTTATTTCCGTGAGCAGTGGTTTGTAGTTCTCCTTGAAGAGGTCCTTCACATCCCTTATAAGTTAGATTCATAGGTATTTTATTCTCTTTGAAGCAATTGTGAATGGGAGTTCACTCATGATTTGGCTCTCTATTATTGGTGTGTAGGAATGTTTGTGATTTTTGCACATTGATTTGGTATCCTGAGACTTTGCTGAAGTTGCTTATCAGCTTAAGGAGACTTTGGGCTGAGACAATGGGGTTTAAATATATAATCATGCCATCTGCAAAAGGAGAAAACTTGACTTCCTCTTTCCCTAATTGAATACCCTCTCTTTCTTTCTCATGCCTGATTGCCCTGGCCAGAACTCCCATACTATGATGAATAGGAGTGGCCAGAGAGGGCATCCTTGTCTTCTGACGGTTTTCACAGGGAATGATTCCAGTTTTTGCCCATTCAGTATGATATTGGCTGTGGGGTTGTTCTAAATAGCTCTTATTAATTTAACATACGTTTCATCAATACCGAGTTTATTGAGAGTTTTTTTGGCATGAAGACCTGTTGAATTTTGTCAAAGGCCTTTTATGCATCTATTGAGATAATGTGTTTTTTGTCATTGGTTCTGTTTATGTGATGGATTACATTTATTGATTTGTGTATGTTGTACCAGACTTCCATCTCAGGGATGAAGCCAACTTGATTGTGGTGGATTAGCTTTTTGATGTGCTGCTGGATTTGGTTTGTCAGGATTTTATTGAGGATTTTTGCATTGATTTCATCAGGGATATTGGCCTGAAATTTTCTTTCTTTGTTGTGTCTGTGGTTTTGGTATCAGGATGATGCTGGCCTTATAAAATGAGTTAGGTAGCATTCCCTCTTTTTCTATTGTTTGGAATGGTTCAGAAAGAATGGTACCAGCTACTCTTTGTACCTCTGTTAGAATTCTGCTGTGAATCCATCTGGTCCTGGACTTTTTTTTATTAGTAGGCTATTATATACTGCCTCAATTTCAGAACTTTTTATTGGTCTATTCAGGGATTTGACTTCTTCCTGGTTTTGACTTGGGAGGGTGTATGTGTCCAGGAATTTATCCATTTCTTCTAGATTTTCTAGTTTATTTGGGTAGAGGTGTTTATAATATACTCTGATGGTAGTTTGTATTCCTGTGGGATCTGTGGTGATAGCCACTGTATTATTTTTTATTGTGTCTATTTGATTCTTCTCTCTTATTAGTCTGGCTAGCAGTCTATCTATTTTGTTGATCTTTTCAAAAAACCAGCTCCTGGATTCATTGATTTTTTTGAAGAGTTTTTCTTGTCTCTATATCCTTCAGTTCTGCTCTGATCTTATTTATTTCTTGTCTTCTGCTGGCTTTTGAATATGTTTGCTCTTGCTTCTCTAGTTAATTTTAATTGTGATGTTACAGTGTCAATTTTAGATCTTTCATGCTTTCTTTTGTGGGCATTTAATGCTATAAATTTTCCTCTAAACACTGCTTTAGCTGTGTCCCAGAGATTTTGGTACATTGTGTCTTTGTTCTCATTGGTTTCAAAGAACTTATTTATTTCTGCCTTAATTTTGTTATTTACACAGTAGTCATTCAGGAGCAGGTTTTTCAGTTTCCATGTAGTTGTGTGGTTTTGAGTGAGTTTCTTAATTCTCAGTTCTAATTTGATTGCACTGTGGTCTGAGTGACAGTTTGTTATGATTTTCATTGTTTTGCATTTGTTGAGGAGTGTTTTTATTTATTTGTTTGTTTATCTTTTTTTATTATACTTCAAGTTTTAGGGTACATGTGCACAATGTCCAGGTTTGTTACATATGTATACGTGTGCCATGTTGGTGTGCTGAACCCATTAACTCTTCATTTAACATCAGGTATGTCTCCTAATGCTATCCCTCCCCCCTCCCCCCACCCCACAACAGGCCCTGGTGTGTGATTTTCCCCTTCCTGTGTCCATGTGTTCTCATTGTTCAATTGCCACCTGTGAGTGAGAACATGCGGAGTTTAGTTTTTTGTCCTTGTGATAGTTTGCTGAGAATGATGGTTTCCAGCTTCATCCATGTCCCTACAAAGGACATGAACTCATCCATTTTTATGGCTGCATAGTATTCCATGGTGTATGTGTGCCACATTTTCTTAATCCAGTCTCTCATTGTTGGACATATGGGTTGGTTGCAAGTCTTTGCTATTGTGAATAGTGCCACAATAAACATATGTGTGCATGTGTCTTTATAGCATCACATTTTATAATCCTTTGGGTATATACCCAGTAATGGGATGGCTGGGTCAAATGGTATTTCTAGTTCTAGATCCTTGAGGAATCGCCACACTGACTTCCACAATGGTTGAACTAGTTTACGGTCCCACCAACAGTGTAAAAGAGTTCCTATTTCTCCACATCCTCTCCAGCACCTGTTGTTTCCTGACTTTTGAATGATCGCCATTCTAACTGGTGTGAGATGGTATCTCATTGTGGTTTTGATTTGCATTTCTCTGATGGCCAGTGATGATGAGCATTTTTTCATGTGTCTTTTGGTTGCATAAATGTCTTCTTTTGAGAAGTGTCTGTTCATATCCTTTGCCCACTTTTTGATGGGGTTGTTTGTTTTTTTCTTGTAAATGTGTTTGAGTTCATTGTGGATTCTGGATATTAGCCCTTTGTCAGATGAGTAGTTTGCAAAACTTTTCTCCCATTCTGTAGGTTGCCTGTTCACTCTGATGGTAGTTTCTTTTGCTGTGCAGAAGCTCTTTAGTTTAATTAGATCCCGTTTGTCAATTTTGGCTTTTGTTGCCATTGCTTTTGGTGTTTTAGACATTGCTTTTGGTGTTTTGGTTCCATGCCTATGTCCTGAATCATATTGCCTATGTTTTCTTCTAGGGTTTTTATGGTTTTAGGTCTAACATTTAAATCTTTAATCCATCTTGAATTAATTTTTGTATAAGATGTAAGGAAGGGATCCAGTTTCAGCTTTCTACATATGGCTATCCAGTTTTCCCAGCACCATTTATTAAATAGGGAATCCTTTCCCCATTTCTTGTTTTTGTCAGGTTTGTCAAAGATCAGATAGTTGTAGATATGCAGCATTATTTCTGAGGGCTCTGTTCTGTTCCATTGGTCTGTATCTCTGTTTTGGTACCAGTACCGTGCTGTTTTGGTTACTGTAGCTGAGGAGTGTTTTACTTCCAATTATGTGGTCAATTTTAGAATAAGTGTAATGTGTTGGTGAGAAGAATGTATATTCTGTTGATTTGGAGTGTAGAGTTCTGTGGATGTCTATTAGGTCTGCTTGGTCTAGAGCTGAGTTCAAGTCCTGAATATCCTTGTTAATTCTCTGTCTCATTGATCTCTCTAATATTGTCAGTGAGGTGTTAAAGTCTCCCACTATTATTGTGTGAGAGTCAAGGTCTCTTTGTAGGTCTCTAAGAACTTGCTTTATGAATCTGGGTGCTCCTATATTGGGTGCATATATGTTTAGAATAGTTAGCTCTTCTTGTTGTCTTGATCCCTTTACCATTATGTAGTGCCCTTCTTTGTCTCTTTTCATATTTATTGGCTGAAAGTCTGTTTTTTCAGAGACTAGGATTGCAACCTCTGCTTTTTTTGCTTTCCATGTGGTTGGTAAATATTCCTCCATCCCTTTATCTTGAGCCTATGTGTGTTTTTGCACATAAAATGGCTCTCCTAAATATAGCACATTGATGTGTCTTGACTCTTTATCCAATTTGCCAGTCTCTGTCTTTTAATTGGGGCATTTATCCTATTTACATTTAAGGTTAATATTGTTATATGTGAATTTGATCCCATCATTATGATGCTAGCTGGTTATTTTGCCAGTTAGTTGGTGCAGTTTCTTCATAGTGTCGATGGTCTTTACACTTTGGTATGCTTTTGCAGTAGCTGGTACCATCTTTTCCTTTCCGTATTAATGCTTCCTTCAGAGGATCTTGAAGACAGGCCTGGTGCTGACAAAATCTCTCCGCATTTGCTTGTGTGTAAAGGATTTTATTTCTCCTTCATTTATGAAGCTTAGTTTGGCCAGATATGAAATTCTGGATTGAAAATTCTTCTCTTTAAGCATGTTTAATATTGCCCCCCACTCTCTTCTGTTTTGTAGGGTTTCTGCAGAGAGATCCACTGTTAGTCTGATGGGCTTTCCTTTGTGGGTAACCTGACCTTTCTCTTTGGCTGCCCTTAACATTTTTTCCTTCATTTCTACCTTGGTGAATCTGACAATTATGTGTCTTGGGGTTGCACTTCTTGAGCATTATCTTTATGGTGTTCTCTGTAATTTTTGAGTTTGAATGTTGGCCTGTCTTGCTAGGTTGGGGAAGTTCTCCTGGACAATATCCTGAAGAGTGTTTTCCAACTTGGTTCCATTCTCCCTGTCACTTTCATGTATACCAATCAAATGTAGGTGTGGTCTTTTCACATAGTCCCATATTTCTTGCAGGCTTTGTTCATTCCTTTTCATTCTTTTTTCTCTAATCTTGCCTTCATGCTTCATTTCATTAAGTTGATCTTCAATCTCTGATATCCTTTCTTCAGCTTGGTTGATTCAGCTATTGATACTTGTGTATGCTTCACGAAGTTCTTGTGCTGTTTTTCAGCTCCGTCAGGTCATTTATGTTCTTCTCTAAACTGGTTATTCTACTTAGCAATTCATCTAACATTTTTCAAGATTCTTATCTTCCTTGCATTGGGTTAGAACATGCTCCTTTAGCTTGGAGGAATTTGTTATTACCCACCTTGTGAAGCCTACTTCTGTCAATTTGTTAAACTTATTCTCCGTCCAGTTTCGTTCCCTTGCTGGAGAGGAGTTGTGATCCTTTGGAGGAGAAGAGGCATTCTGGTTTTTGGAATTTTCAGCCTTTTTGTACTGATTTTTCCTTATCTTTGTGGATTTATCTACCTTTGGTCTTTGATTTATCTACCTTTGGATGGGGTTTCTGAGTGGACATCCTTTTTGATGTTGATGCTATTCCTTCCTGTTTGTTAGTTTTCCTTTTACGGTCAGGCCCCTCTGCTTCAGGTCTGCTGGAGTTTGCTGGAGGTTCACTCCAGACCCTGTTTGCCTGGGTATTACCAGTGTTGGCTGCAGAACAGCAAAAATTGCTGCATATTCCTTCCTCTGTAAGCTTTGTCCCAGAGGGGCACCCACCAGGTACCAGCTGGAGCAATCCTGTATGAGGTGTCTGTCAACCCCTGCTGGGAGGTGTCTCCCAGTCAGAAGGCACGGGGTTCAGGGACCCACTTGAGGAGGCAGTCTGTCCCTCAGCAGAGCTCAAACGCCATGTGGGGCTGCTCTCTTCAAAGCCAGCAGGCAGGGATGTTTAAGTCTTCTGAAGCTGCTCCACAGCCTCCCCTTTCCTCAGGTGCTCTGTCCCAGGGAGATGGGGGTTTTATCTATAAGCCCCTGACTGGGGCTGCTGACTTTTTTTAAGAGATATGCTGCCCAGAGAAGAGGAATCTAAAGAGGCAGTCTGGCTATAGCTGCTTTGCTGAGCTGTGGTGGGCTCTGCCCAGTTCAAACTTCCTAGCAGCTTTGTTTATACTATGAGGGGAAAACCACCTACTCAAGCCTCAGTAATGGCAAACGCCCTTCCCCCCACCAAGCTCAAACATGCTAGGTCAACTTCAGACTGCTGTTCTGGCAGCGAGAATTTCAAGCCAGTGGATCTTGGCTTGCTGGGCTCTGTGGGGGTGCAATCCGCTGAGCTAGACCACTTGGGCCCTGGCGTCAGCCCCCTTTCCAGGGGAGTGAACGTTTCTGTCTCACTGGTGTTCCAGGTGCCACTTGGGTCTGAAAGAAGAACTTCAGCTGGCTTGGTGTCTGCCCAAACGGCTGCCCAGTTTTGTACTTGAAACCCAGTGCCCTGGTGGCATAGTCAGCTGAAGGAATCTCCTGGCCTGTGGGTTGTGAAGACTATGGGAAAAGCATAGTGTCTGGGCTGGAGTACACTGTTCCTCACGGCACAGTCCCTGACAGCTTCCCTTGGGTAAGGGAGGGAGTTCCTTGACCCCTTGTGTTTCCCAGGTGAGGCGATGCCCCACCCTTCTTCCGCTTGCCCTCCATGGGCTGCACACAGTGTATAACCAGTCTCAATGTGATGAGCTGGGTACCTCAGTTGGAAATGCAGAAATCATGCACCTTCTGCATTGATCTCGCTGGGAGCTGCAGACCGGAACTGTTCCTATTCAGCCATCTTGCCAGCCACTCCCCTCAGTTTTCATAAACTATTCTTGTAGGCCCAATTATCATCCCTGTCCATCTTGTAAGTGTTATATCTTCCTCATCTTCTAGATCCCAGCTAACTGTGCCATCTGCTACTTCTTTCTGGCCTTTGAGTTCTTCCAACAGTTGGAAATTGCAAGGGACTTTTACTCCTGAGCCCCTGGTGGCTGCCATCTTGGGTCGCTGTTGCTTGAAGGCTGGCCCCTTCTTTCTGGGTTTTAAATTTTTAAGAAAATGTTTTTAGAAGGTAAAGCAGTAATAGGAACAAAAAGACTGCATTTTGATTGTTACCTGTTGTGTTTGTTTGATAGGTAGGCTTGATTACATATATTTACATTTTTATGCATAATTAATCTCATTTTAAAATTAAAGTTTAAATATAATCACATAAGTTTCTAGCCCTTGGCAATGAAGTTTTAAAAAATGAGACGTGAGAGTTGCATTTTCATTAGAATCACCAGGCTTTCTCTTACCAAAGTTCTGGTTGGGCACAGTTTCTCTTACAGCCCATGAACCATTTCTAGTCCACATAATTAATTCATTAATTCACACAAATTTATTGAGAGTCTATTTTATGAAAAACGCTATTAGTTACTTTTATCATAAACCAACATTTGAATGTAATATGGATTTCAAGAAGCAGAATGTGGTAAATTTTAAAAATGGTTTGGTAATTTAGAAGAAGGAAAGACTAATACAGATAGAGCTTCAGAAAGGTGAGCATTGAGTTTGGCTGTGAAAGATGGATAGGTTCTCCAAAGGCTTAAATAGGCTGAGATGTATGACTTTACAGGTTAAATTAACCAGCAAATTATATAAATGAAGCCACTTGCACAAAATTGGAGGATAAAAATAGGTATGCATATGTTTGGGAAATGATACATTTGGCCTGATTAGAGTTCAGAGATTTAATGACAGTATGGCTGGAAGTCAAGTGTGAATGAATTTGCAACAGATTTCCATTTATTGTAAAGGCACTGAGGAACATAGAAGTTGGTTTGAACACAGTATTAACATGTTCAATACAAGGCATTCTAGAACTTTAATTAAAACTCAGTGGTCAAACGTATTAAAAAGGAAAGACAAAAAGAGAAGTTCTAATAAAATGAAAAAAAGGAAAATATCATGAATGGAGTTGAGGAGTTATTACAATATTTCCATTGAGAAGTATGAAATGTAGGTGCTTTAAGAGTTGATGGAAAAGATAGGTAGAAGCAAAACAAGAATCATACTACCTTTGCAGTTGGTGGATGGGATAATTATTGGAATCAGATGTTACTTAGTGAGAACTAGCCCATTTTAAAACAGTGCTTTGCTTTTTGGGTGGAATAGTTCTACTTAGCTTGATGGTTAAAATATATATAATGCTACAATATCATTATAAAAATTAATTCTAAGAGTAACAAACTGAAATTTTCTGTTATATCACATGAAAATTTTCTATTTTTTACAAAATTTTATTTGAACTAACTTTGTGATCTAGAAGGCGGGAAAAATACTCATTAAATTATTTTATTTAATTTAGAAGCATGGATAAAATGGAATTGGTGATCTGGTCTATTTTCTTGAATGAAAATTAATATTAAAGGTAATTACTGGAGAGGGGCAGAGCAAGATGGCCAAATAGAAGGCTTCACTGGTTATCTGTCCTACAGGAACACCGAATTTAACAACTATCTACATACAGAAAACAGCTTCATAAGAACCAAATATCAGGTGAGCACACACAGTACCTGGTTGTAACTTCATATCGCTGAAAGAGGCACTGAATAGGGTAGGAAACAGTGCTGAATTGCCAACACCATCCCTCCCCCATCCATTGGCAGCAGGTGTGTGGTGCTGAGAGAAAATCTGTGCCTTTGGGAGAGGGAGAGGACAGCAGTTTTGAGACATTACATTGAACTCAGTGCTGCCCTGTCACAGTGGAAAGCAAAACTGGGCTGAACTCAGCTGATGCCTGCTACAGAGGGAACATACAAAGTGGCCTTAGCAGAAGGTGAATCACCCATCCCAGTGGTTGGAACTTGAGTTCTAGCAAACTTGCCATTGTGGACTAAAGTACTTGGGGCCCTAAATAAACTTGAAAGACATTCTAGGCCACAAAGACTGCAACTCCTAGGTGAGTCATACTGGTGAGCTGGGCTTAGAACCAGTGAACTTGGAAGGTACGTGACCTACTGAGACAATAGCCTTGGTGGCTAAGGGAGTGCTTGCACCACTCTTCCTTCAACCCCAGGCTGCAAAACTTATGGCTCCAAAAGAGATTTCTTCCTTCTGCTTGAAGAGAGGAGTGGGAAGAGTAAAGAGGACTTTGTCTTTCATTTTGGATACCAGCTCAGCCACTGTAGGATAGGGCACCAGACAGAAATGTGAGATCTCCATTCCAGATACTGGTTCCCAGACAATATTTCTAGACATACACTGGGCCAGAAAGAAACTTGCTGCCTTGAAGGGAAGGGCCTAATCCTGGTGGGACCCAACACCTGCTGACTAAAGATCCGTTGGGCTTGAATAACTAGCAGTAATACTTATGGGCCTTGGGTGAAACTCTGAGCCTTTCTGGCTTTAGATGAGACCCAGCACTTTCCCAACTGTGATGGTTGTGGTAAGAGACTCCGTCTGCTTGAGAAAAGCAGAGGGAAAAGTAAAATGGATTTTGTCTTGCATCTTAGGTACCAGCTTGGCCACAGGGGTGTAGAGCACTAAGTGGAATCTTGGGGTCCCCAGTTCAAGGCCTTTGCTTTTGGATGGCATTTCTGGATGTGCTCTGGACTAGAAGGGAGTCCACTTCCCTGAAGCATGATTTTTAGGCCTGGCAGCATTCACCACAAGCTAAATTAAGAAACCTTGGGTCTTAAATGAACGTTAACAGTAGTCTGTCAGTACTCACCATGAGCCTGTGATGGTGGTGGTCACAGGGTGAAACTCCTCTGCCTGTGGAAAGGGAAGGAAATAGTGGAAGTGGCTACATCTCATGGTTTGAGTGCCAGCTCAGCTGCAGTAGAATAGGATACCAGGTAGATGTCTAAGGTTTTTTATTCTAGCCCCTGGCCCCAAGATGGCATCTCTTGATCCACCCAGGGCCCAGGGGAACTCACTGCCCTGAAGAGAAGGACATAAGCCTGGCTAACTTCACCACCTGTTGATTATAGAGCAATGGGGCCTTTAGCACACATAGGTGGTAGCCAGGTAGTGGTAACAGTGGGCCTTGGGAAAGACCCTGTACTGTGCTGGCTTCAGGTCTGACCCAGTGCAGTCTCAGTGATGGTGGCCACAGGAGTGCTTGTGTCACCCCATCCACAGCTCTGGTTGCCTCAGCACTGAGAGAGGGACTCTATTTGTTAGGGAGAAAGCAAGAGGAGAGGACAAGAGTCTCTGCCTGGTAATCCAGGGAATTCTTCCAGGTCTTACTCATTACCACCAAGATGGTACCTCTACAGGTCTGCAAGAAGCATGGCATTAGTGGGCTTCAAATGTCCCCTCATGCAGATATGACTTAGATCACAACATGCATGTCCTTTAAAATACCTGGAAATGCTTCCCAAGAAGGATGGGTAAAAAGAAGCCCAGACTGCAAAGACTACAATAAATACCTAACTCTTCAATACATAGACACTGACAAACATCCACAAGCATCAAGACCATTCATAAAAACATCATCTCACTGAACAAACTCAATAAGGCACCAGAGACATTCTGGAGAAACAGAGATATGTGATATTTCAGATAGAGAATTCAAAATAGCTGTTATGAGGAAACTCAAAGAAATCCAAGATAACACAGAGAAGGAATTCAGAATTCCATTAGATAAATTTAACAAAGAGATTGAAACAATGAAAAAGAATCAATCAGAAATTCTGGAGTTGAAACACGCAGTTGACATACTGAAGAGTGCATCTGAGTCTTTTAATAGCAGAATCAATCCAACAGAAAAAAGAATTAGTGAGCCTGAAGACAGCCTATTTGAAAACACACAGAGGAGACAAAAAAGAAAAGAATAAAAAACCATGAAACATGCCTATGGGATCTAGAAAATAGCTTCAAAAGGGCAAATGTAAGAATTATTGGCCTCAAAGAGGAAATAGAGAAAGAGATAGAAGTAGAAAATTTAATTCAAAGGTATACTAACAGAGAACTTCCCAAACCTATAGAAAGATAGCAATATCCAAATACAAGAAAGGTATAGAACACCAAGCAGATTTAACCCAAAGAAGAGTTCTTGAAGACATTCAATATTCAAACTCCCAAAGATCAATGATAAAGAAAGGATCCTAGAGGCAGCAAGAGAACAAAATAAAATAACATACAGTGGAGCTCCAGTATGTCTGACAGCAAGCTTTTCAGTGTATATCTTACAGGCTGGGAGAGAGTGGCATGACATATTTAAAGTTCTAAAGAAAGAACTTTTACCCTAGAAGAGTATATCTGGTGAAAATATACTTCAAACATGAAGGAGAAATAAAGACTTTCCCAGACAAACAAAAGCTGAGGTATTCCAACACAAGACCTGTCCTACAAGAAATGCTAAAGGGATTTTTTCAATCAGAAAAAAAGGTCATTAATGAGTAATGAGTAATCACCTGAAGGTGCAAAACTCACTGGTAATAGTACACAGAAGAACAGAGAATATTATAACACTGTAACTATGGTGTGTAAACTTCTCTTACGTAGAAAACTAAAATATGAATCAATCAAAAAAAATAACTACAGCAACTTTTGAAGAAATAAATGGTACAATAAAAGATGCAAATAGAAACAACACAAAGTTTAAAAGTTGGGGGGTGGATAAAGTTAACATGTAGAGTTTTTGTTGTTGTTGTTTTTTGCTTGCTTGTTTGTATATGCAAAGAGTATTAAGTTGTTATCAGCTGTACAATCATGGGATATAAGAAAGTACTTGCAATCCTCATAGTGTCTTGTATTAGTTCGTTTTCACACTGCTGATAAGACATACCTGAGACTGGGCAATTTACAAAAGAAAGAGGTTTAATTGGACTTACAGTTCCACTTCTCTGGGGAGGCCTCACAATCATGGTGCAAAGTGAAAGGCACATGTCACATGGCAGCAGACAAGAGAATAAAGCTTGTGCAGTGAAACTCCACTTTTAAAAATCATCAGATCTTGTGACACTTATTCACTATCATGTGAACAGCACAGAAAAGACCTGCCCCCATGATTCAGTTACCTCCCACTGGGTCCCTCCCACAGCACATGGGAATTCAAGATGAGATTTGGGTGGGGACACAGAGGCAAACCACATCATTTCACCGCTGACCCCTCTGAAATCTCATGTCTTCACCTTTCAAAACCAATCATGCCTTCCCAACAGTTCTCCAAAGTCTTAACTCATTTCAGCATTAACTCAAAAGTCCATAGTCCAAAGTTTCATTCCAGACAAGGCAAGTCCCTTTTTCTATGAGTCTGTAAAATCAAAAGCAAGTTAGTTACTTCCTAGATACCATGGGGGTACATGCATTGGGTAAATACAGCCATTTCGAATGGAAAAAATTGGCCTAAACAAAGGGGCTACAGGCCCCAAGCAAGTCTGAAATCCAGAGGGGCAGTCAAATCTTAAAGCTCCAAAATGATCTCCTTTGACTCTAGGTCTCACATCCAGGTCACCCTGATGCAAGAGGTAGCCTTCCATGGCCTTGGGAAGCTCTGCCCCTGTGGCTTTGCAGGTTATAGCCCCACTCCTGGCTGCTTTCATAGGCTGGCATTGAGTGTCTGTGGCTTTTCCAGGTGCATAGTGCAAGCTATTGGTGGATCTACCATTCCGGAATCTGGAGGACAGTGGCCCTCTTCTCACAGCTCCACTAGGCAATGCCCCACTATGGACTCTGTGTGGGGGCTCTGGCCCCACATTTCCCTTCTACACTGCCCTAGCAGAAGTTCTCCATGAGGCCTCTGCCCCTGCAGCAAACTTCTGCCTGGGCATTCAGGCTTTTTCATACATGCTATGAAATCTAGGTGGAGATTCCCAAACCTCAGTTCTTGACTTCTGTGCACCCAAAGGCTCAACACCACATGGAAACTTCCAACACTTGGGGCTTCCACCCTCTGAAGCAACAGCCCAAACTATACCTTGGCCCCTTTTAGTCATGGCTGGAGTGGCTGGGATGCAGGGCACCAAGTCCTTAGATTGCACACATAAGAGGGACCCTGGCCCTGGCCCACAAAACCATTTTTTCCTCCTAAACCTTTGGGCCTGTGATGGGAGGGGCTGCCACAAAGGTCTCTGACATGCCCTGGAGACATTTTCTTCATTGCCTTGATGATTAATATTTGACTCCTCATTACTTATGCATATTTTTGCAGCCAGCTTGAATTTCTCCTCAGAAAATGGAATTTTCTTTTCTATCAAATTGTCAGGTGGCAAATTTTCCAAATTTTTATGCTGTGTTTCCCTTTTAAAACCAAATGCCTTTAACAGCACCCAAGTCACCTCTTGAATGCTTTGCTGCTTAGAAATTTCTCTCACCAGATACCCTAAATTATCTCTCTCAAGTGCAAAGTCCCACAGATCTCTAGGGTAGGAGTGAAATGCCACTGGTCTCTTTGCTAAAACATAACAAGAGTAACCTTTGCTCCAGTTCACAACAAGTTCCTCATCTCCATCTGAGACCACCTCAGCATGGATTTCATTGTCCACATCGTTATCAGCATTTTGGTCAAAGCTATTCCACAAGTCTCTAGGAAGTTTCAAACTTTCCCACACTTTTCTGTCTTCTTTTGAGCCCTCCAAACTTTTCCATTCTCTGCCTGTTACCCAGTTCCAAAGTTGCTTCCACATTTTCAGGTATCTTTGGCAGCGCCCAGCTCCTGGTACCAATTTACTGTATTAGTCTGTTTTCACACTGCTGATAAATATGTACCCAAGACTGGGCAATTTACAAAAGAAAGAAGTTTAATTGGACTTAGAATTCCACGTGGCTGGAGAGCTCTCACAATCATGGTGGAAGGTGAAAGGTATATCTCACATGGTAGCACACAAGAGAAGAGAGCTTGTTCAGGGAAACTCCCCTTTTTAAAACCATCGGATCTCATGAGACTTATTTGCTATCATGAGAACAGCATGGAAAATACCTGCCCCCATGATTCAATTACCTCCCATAGGTCCCTCCCACAACATGTGGGAATTCAAGATGAGATTTTGGTGAGGACACAGCTAAACCATATCATACGTGAAATTAAAAAAAATACAATGGGTACACAAGAATAAAAAGGAAGAAAGTAAATTATATCAAAAGAGAAAATAACCTTCACTAAAAGGAAGACAGGAAGGAAGGAAAGAAGGAAGAGAAGACCACTAAACAACCAGGAGACTAATATCAAACTGGCAGGAGTGAGTTCTTACTTATCAATAATAACATTGAATGTGTATGGTGTAAAATCTCCAATCAAAAGACATAGAGTGGCTGAATGAATGAAAAACAGGACCAATTGTTCTGTTGCCTAGAAGAAACACACTTCACCTATAAAGATACATATAAACTAAAAATAAAAGGATGGAAAAAGATATTGCATTCCACAGGAAAACAAAAAAGCAGTAGTAGCTATACTTATATCAGAAAAATTAGATTTTAAGGCAAAACCTATACGAAGAGACAAAGAAGATTATTATATGCTGATAAAGAGGTCACTTTAGCAAGAGGATATGACAGTTGTAGATATACATGCACCCAACACTGGAGCACACAGATGTGTACAGCAAATATTATCAGAGCAAAGGAAACATAACCCCGGTACAGTAATAGTTCGAGACTTCAACACCCCACTTTCAGCATTGGATAGAACTTCTAGAGAGAAAATCCATAAAGACATATCAGACTTAGTATGCACTATAGTCCAAATAGACCTAATAGATATTTATAGAACATTTCAACCATTGGCTGCAGAAAACACATTCATCTCCTCAGCACATGGATCATTGTCAAGGATGGGCCATATGTCAGGCCACAAAACAAGTCTCTAAAAATTTAAAAAGCTTGGAATTATATTAAGCATCTTCTCTGATCACAATGGAATAAAACTACAAATTAATAATAAGAGAAATTTTGGAAACATACAAACATATCAAAATTAAAAACAATATGCTCCTGAATGGCTAGTGGGTCAATAAAGAAATTAAGAAAGAAATGGAAAAATGTCTTGAAACAAATGATAATGGAAACAAAACACACCAAAACCTATGGGATACAGTAAAACAGTAGTAAGAGGAAAATTTATGGCCATAAGTGCCTACATCAAAAAAAAAAAAAAAAAGAGGGAGAAAAACTTAACATAGGCAACCTAATTGATGCATATTAAAGAATTACAAAAGCAAGAGCAAACCAAGCCCCCAAATTAGTAGAATAAAAGAAATATTATAGATCAGAGTAGAAATAAATGAAATTAAAATGAAGAAAACAAGACAAAAGATCAATGAAACAAAAAGTTCATTCGAGCAAAATAACCTGCTAACATCATAAGGATCATTTGACAGGATCAAATTCACACATAACAACATTAACCTTAAATATAAATGGGCTAAATGCTCCAATTTACAAAAGATACAGACTAGCAAATTGGATAAAGAGTCAAGACCCATCAGTGTGCTGTATTCAGGAGACCCATCTCATGTACAGAGACACACACAGGCTCAAAATAAAGGGATGGAGGAAGATCTACCAAGCAAATGGAAAATAAAAAAAAAGCAGGGGTTGCAATCCCAGTCTCTGATAAAACATGATAGGCATGCAATCTGTAATAATCACATCAGTGAGAGTGGGATATCTTTAGTGTTATGAACAATCCAGTTACACTGTTTCAGCTGTTTTAAATGTACAATTATTATTTGACTATAGTCACCTTGTTGTCCTATCAAATAGTATGTCCTATTCATTCATTCTATTTTTTTTGTACCCAGTAACTGTCCCCACGGCCCCCCTACCCCCATTACTCATCTCACCCTCTGGTAACCATCCTTCTACTCTCTACATCCATGAATTTAAGTGTTTTGATTTTTACATCCCAGAAATAAGTGAGAATATGCAATGTTTGTCTTTCTATGCCTGCTTATTTCACTTAACATAATGATCATAATTTATCAATGTTGTTGCAAATGACAGGACCTCATTCTTTTATGGCTGAATAGTACTCTATTGTGTACATGTAGCACACTTTCTTTATCCATTCATCTGTTGATGGACACTTAGGTTGCTTCCAAATTTTATTAATAGCTCTTGTGAATGGTGCTGCAAAACAAAAAACAAAAAACAAAAAAAACAAAACATGGGAGGGCAGATATCTTTTCAATATACTAGTTTGCTTTTTTGGGGGGTATGTAACCAGCAGTGAAATTTCTGGATCACATGGTAGCTCTATTTTCAGATTTTGAGAAATCTCCAAACTATTCTTCATGGTTGTTGTACTAACATACATTTCCACCAACAGTGTACAAGGGTTTCCTTTTGTCCACATCCTCTCCAGCATTTGTTATTGTCTGTCTTTTGGATATATGCCATTTTAGTTGGGGTGAGACGATATCTCATTGTAGTTTGGATTAGCATTTCTCTGATGATCAATGATGTTAAGCAGTTTTTCATATGTCTGCCATTTATATGTCTTCTTTTGAGAAATGTCTATTCAAATTTTTCATCATTTTTGATTAGATTATTATATTTTTTTCCTATACAGTTGTTTGAGCTACTTATATCTTCTGCTTATTAGTCCTTTGTCAGATGGGTTGTTTGCAAATGTTTTCTCCCATTCTGTGGTTTGTCTCTTCACTTCATTGATTTTATCCATTGCTTGGTAGAAACTTTTAAACTTGATGTGACCGTATTTGTCCATTTTTGGTTTGGTTGCCTGTGCTTGTGGGGTATTGCTCAAGAAATATTTGCCCAGACCAATGACCTGGAGATCTTCTCCAATGTTTTCTTGTAATAGTTTCACAGTTTGCGTTCTTAGATTTAAGTCTTTAGTCCATTTTGATTTGATTTTTGTATATGGCAAAAGGTAGGGGTCTAGTTTCCTTCTTCTGCATGTGGATATCCAGTTTTCCCAGCACAATTTATTGAAGAGACTGTCTTTTCCCCAGCTTGTGTTCTTGGCAGCTTTTTGAAAAATGAGTTCACTGTAATTGTGTGCATTTGTGTCTGCATTCTCTCTTATGTTCCATTAATGTGTGTGTCTGTTTTTATGCCAGTACAATGCTGTTTTGGTTACTATAGCTCTGTAGTATAATTTGAAGTCAGGTAATATGATTACTCCAGTTTTGTTATTTTTTCTTAGGATATCTTTTGCCATTCTGGGTCCTTTTCAGTTTCATATAAATTTTAGGATTGTTTTTCTATTTTTGTGAATAATGTCATTGTTATTTTGATAGGAATTGTATTGAATCTGTAGCTTGCTTTGTATAGTATGGACATTTTAACAATAATGATTCTTCAACTTCATGAGCATGAAATATTTTTCTATTTTTTGGTGTCCTCTTCTATGTTTTTCATCAGTGTTTTCACATGTTCGTTAGGGACATCTTTCACCTTCATTAATTCCTAGATATTTAATTTTAAGTGTGGCTATTGTAAATGGCATTACTTTTTTCTTTCTTTTTGGATTGCCTGCTGTTGGCCTATAGAAATGCTCTTTATTTTTGTATGTTTATGTTGTATCCTGCAAATTTACTGAATTTAACAGTTCTGATAGTTTTTTTTGACAAAGTCTTTAGTTTTTTTCAAACAATTATAAGATTTTATAATCTGTAAACAAGGACAATTTGACTTCTTCCTTTCCAATTTGGATGCCCTCTATTTCTTTCTCTTGTCTGCTCTAGGCAGGACTTACAGTACTATGTTGAATAACAGTGGTGAAAGTGGGCATCCTTGTTTTGTCCCCGGATCTTAGGGATAAGGCTTTCAGTTTTTCCCCATTCAGTATGATACTAGCTGCAGGTCTGTTGTATATGGCTTTTATTATGTTGAGACATGTTTTATCTATACCCCATTTTTAGGATTTTTTTTATCATGAATTGATATCAAATTTTATCAAATGCTTTTCCTGTATCAATTGAAATGATTATATGATTTTTATCTTTCATTCTGTTGTTAAGATGCATCGTGTTCATGGATTTGCATATGTTGAACCATCCTTGCATCCCAGGGATAAATCCCACTTGATCATAATGAATGACATTTTAAATGTATTGTTGAATTTGGTCTGCTAGTATTTTGCTGTGGATTTTTGCATCAGTACTCATCTGAGATATTGGCCTGTAGTTTTCTTGCTTTGATGTGTCTTTGGTTTTGGTATCAAGATAATACTGGCCTTATCAAATGAGTTTGGAAGTATTCCCTTCTCTATTTGTTAGAATAGTTTGTGTAGGATTGTATTAGTTCTTTTTATATGTTTGGTATAATTCAGCAGTAAACCTTAGGTTACTGGCCTTTTCTTTTCTGGGAAACTTTTTATTATGGTGTCAATCTTATTACTTGTTACTGGCTTGTTGAGGTTTTGGATTTCTTCATGGTTCAATTTTGGTAAGTTGTCCAGGATTTTCTAATTTATTGACATATCATTGCTCATGGAAACCACTAAAGATCTTTTGGATTTTTGCAGTATCAGGTTTTTTTTTTGTTTTTTTTTTTTGTTCTTTTTTTTTTTTTTTGAGACTAAGTCCAGCTCTGTCACCTAGGCTGGAGTGCAGTGGCATGATCTTGGCTCACTGCAACCTCCGCCTCCTAGATTCAAGCAATTCTCCTGCCTTGGCCTCCTGTGTAGCTGTGTAGCTGGGATTACAGGCATGCACAACCACGCATGGCTAATTTTTGTATTTTTAGTAGAAGTGGGGTTTTGCCATGTGGCCAGGCTGGTCTCGAACTCCTGACCTCAAGTGATCCTCTTACCTTGGCCTCCCATAGTGCTGGGATTACAGGCATGAGCCATTGCCTGCAGTATCAGTTTTAATGTCTCCTTTTTCATTGCTGATTTTTAAAATCTGGATCTTCTCCCTTTTTTTCTTAGTCTGGCTAAAGCTTTGTCTATTTTCTTTAACTTTTCAAAAAACCACCTGTTCATTTCATTGATCTTTTGTATTATTTCCTTATTTCAAATTCATTTATTTCTGCTCTGATCTTTATTATTTCTTCTACTAATTTTGGGTTTGGTTTGCTCTTGCTTTTCTAGTTCTTTAAGATGCATTGTTCAGTTGTTTACTTAAAGTTTTTCTTCTGTTCTGATGTAGGCATTTATGGCTATAAATTTTCCTCTGAGTTCTGCTTTTGCTGTATCCCATAGGTTTTGTTATGCTGTGTTTCCATTATTATTTGTTTCAAGAAATTTTAAAATTTTCTTTTTAATTTCTTCATTGACCCACTGGTCATTCAGGAGCATATTGGTTAATATTCATTTATTTGTATAATGTCAAAAATTCCCATTATTTTAATTTCTAGTTTAATTCCATTGTAGTCAGAGAAGATGCTTCACATTATTTCAATTTTTTTGAATGTTTCAAGACTTATTTTTTGACCTAACATATAGAATGTCCTTGAGAATGATCCACGTGCTGAGGAGAAAAATGTGTTTTCTGTGGGCATTGGATGAACTGTTCCATAAATATCTATTAGATCAATTTGGTCTGTAGTATAGATTAAGTTCAATTTTTTTTTTGTATATATTCTGTCTGGACAATCTGTTCAGTTCTGAAAGTAGGGTGCTGAAGTGTCCAGCTATTATTGTATTGGGGCCTAGCTCTCTCTTTAGCTCTAATAATATTTTCCTTATATATTAGGGTGCTTCAGTGTTTAGTGCATATATATTTAAAATTGTTATATTCTCTTACAGAATTGAGCACTTCATAATTATATAGTGACCTTCTTGGTCTCTTCTTATAGTTTTTGTTTTGAATTCTATTTTGCCTCATGTAAGTATAGCTACTCTGCCCTTTATTCATTTCCATTTGCATGGAATATCTTTTTCCACTCTTTTATTTTCAGTATATGTCTGTCTTTATAGTTGAAGTGAATTTCTTTTAGGCAACAGATCAATGGGTCTTTTTTTAAAAAATCCATTCAGCCAGCTCTATGTCTTTTAAAAAACACTTTTATTTAAATTCAGGGGTAGACATGCAGGTTTGTTACATAGGTAAATATGTGTCATGGAGATTTGTTGTACACATTATTTTATCACTCAGGTATTAAGCCTAGTACCCAATAGTTATTTTTCCTGATCCTCTCCCTCCCATCATGCTCCACCCTCTGATAATCCCCAGTGTGTGTTGTTTTCCTCTATGTGTTCCTGTGTTCTCATTATTTACTTCCCACTTATAAATGAGAACATGTGGTATTTGGTTTTCTGTTTCTGTGTTAGTTTGCTAAGGATAATGGCTTCCAGCTCCATTTATGTTCCTACAAAGAACATGATCTCATTCTTTTTTATGGCTGCATAGTATTCCATTGTGTATATGTATTCCAAATATATGTATATATGTATATGTGTATATATGTAATCCAACTGTGCATATGTACCACATTTTCTTTATCCAGTGATGGGCATTTAAGTTGATTCCATGGCTTTGCTATTGTGAATTGTGCTGCAATGAACATATAGATGCATGTGTCTTTATAATAGAATGATTTATATTCCTTTGGGTATATACTAAGTAATGGGATTGCTGGGTCAAATGGTATTTCTGTCTTTAGGTCTTTGAGGAATCACTATGCTATCCTCCACAATGATTTAACTAATTTACACTTTTACCAACAGAGTATAAGTGTTCCTTTTTCTCCACAGCCTCACCAGCATCGGTTATTTTTTGACTTTTTTAAAACAGCTATTCTTACTGGTGTAGATGGTATCTCATTGTGGTTTTGATTTGCATTTCTCTAATGATCAGTGATGCTGAGCTTTTTTTTTTTTTTCATATGCTTCTTAGCTGCATGCAGGTCTTCTTTTGAGAAGTGTCTGTCCATGTCCTCTGCCTGTTTTTTAATGGTTTATTTCTCTTGTCAATTTGTTGAAGTTTTTTATAGATGCTAGATGTTAGACCTTTGTCAGATGCATAGTTGACAAAAATTTTCTCCTGTATGTTGTCTGTTTACTCTGTTGATAGTTTCTTTTGCTGTTTAGAAGTGGTTAAGCTTAATTAGATCCCACTTATCATTTTTTTGCTTTTGTTGCAAATGCTTTTGGTGTTTTCATCATAAAATCTTTGCTTATTCCTATGTCCATGATGGTATGGCCTATGTTGTCTTGCAGGGTTCTTATAGTTTTGGGCTTTACATTTAACTCTTTAATTTATCTTGAGTTAATTTTTGTATATGTTGTAAGGAAGGGGTCTAGTTTCAATCTTCTGCATATGGCTAGCCAGTTATTCCAGCACCATTTATTGAATAGGGAGCCTTTTGCCCATTGTTTGTTTTTGTCAGGTTTGTTGAAGATCAGGTATCTGTAGGATGTGCTGTCTTACTTCTGGGTTTTCTATTTTCTTCCATTGGTCTATGTGTCTCTTCTTGTACCGGTACTATGCTGTTTTTGTTACTGTAGCCCTGTAGTATGGTTTGAAGTTGGGTAGTGTGATGCCCGTGGCTTTGTTCTTTTTGCTTAAGATTGCCTTGGCTATTCAGACTCTTTTTGTGGTTCCATATAAATTTTAAAATAGTTTTTTTTTCTAATTCTGTGAAGAATATCAATGACAGCTTAATGGGAATAGCATTGAATCTATAAATTGCTTTGGACAGTATGGCCATTTTCACAATATTGATTCTTCCTATCTATGAGCATGAAATGATTTTTCATTTGTATGTGTCCTCTCTGATTTCTTTGAGCAGTGGTTTGTAATTCATGTAGAGAGCTTTCATCTCCCTAGTTAGCTGTACTCCTAGATATTTTATTATTTTTGTGGCAATTATGAATGGGAGTTCATTCAGGATTTGACTCTTGGCTTCACTGCTGTTGATGCATAGGAATGCTAGCAATTTTTGCCCATCGATTCTGTATTCTGAGACTTTCTGAAATTGCTTATCAGCTTAAGAAGGCTTTAGGCTGAGAAAATGGGATTTTCTAGATATAGGGTTATGTCATCTGAAACAGGGATAGTTTGACTTCCTGTCTTACTATTTGATGCCCTTTATTCCTTTCTCTTGCCTGATTGTTCTGGCCAGAACTTCCAATATTATGTTGAAAAGGAGTGTTGAGAGAGGCCATTCTTGTCTTGTGTTGATTTTCAAGGTGAATGCTTCCAGCTTTTGCCCAGTCAGTATAATGGAGGCTGTGGGTTTGTCATAGATGGCTCTTATCACTTTGAGGTATGTTTCTTCCTTCAATATCACTTTATTGAGAGTTTTTAACCTGAAGTGATGTTGAATTTTATTGAAGGCCTATTCTGCATCTATTGAGATAATCATGCGTCTTTTTTCTTTAGTTCTGCTTATGTGATGAATCACATTTATTGATTTGTGTAGGTTGAATCAACCTTGCATCCTGGGGATGAAGCCTACTTGATTATGTGGATATGCTTTTGATGTGTTGCTGGATTCTGTTTGCCAGTAGTTTTTGAGGATTTTTGCATCAATGTTCCTCAAGAATATTTGCCTAAAGTTTTCTGTTTTTGTTGTATCTCTGCCAGGTTTTGGTACCAGGTTGATGCTGGCCTCATAGAGTGAGCTAGAGAGGAGTCCCTCCTTTTCAATTCTTGGGAACAGTCTCAGCAGAAATGGTACCAGCTCTTTTTTGTACATCTGGTAAAATCCAGTTGTAAATCCATCTTGTTCTGAGCTTTTTTTTTTTTTTTTTTTTTTGTTGTTGTTGTTTTTGGTAAGCGATTTACCACTGCTTCAATTTCACAACTCATTATTGGTCCATTCAAGGATTTAATTTCTTCCTGATTCAGCCTTTGGAGGGTGAATGTGTCCAGGAATTTATTCATGTTTTCTAGATTTTCTAGTTTATTTGCATAGTGGTGTTTATAATATTCTCTAATGTTTATTTGTATTTTTGTGTGGTCAATAGTAATATCTGTCTTATAATTTCTGATTTTTTGTATTTGAACATTCTTTCTTCTGTATTAGTCTAGTTAGCAGTCTATCTATTTTATTAGTTTTTATTTTTTCCAAATAAAACAGCCCCTGGACTTGCTCATTTTTTGAATTTTTTTTTTTTTTGTGTGTGTGTGTGTGTCTCTATCTCCTTCAGTTCAGCCTGATTTTGGTCATTTCTTGTCTTCTGTTAGTTTTTGAATTTGTTTTCTCTTGGCTCTCTAGTTCTTTTAGTTGTGATGTTAGGTTATTAACTTGAGATCTTTCTAACTTTTTGATGTGGGCACTTAGTGCTAAAAATTTTCCTCTTAACACTGCTTTAGCTGTGTCACAGAAATTCTTGTATGTTGCATTTTTGTTCTCACTGGTTCCAAAGAACTTCTTAATTTTTGTCGTAATTTTATTATTTATGCAAAAGCCACTCAGGAGCAGGTTATTCAATTTCCATGCAATTGTATGGTTTTGAGTGAATTTCTTAGTCTTGAGTTCTAATTTGATCATACTGTGGTCCGAGGAACTGTTATGATTTCAATTCTTTTGCATTTGCTGAGGAGGGTTTTACTTCTGATTATGTGATTGATTTTAGAGCAGTACCATGTGCTGATGAGAAGAATGTATGTTCTGTTGTTTTGGGGTAGAGAATTCGTAGATATCTATCATGTACATTTGACCCAGAACTGAATTCAGGTTCTAAATATCTTTGTTACTTTTCTGTCTTGATAATCTGTCTAATATTGTCATTGGAGTGTTAAAGTCTCCCACTATTATTGTATGGGAGTCTAAGTCTCTTTGAAGTTGTCTAACAAATTGCTTTATGAATCTGGGTGCTCATGGTTAGGTCTTCTTGTTGAATTGAACCCTTTGCCATTATGTAATGAATGCCCTTCTTTGTCTTTTTTGATCTTTGTGGCTTAACATCTGTTTTGTCAGAAACTAGGACTGCAACCCCTGCATTTTTCTGTTTTCAATTTTCTTGGTAGATTTTCCTCCATCACTTTATTTTGAGCCTATGTGTGTCACTGCATGTGAGATGAGTCTCTTGTAGACAGCATAACAATGGGTCTTGATTCTTTAACTAGCTTGCCACTCCATGTCTTTTAATTGGGGCATTTAGCCTATTTACATTTAAGGTTAGTATTGATATGTGTAGATTTGATCGTGTCATGTTAGCTTGCTATTTTGCAGACTTGTTTACGTGGTTGCTTTATAGTGTCAGTGGTCTGTGTACTTCAGCATGTTTTTGTAGTGGCTGGTAATGATCTTTCCTTTCCATATTTAGTTCTTCCTTTAGGAACTCTTGTAAGGCAGGTCTGGTGCTAACGATTTCCCTCAGCATTTGCTTGTCTGAAAAAGCTCTCATTTCTTTTTTGTTTATGAAGCTTGGTTTGGCCAGATATGAAATTCTGGATTGGAATTTCTTTTCTTTAAGAATTTTGAATATTAGCCCCCAGTCTCTTCTGGCTTGTAGGGTTTCCACTGAGAGGACTGCTGGCAGTCCAATGGGCTTCCCTTTGTACGTGTCCTGGCCTCTCACTCTAACTGCCCTTAACATTTTTTTTTTCTCATTTTGACACTGGAAATTCTGAGGATGATGTGTCTTGGAAATGATCTTCTTGTGGAGTAATGTAACTGGGGTTCTGGGCATTTCCTGAATTTGAAGGTTGGCCTGCCTAGCTAAGTTGGGGAATTTCTCATGGACGATATCCTGAAATATATTTTCCAACTTTCCATTCTCCCTATCTCTTTCAGGTACACTAATCAGTCATGGATTCAGTCTCTTTACATAATCCCATATTTCTCAGAGGTTTTGACCATTTCTTTTCATTTCATTTTTCTCTATTCTTGTCTGTCTGTCTTCTTCAGAAAGACAGTCTTCAAGCTCTAAGATTCTTTTCTCCACTTGGTCTATTCTGCTATTAATACTTGTGATTGCATTATGAAATTCTTTTATTTTTTTTTTAGCTCTGTCAGCTCAGTTACATTCTTCTCTATACTGTATTTTGTTTGTCAGCTCATATAATGTTTTATCATGATTTTTAGCTTCATTGCATTGGGTTACAAGGTGCTTCTTAAGGTCAGTGAAGTTTGTTTTTATCCATTTTCTGAGTTCGACTTCTGTCATTTCAGCCATCTCAGCCTCAGCCCAGTTTTGAATCCTTGCTAGTGAGGTGATACAGTAATTGGAGGAAAGAGGGCACTCTGGCTTTTTGAATTTTGAGTGTTCTTGCGCTGATTCTTTCTCATCTTTTTGGGCTTATCTACCTTCAATCTTTGAGGCTGCTGACCTTTGGATTTTTGTTTTCTATTTCTTTTAATGGTCTGGCTACTTTTCCATAGGGCTGCTGTGGTCTGCTGGGGGTCTGCTCCAATCTCTAGTTGCCTTGGATTTTTTCAGCACCCAGAGGTATCATCAGTGAAGCCTGCAAAACAGCAAAGAAGGCAGCCTGCTCCTTCCTCTGGGACCTCCAGCCCAGAGAGGTATGGGGGTGTTGCTGGCTGAAAGCACCTGTAGAAGTGGCTGGAGACCCCTGTTAGGAAGTCATATCTAGTCAGGAGGAACAGGATTGAGGACCTATTCAAAGAAGCAGTCTGGCCACATTTTGTTAGAGCAGCTGTGCTGTGCTGGGGTATCTCCTTTGACCCTGGTTGGTTTGGACTCTGCAAAGCCCACAGACTGAAATGGCTCAGTCACACAAACAGCAAAGGTGTCAGCCACCCCTCTTCCTGAGAACTCCATCCCTGGGAGAATTCAAATGTCTGTCAGATAGAGAACACCAGCAGGGGTGGCTGGAGGACCTGTTTGGGAGGTTCTGCCCAGTTAGGAGACACATAATTGGTAAAGCTATCTAAAGAAGCAGTCTGGCCATGCCTTTCATAGAGCAGCTCTGCTGTGCTGGGGGACCACTTCTGCCCCAGTCAGCTTGAGATTTCCAAAGCCCACAGGCTCGAATGTCTAAGTCACCCAGCCAGCAAAGATAGTGGCTTGCCCCTCCCTTTGGGAACTTCCTCTCAGGGTGTATTCAAATCTCTATCGGCCTGAGAACACTGGTGAGGGTGGCTTGAGGCCCTAGTTGGAAAGTCCCACCCAGCGAGGAGGTACAGATTGGAGACCCACGTGAAGAAGCTGTCTGGCCATGTTTTGGTAGAGTAGCTGTGCTGTGCTGGGGGATTCCTTCTGCCCTTGGCCAGTTTGGACTCTCAAAAGCCCTAAGACTGGAACAGCTGAGTCTCCCAAACAGAAAAGATGGCAGCCCATTCCTCCCCACAGGAACTCTGTCCCAGGTAGGTGCAATGCTATTTCTGGTGGCTGGCTGGAATTCCAGGCCAGTGGGTCTTATCCTGTGTAGTGCTGTGGAAGTAGGGCCCAGAGACAGTCACTGCTCAGCTCCCTGGATTCAGTCCCCTTCAAAGGGGTATGTACAGAGGTCCAACCTCCTGCCTTGCTGGAGTTGCTGTCACTTTCACTGGGAAGCCTGGAGTCAGTGTATGTAAAATAAAAACTCTACACCTTTACTTCGCCCTCCATCCCCCCAACTTTTAAACTTTGTGTTGATTTTATCAGCATCTTATTATACTTTCTGTGTCCTGAAAAGTTGCTGTAGTTATTATTTTTGATTGATTCTATTTTTAGTCTTTGTATCTAAGAGTAGTTTACACATCACAGTTGCAGTGTTACACTGTGCTGCATTTTTCTGTGTACTTACTATTACCAGCGAGTTTTTTACATTCAGGTGATTACTTATTACTAATTAACATTCTTATTTTTCTCTGATTGAATTATTCCTTTTACCATTTCTTGTGGGACAGATCTGGTGTTGATGAAATCCCTCAGCTTTTGTTTGTCTACTTCATGTTTGAAGGATATTTTCACCAGATATTTATTCTAGGGTAAAGTTTTCCCCCCGCCCCCCTTAGCACTTTAAATATGTCTTGCCACTCTCTCCTGGCTTTCCATTGAAAAGTCTGGTGCCAGACGTATTGGAGCTCCATTGTATGTTATTTCTTTTCTCTTGCTGCTTTTAGAATCCTTTCTTTGATCTTTGGGAGTTTGATTATTAAATGCCTTGAGGTCATCTTTTTGGATTAAGTCTGCTTGTGTTCATATAACCTTCTTGTATTCAAATACCGCCATCTTTCAGTAGGATTGGGAAGTTTTCTGTTTTTATTCCTTTGAATAAACTGTCTACTTCTTTTTCTCTACTTCTTCTTTAAGGTCAGATCTCAAATTTGCCCTTTTGAGGCTTTTTTTTTTTTTTTTTTGGTGAGACGGAGTCTCGCTCTTTCACCCAGGCTGGAGTCCAGTGGCATGATCTCGGCTCACTGCAAGCTCTGCCTCCCAGGTTCACGCCATTCTCCTGTTGAGGCTATTTTTATAGAGGCTATTTTCTATATCTTTAAAGCATGCTTCTTTTTTTTTAATTTTTTCTTTTGTCTCTTCTGTGAATTTTCAAATAGCTTGCCTTGAAGCTCACTAACTCTTTCTTCTGCTTGATCAATTCCACTAATAAAAGACTCTGATGCATTCTTCAGTATGACAGTTGCATTTTTCTGCTTCATACTTTCTGCTTGATCCTTTTTAATTATTTTCATCTGTGTTAAATTTATCTGATAGAATTCTGAATCCCTTCTCTGTTTTCTCTTGAATTCCTTTGAGGTTCCCTCAAGACAGCCATTTTGAATTCTCTGTCTGAAAGGTCACACATCTCTTTTTCCAGGATTGGTTCCTGGTGTCTTATTTAGTTCATTTGGTCAGGTCATGTTTTCCTGGATGGTGTTAATGTTAGCAGATTTTCTTCAGTGGCTTAACATTGAAGAGTTTGGTATTTATTGTAGTCTTCACTATCTGGGCTTGTCTATACCTGTCCTTCTTGGGAATGCTTGCTAGATATTTTCAAGGACTTGGGTTTTGTGATCTAACCTGCATTTGCTTCAGGGAGCACCCCAAGCCCAATAACGCTGTGGTTATTGTAGACTCACTGATGTACCACCTTGATAGTCTTGGGCAAGATCTGGGAGAATTTTCTCATTACCCCTTGGAGACTCTTGTTTTCTTCCTTTACTTTCTAGTAAACAAACAGAGTCTCTCTCTCTTCTGAGCCACCTACAGCTAGGGGTGGAGTGCCACAAGTACCCCTGTGGCCACCGCCACTATGACTGCACCAGATCAGACCTGAAGCCATTACAGCACTGGGTTTCATCTAAGGCCTGCTGTAACCACTCCCTGGTTACTGCCTATGTTTGCTCAAGGCCCTGGGGCTCTACAATCAGCAGGTGGCAAAGCCAGCTAAGCCTGTGTCCTTCCCTTCAGGGTGGCAAGTTCTCTCAGGCCCCGAGTGAATCCACAGTTTCTGTCTGGGATTCAGGGACTAGAGTCACAAACCTTAGAAGTCTATGGGGTGTACTCTTGTACTGTGGCTGAGCTGACACTCAAACCACAAGATACAGTCCTTTCCACTCTTTCCTCCCCTTTCCAAAGTCAGAGAAGCTTCACCTCATAGTCACGGCCACCACAGGCCATGAGGAGTTCTGCCTGACTGCTGCTGATGTTCGCTTAAGGTCCAATAATTCTTAAATAAGCATGTGATGAATGCTGCCTGACCTGGGACTCACCCTTTAGGGCAGTGGGCTCCCCTCTGGGCCAGGGCAGGTCCTGAGATACTTGACAAGAGTCAAGACCTGGAATCAGGGACCCCAAGAGCCCACTTGGTATTCTCTATCCTCCTGTGGCCATGCTGGTACATAAAAGTGCAAGGCAAATTCCGCTGTACTTTTTCTTCTGCTTTTCTCAAGCAGAAGGAGTTTCACCCTATAGCCACCACAGCCAGTAACATGCTGGATCTCACCTGAAGCCAGTGAATCTCAGAAGCTCACCCAAGGCCTTCAATGTACTTCCTGGGTATTGCTGCTTGTCGTTCAGGGCCCAAGGGCTCTTCAGTTAGCAGGTGATAAATGGTGCCAAGAATAGTTTATTCTTTTCAAGGTAATAGGTTCTATTCTGGGCCAGGTTGTGTCTAGAAATGTTGTCTGGGAGCTAGAGCCTAGGAATTAAGGCCTCATGACTGAGCAGTGCCCTATTCTGCTGTGGCTGAGCTGGTACTCAAGATGCAAGACAAGGTCTTCCCCTCTCTTTCCTGTTCTTTCTTCAAGCGTAAGGAAGGGGTCTCTTTTGGAGTCAGGAGCTGTGCAGCCTGTGGTAAGGGGAAGGGTGATGCCAGCATTTCCTTAGCTGCTCCAGCTATCTCAGTAGGTTGTGTGTTCCATTGTCTCTTAGCCTGGTTCAACACTAGAACTTGCCTAAGGGTTGCAGTCCTTATGTCCTAGATTGCCTTTCACGTTTACTTAGAGACTCAGAGCACTTTGGCCCTTAGTGGTGAGGTTTGTGGGAATTCAAGTTTTGACCTTTGGGATTGGTAATTCCCCTTTGGCTAGGGCTTGTTTAAATGCTCCCTCTGTGGTTGGGCATCAGCTGAATTTGGTCTGGTTTTGCTTTTTGCTCTACCAGGACAGCACTGAGTTCAGTGGCTCACAATTGCTGTGTTCTCCCTCCCTCAGCACCCAGAGATGCTCTTCTCAACATGCTGCCAATGCTGGGGTGATAGGGGTGGGGTGGCACTGGTGATTCAAGACTTTTTTTCTATCTCTTCAGTACCTCTTTCAGTGATGTGTAGTTAAAACCAGGTACTATGAGGGCTCACCTGGTTTTTAGTTCTTATGAAGGTGTTTTTTATTTTTTTCTGGGTAGATAGTTGTTAAGTTGATGTACTTGCAGGAGATATGATCAGTGGAGTCATCTATCCTGCCATCTTGCTCTGCCTCCCAGATAATTACATCACAAAGCATTTACTAATAATTAGGTGGGTAGCAAGATATTGGACAGATCTACCCAATGAAAAATTGTTTTTTATTAGAGAAGTGATATATGCTTACTTAAATGGTTCAAATAGTGCACAAGTGTACAAATTTGAATCTGTTGTCTACCACTATTAACTGCTTGGATGGTATCCTTCTAGGCTTCATTTATACAGACTTTGAAGATAGTTCAAGTTTGGTTTCAGACCACCATAATTAAATGAATGTTGCAATAAAGCAAGTCACAGAAATTATTTTGTTTCCTAGTGCATTTAAAAGTTATGTTTACACTATACTGTAGTATATTAACTGTGAAATAGCATTATGTCTAAGACAATGATACCTTAATTAAAGCATACTGTATTGCTAAAAAAAAACACTAACAATCATCTGAACATTCAATAAGTCATGGTCTTTTTGTTGATAGAGGGTCTTGCCTCAATGTTGATGGCTGCTGGCTGATAAGGGTGGTAGTTGTTGAAGGTTGGGGTGCCTGCGGCAATTTTTTAAGACAACAATAAAGTTTGCTGCATCACTTGACTCTTCCTTTCATGAGAGATTTCTCTGTAGCTTACAATGTTTGATAGCATTTTACCCACAGTAGAACTTCTTTCAAGATTAGAGTCAGTCCTCTCAAACCCTGCCACTGTTTTATCAACTAAGTTTACGTAGTATTCTAAATCCTATGTTTACAGAATCTTCACCAGAAGAAGTTCCCCTCTCAAGAAACTACTTTCCTTGCTCATCTGTAAGAAACAACTCTTCATAGGTTAGTGTTATTATAAGCTTGCAGCAATTCAGTCATATCTTCGGGCCCATTTTTAATTCTAGTTCTCATTCTATCTCCACCAC
The DNA here is from genome assembly GCF_000001405.40 of Homo sapiens. NCBI lineage: Eukaryota > Metazoa > Chordata > Mammalia > Primates > Hominidae > Homo > Homo sapiens. The sequence continues at coordinate 97,360,582 of NC_000005.10, forward strand.
ATCTGCAATTACTCTTTCCGCTGAAACCTTAAACTCCTCAAAGTCATCCATGAACATTAGAATCAACTTCTTCCAAACTTCTATTAATGTTAATATTTGACCTCTTCTCAGGAATCACAAATATTATTATTATTTTCTAGAATGGTAAATCCTTTCCAGAAGGTTTTCAAGTTACATTGCCAAGATCCAACAAAGGACTCACTATGCATGGCACCCACAGCCTTGCAAGATGTATTTCTTAAATAATAAGATGTGAAAGTCAAAATCACTTCTTGTTCCATTGGCTACAAAATGGATGTTGTGTTAGTGGACATAAACACATTAATCTCACAACCTACAGAATGGGAGAAAATCTTGCAATCTATCCATCTGACAAAGAGCTAATATCCAGAATCCACAAAGAACTATTTCTAAACAAATTTACAAGAAAAAAACAACCCCATCAAAAAGTGGGCGAAGGATATGAACAGACACTTCTCAAAAGAAGACATTTATGCAACCAAGAAGCTTATGAAAAAATGCTCATTATCACTGGTCATTAGAGAAATGCAAATCAAAACAAAATGAGATACCATCTCATGCCAGTTAGAATGGCAATTATTAAAAAGTCAGGAAACAACAGATGCTGGAGAGGATGTGGAGAAATAGGAACGCTTTTACACTGTTGGTGGGAGTGTAAATTAGTTCAACCATTGTGGAAGACAGTGTGGCGACTCCTCAAGGATCTAGAACTAGAAATACCATTTGATCCAGCAATCCCATTACTGGGTATATACCCAAAGGATTATAAATCATTCTACTATAAAGACACATGCACACGTATGTTTATTGCGGCACTGTTCACAATAGCAAAGTCTTGGAACCAACCCAAATGCCCATCAATGATAGACTGGATAAAGAAAATGTGGTACATATATACCTTGGAATACTATGCAGCCATAAAAAAGGATGAGTTCATGTCCTTTACAGGGACATGGATGAAACTTGAAACCATCATTCTCAGCAAAGAAACACAAGAAGCGAAAACCAAACACCGCATATTCTCACTCATAGGTGGGAGTTGAACAATGAGATCACTTGGACACAAGGAGGGGAACATCACACACCGGGGCCTGGCAGGGGTGGAAGGCTGGGGGAGGGATAGCATTAGGAGAAATACCTAATGTAAATGATGAGTTGATAGGTGCAGCAAACAAACATGGCACATATATACCTATGTAACAAACCTGCACATTGTGCACATGTACCATGGAACTTAAAGTATAATAATAATAAATAAATTAAAAAAAATAACATTAATCTCCTTCTACATCTCTACCAGAACTCTTGTGTGACCATGCATGCTTTGTCGATAAACAGTAACATTTTGAAGAGATTTTTTTTTTTTTTTGGTCTCAGCAATAGGTCTCAAAAGTGGGCTTAAAATATTCAGTAAACAATTATGTAAATAGATGTGCTGTCTCTCAGGCTTTCTTGTTTCATTTATAGAGTAGGCAGAGTAGATTTAGCATAATTCTTAAGGGCCCTAGGATTTTTGAAATGGTAAATGATCATGGGATTCGATCTCAGGTCACCAGCTGCATTAGCCCTTAACAAGAAAATCAGCCTGTTCTTTGAATCTTTGGAGCCAGGCTGACTTCTCCAGCTATAAAAGTGCTAGATGGCATCTTTTTCCAATATAAGGCTGTTTCATCTATATTAAACATCTGTTGTTTAGTGTAGTCACCTTTATCAATTATCTTAGCTAGATCTCCTGGATAGCTTGCTGCAGCTTCTACATGAGCACTTGCTGCTTCATCTTGCAGTTTTTTGTTGTTGTTGTTTTGAGACGAAGTCTCGCTCTGTCTCCAGACTGAAGTGCAGTGGTGCCATCTCGGCTCACTGCAATCTCTGCCTCCTAGGTTCAAGTGATTCTCCTCCTTCAGGCTTCTGAGTAGCTGGGATTACAGGCACATGCTGTCACGTCCAGCTAATTTTTGTATTTTTAGTAGAGACGGGGTTTCACCATGTTGGCCAGGATGGTCTTGATCTGTTGACTTTGTGATCCATCTGCCTCGGCTTCCCAAAATGCTGGGATTACAGGCATGAGCCACCATGCCTGGCCTGCACTTTTGTATGACGGAGACAGTTTCTTTCCTTAAACCTCATGAATAAACCTCTGCTAGCTTCAAACTCTTCTTCAGCAGCTTTCTCACCTCTCTCAGCCTTCTTAGAACTGAAGAGAGTTAGGGCCTCGCTCTGGATTAGGCTTTGGCTTAAGGGAATGTTATAGCTGCTTTGATCTTCTATACAGGCTACTCAAACTTTTAAAAATATCAATAATAAGGCTGATTTGTTTTCTTATCATTCATGTGTTTACTGGACTAGCACATTTAATTTTCTTCAAGAGCTTTTCCTTTTCATTCAAAACTTGGCTATTTTGCAAAAGAGGCCTAGCTTTTGGCTTGTCCCAGTAAGCATAATCATTTCTAGCTTTTAATTTAAAGTGACAGCTGTCTTTCCTGTTAAAAACTGTCAATAAACGAGGTATTAAAGGAACATGCCTCAAAATGGTAAGGGTCATCTGTGACAAACTCACAGCCAACATTATATTGAATGGACAAAAGCTGGAAATATTCCTCTTGAAAAGTGGCACAAGACAAGTATGCCCTCTCTAACCACTTTTATTCAACATACTACCGAAGTCTTAGCCAGAGACATCAATCAAGTAAAGGAAATAAAGGGCATCTAAATAGGAAAAGAGGAAGCCAAACTATCTCTGTTTGCAGATGACAAGATGCTATATCTAGAAAACTCCATAGTCTTAACTCAAAAGCCCCTTCAGCTAATAAACAACTGCAGCAGTTCCAGGATACAAAATCAATGTACAAAAATTACTAGCATCACTTACCTTGTTTATTATTGCACTCCAAACATGTGTCTGGTAAATGGTAGGCAATTACTAGATATTTGTTATTTAATTGAAAGGTATAGAAAAGCTGGAAATTTTTCATATGTCATTCCTAAATATTTAGTGTGCACTGAAACAAGGATTCTAGAGGCACGTGAGATCTAAGTTTTTCTTAGGAAGGCATATAGTGCATTTAAAAATTAATAAATACTTGAGAATTTAATCAACAATAATACCGTGCTCTTAATACGCATTATTGCTTAGTAATACTTCCTCTTTAGTGGTTTTGCTTCCAATATGAACTTTCAAACTGGCTAGGATTCACACTGAAGCCAGTAATCTCCCCATATCTTCTGTTCACCTGCACTTTGGGGCTGCTTATCTTGCCCAAGGAGAACAATGTTCATTGAGTTACATATGAATGGACCAGGTAGGGCTTGTGCACTTTGATTGTTACAATGATTATATTTCTTACATCACCATTCAATGCTGATGGCTATGGTTATCTCAGCCATGACAGCAGGAGCCATGGTTCCTTTTTGCACCACTTGTTTAGCTGCTTCTGCCAAAAATTGGTAGGTGAAAATGTAGCTCATGCTCCGTCACTTTATTTCTAAAAGAGAGCAACAAAAAAATGAATAACAAACAACTCTCTTATCCTCCAGAGGTATGGAGAAGTTAGAATTCCCTGTGTTCTCTTTTTACTTCTTCCCATCCAGGCACTCATAATAGTGTTAAAAATTCTTTTTTATTTCTTTAACTTATTCTAAAGCTGTCAGTCATGTTTACTGCTATAGCAATGAATTTGAACTTCTAAAGCATATGTTAGGTGTATAGAGCATTGCAACACATTTTTAAAACAAATGTAGGTTATTTGTTGCTTTACATCTCTGCATGGCTATGAAGATTGTGTCTGAAGGCCATTTGAGAAATTTGCTTCAAAATATATTGATCATTTTAATATAATTTAAAGACATTTTATAAAATTTTAGAATTGGAGTGTTCAAATGTGATAATACATTCTTTTACCGCCACCTACATTATTGAACAATACAAAGTACACTAGTTCTGCTGGTTCTTTGATGTTATAAGAATTTTATACTTCTAGATTTTGAGTTATTATTTGTACCTTGATAGTATCCAGTAAAGAAAATGAAAAGTAGTTTCATGTACAGATATAAAATAATGGAGCAGTCAAGCATAAAATTTTACTGGATGGTAAAATCATTTGTTTTTTGCTCCTGTAAATCATAGGTTAATTTTATTGTTCAAACCGTTTGTGTCTCCTAAAATATGCTTAAAACTTTTACACAAACTAGAGTCTCCTCACCAGTTAAGAAGCAGATTGTATATTTATAGCCTTTAGGATCTCAGGCAATGATTCAAACTGTTCTTAGAAGTGATGCAGTGAGCAAGAAAATTCCACTAACAATTTTGGCATTAGATTTCTGACAGATTTTGGTTTACAGAATGGAATCACAGATGTGATTAAACAATTCTGAACATTTTCACAACACATTTGGATGGCTTTCAGATCCAGTTATCATGTTCCCAAACATCTTAAGATCAAAGGAGAAAACAAAGCTATCTGACATTCTTTAGAGTTTGGGATAGCCACTCATTTTTTCATTAACAAACATTTCTTGAGCAAATATGATGTGCCAAGCACTATTCCAGAGGCATGGGATACATCTGCAAATAAAATTGATGAAAGACTCTGCTTTCATAAAGTATTAACTTTACTTGCCTTTATTTACATAAAATAAGTAAATTGTATACTATGTTAGAAGTTAATAAGTGCTATGGGAGGAAAGGGAAAGTGGAGCAGGATAAAGGAGAGTGGCAATTGCTGAAGAGGGCATTGCAATTGGAGAGTGTGATCAGTCTTATTAAGGTGACATTTGAGTCAAGACTTGAAGGGAGTGAAAGAGGTAGTCATGCATGTACTAGGCAAGAGCATTCTAATACTAGGACAATTCATGCAAAGGCATGGAAGTGGGAAATTTCCTGGGATGTTCAAGGAAGAGCAAAAAGGCCTATGTGGCTAGAGTGAAGAGAGTGAGAGGAAAGTAGCTAAAACTGTGTTCAGAGTGGGAACAGGGGTCAGATCAACAGACTGCTGTAAAGACTTCAGATTTTTTACTATGAATGGGGAGCCAGCAGGGTTTTGAGTGTCCCTGGGGCTGGTATTCTGAGACTAGGTGGTAAGGGGTAGAATGGCAGCAGTTAAGAGCAGATGAAGACAGGGAAAGAGCTGTTGGTGGCTTGGTCCAGGGTGGTAGCAGTGAGAAGTGTGGGAAATAGTTGAATTCTGGATATATTTTGAAAGTAACAGCAGCCAAATTTTTTGATAGGTGACAAAAGGGGCATGAGATAAAGAGAAGCGTGATTGTAAAGTATTTTGCCTGAGCATCCAGAGATTGGAGATGTCATTAAATAAGATTGTGGAGTGGGTGAGAGCAACAGTCAGGGGCAACACAACGATAAACCATAAAACATTTTTCTAGTGCAGGACCTATTTCATATTATTGTCATTTTCCAGTGTGTTATTACTTATTATTTCAATGTTTAAATAAGAACCATCTGGAAATTTCCACTGTGGCGTAATTCAAGCTACTAACATGATGTCCCTGAAAGTGGAATTGGGAAGAAATGAGTACTATAGGCTCTTGAAAGACAGGGCAAGCTGCCTCGAGCACACTGTGACTGAGCTCTGTGGCTTAGAACTCATCTTTCCAATATCAACTGGACATTGTTGGGACCTCCTGAGCATTAGGGCAGGCTAGTTTGTTATATACACACTAGACTTTACATGTCTATATATGTGCTCGACCTCAGACTATAATTCAGCTGTTACATTTTGTAGGGCTGAGAATTTATTTAAAATAAGCATTCTTTTGGTAGAAATTTGGCTATAGGCTATTCTAGGAATCAGAGCCTTTTTTAAATTTTATTTTCTTGTTTGGATGTTTGGAATAAATTCACAATTTACACATATTCCTTTAAGTTGAATACTTACAGACTGCTGACAACTATTGATAACTTGGTTTTTTGGTTCTAAGACACTTCGATCTAAACCAATGGCACTTGAAAATCTATATATTCTCTTTAACAGTAATTCATTGAAATATTAATTTAGCAAACTCATTTTAGAGTCCAATGAACAGTGTCTTGTAAAATGAAGTCTGTTTGATTGCATGACTGTATGAAAAATGCTGATATGTTTAACTTGGCTAATATAGAAAGTGTTCTATTGTTTGTAGTAGTGGTGGTGTTTTTCACCAAGTGTGCTGTGTTAAAGCCCATCTTGAATATTAAGCATTTGGTCCATGTATTGCTGCAAAATACCCTGGCTCTATAATCCTTTAAAGATAAATTGGGTGAAACAAATCTGACCAGTCCTGGGGGTATTAATTATATTTCAAAATGAACTCAAGCCCAGATACACATTTCTAAATTGCGATTTTCATGGAAAGTGATTATTCAGGACCGGTAATAATATGAAATGTTGTAGTTTAGTAGATGTGTTATATTATGAAAACTGACAAAAGTAAGATTTTTTTTTTTTTGTGTGTGTGTGTTTCATGAGACATAATGCCTTACCATCATCAAACTTTAAAACCTTATTCATATGTAATATAAACTTATTTGTGCTAACTTCTTATTTTTAAAATTTGAAATAAAATTGACACATATGTATTATCTAATATAGCAGCTCTTGCCATATATGGTTTTTGAGCATTTGAAGTGTGGCTGGTCTGACTGAGGAACTAAATTTTAAATTGTATTTAATTTTAAATAATTTAAATTTAAATTCTTATGGCCACATGTGGCTAGTGGCTACAATATGGAACAGTGCAGCCTCAGATAGTACCTCTCAACTGGGGATCTAGAAGGGAGTTAAATCCTCATGACCAAAGGCATACACTGTTTCTAATGCATCAGTTTACCTCTCGTGCATCAAGAATGATACTATGTATCATTATTAGAATAATTAAGAAGATAGCGTCTCAAATTATTTTCTGTGAGGTCTAATTCTCTCATTGCATCTAATTGAGAATGGCTGTTTTAGAAAGTTCCTTCATTTCCTTTTCCATTCATACCACCCCCAAAGATCCCCCAAATGAAAATCACTATTCTTTTGTTTGTATCCATTGATTATTTTTGCCTGTTCTTTGACTTCGTATAGATAGAAATATACAGTGTGTTTTATGTTGGGGACGACTTCTGTCACTTTACAAAATGTTTTTGAGATCCATATTGTATCTAGTAATAGTTCATTTATTTGTATTGCTATGCAGTATTTCATTGTATCAACATATCAAAATTTGTTTACCTATTTCCAAATTTGTCCATTTCATTTAAGTTGACAAATTTATTAACATAAAATTTTCATAACATCTTTTATTATCTCATTAATTTCTATAGTATCTATAATAATGTCCCCTATCTCATATTTGATGTCAGCAATTTACTTATTCCATCTTGCTAGGACTTTATCAATTTTATAAAAAATTTTAAAAAATGACTTTGACCTTGTTGATTTTCTCTATGGTTTTATATTTTATTTATTCCTTCATCACCATTAGCCCTTTCTTTCACTTATTTTACAAGGTAAAATTAGTTAAAACTAATTAAATCTAGTTTTTCTCATAGGCTTTTATTTATTATATAAATTTCTGGTTATGTATGAAATGCCCATTCTTTCCCATTTATTTACTGATTCTGCAGACTTCATTGAGCACCTTCTACCCCATGGAAGGTGCTGGGATAAGCATTAGTAAACAAGATCGCCACATTTCTTGCCCTTTTGTCTTCACAATTTTGTTGAGTAGGTGGATAGCGGGAAAGAAATGGCAAGGATAGCCAGGCCTGGTGGCACATGCTTATAATCCCAGCTACTTGGGAGGCTGAGGCGGGAGGATTGCTTGAACTCAGGAGTTTGAGACCAGCCTGGGCAATGTAGTGAGCCCTCAGTCTCAAAAAATAGAGAAAAAGAAATGGCAAGGATGATAACTACCATGATGGAAAAATAGAAAATTACAGAGGAATATTGGAGTTTATAACAGGAAACTTACATAGACTGGGGCTTGGGAAAAGCATTACTGAGGTAGTGCCTCACCAGTGGCCTGAGCACCCAGCAGCCACTGCCACTGCCACTGCCCAGCTGGTACCTGGGGAGTTGGTGGTGAGGCCAGAGATTGCGTTAGCAGAGATGACAGGCCCAGCCTCACAGGGATGCTTGAGCCAGCCAGTGTCCCGGCCCTGCACTGCCCCAGGCTGTTCATGAAGCATGTGACCATCAGCATGGACACTTAGAGAACAAAAGGACAAGATAATAAAGTACACAATGATTCTTTGCATCAGAAGGATGTGGTTCATGACAATGACTTTCAGCCCTACCTTTCTGGAGAGTCAAATTAGAGTAACAATTACCCTTCAGTGAGTGACCTCTACCTGTCCGGCTATTACCCACCATCCACTGGAGTTCCTTAATCCCTCAATGAGGCTCTGTGGTCCACTGCAAGGGACCCTTTGATTCTACACCTCATCACCTATGAACAGCTCAGTAACAGAGATCATAATTTTATGCACAATTCTATTTTGGGGTGGCCTTGGGGTCCGGAGAACAAAATCTATCAGCACAGGTTTAATTTTTACCCCCAAACCCTGTATTCTTGGCATGGAGGACAAGTGGGTCTCAAGGGTAGCAGATTCAGAGCTCTACATATGGGAGCAGCTACACCTACCCCCAAGCTCCCTGGGCCACGCAGTGGTTGATGGGCAGATGGGCTTTCACAGCGACACCCTTAGCAAGGCCCCTGGGGTGAACAGCCTGAAGCAGGGCATAGTCAGCCTGAAAATTGGGGATGTCATCTCCTCTGCAGTCAAGACAGTGGGCTCTGTCATCAGCAGTGTGGCACTGATTGGCATACTTTCTGGCAATGATGGGACATATGTGAACATGGCAGTTTCAAAGCTGACCTCATGGGCCGCCATTGCCAGCAAGCCTGCAAAACCACGGCCTAAAATGGAAACAAGGAGTGGGCCTGTCATAGGGGGGTGCATTGCCCCCTCCATCTATAAAGCATAACATGGGTATTGACACCCAGGATAACAAGGGGCCTGTGCTGAAGACCCCGGCCCCCCAGGAGACATGATCCTCACAGGCTGTCCTACAACCCCAGAAGGTGCTTCAGCTTCTCCCAGTGAAGCTTCCTGCTTTGGCTCAACCACAGTATCAGAGCCCTCAGCAGCCATTCCAGACCTGCTGGATCATTCCTCACGTGGAAATATGGCATTTGGGCAGAGCAGAGGGGCTGACAGTGGTAGTAACTCTCCTGGAAATACCAAGACTAATTCTGCCCCAAGTATAAAAAAAAGTGAAAGCTGCCCACAGTTATAATCCTAAAGAATTTGACTGGAATCTTAAAAGTGGACATGTACGCATTATAAAGAGCTATTCTGAGGATGACATTCACCACTCCATTAAGTACTCCCTTTTGTGTAGTACAGAACATGGCACTACTTAGTTGAATAGTGCATTCAGCTCCATAAGCAGCAAGGGGCCTGTCTGCCTGCTCTTTGGCATCAGTGGGAGTGAGTATTTCTGTGGGGTGGCGGAGATGAAGTGCTCTGTGGACAGCAGCACCAGTGCCGGAGTCTGGTCTCAAGACAAATGGAAGGGGAAGTTTGATGTCGAGTGGATTTTTGTCAGTGATGTACCCAATAACGAGCTCAGGCACATCAGACTGGAGAATCATGACAACAAGCCAGTCATAAACCATGACACACAGGAGGTGCCTTTAGAAAAAGAAAAACAAGTGCTGAAAATTATTGCTTCCTACAAGCACACAACCTTTATCTTTGATGACTTTTCTCACTACGCGAAATGCTAGGACGATGAGGAGGTGATGTGCAAGGAATGACACAATCAAAATAAACAATAAGAACAAACCAGTTTCTTGTATGTTCTATCATTTGATTTTGAAAAAGCATTTATAAAGCACGTGCTTGGTCAGCTCCAGTGTGTCGTCCTTTGCAAGGGCTGAGTGTTGCATTTTTGTCTTTTTGTAGTTCTTTTTTTTTTTTTCGCAGATGGATCCACATTCACCTGTACTTTTTAAAATGATACTGTAGAACTCACTCTCATGCCTGTAATCCTGCCACATTGCGAGGTGGGTGGATCATGAGGTCAGGAGTTCAAGACCAGCCTAGCCAAGATGGTGAAACCCCATCTCTACTAAAAATACAAAAATTAGCCAGGCATGGTGGTGAGTGCCTGTAATCCCAGCTACTTGGGAGGCTGAGGCAGGAGAATTGCTTGAACCCAGGAGACGGAGGTTGCAGTGAGCCATGCTCTGCAGTGAGCCTGGGCGACAGAGTGAGACTCTGTCTCAAAAAAAAAAAAAAAAAAAAAAAAAAGTTTTTTTGGGTCACCTTATCAATGAGACCAATGTGAAATATAAGTATCCTTAAAAACAAACAAAGCAAAACAAACCTAGTACATCCCAATTAATTTTTTCTATTTTGTCAGAAATTATGATCTTTTTCCTAAATTCACAGTCATTTAATATCTCCATTTGAGATTTCATAATTCTCACCCTTTTATTGCTTTATAGCAAACATAAGAAACCATGAGTTGTTTTCTCATTTGAGAGTATTCTGTTAAAATCCCTTGAAAATATCTACCAAGTGGCTTCTCTGTTCCTTCCCTGTTGTCTGATCTGGCTGGATAGTAATGGGATGCAGTGTGCAGAGGAATTGGAAGATGTTTTAGGTCTGGTTCAATGTTTAGTCATTCTTAGTTGTTTGCAGATCATTTTTAATTTCCCCCTTTTTCTTCACTTGAGAATCCTTATGGTGTCTTAAAGTTTTATACCAATAATGCTGAGCTTTAAGTGTAGAATCTCATAGTACAGACAGAGTGAAGGATGATGTCACCAATTGTAAATTTCACCATGTCTAATTTTTTTTTTCTGTTGAATGGGTAAAAACAAAAAATAAACCCATTTAAAAAATGAATTAGGCCAGGCACGGTGGCTCACGCCTGTAATCCCAACACTTTGGGAGGCCAAGGCAGGCGGATCACCTGAGCTTGGGAGTTCGATACCAGACTCACCAATATGGAGAAACCCTGTCTCTACTAAAAATACAAAATTAGCCAGGCGTGGTGGTACATACCTGTAATCCCAGCTACTCAGGAGGCTGAGGCAGGAGAATCGCTTGAACCGGGGAGGCAGAAATTGCAGGGAGGCAGAGATTGCAGTGAGCTGAGATCATGCCATTGCACTCCAGCCTGGGCAATAAGAGCAAAAACTCTGTCTCAAAAAAAAAAAAAAAAAAAAAAAAAAAAAGATTTATAAAAAAACAGCTTTCATGTTTTGTGAAATGAGGGACTCATGAAATAATTGGACTCACCACCACCTGGAATTTCAGTTGAAGATGAACATAGTGACTCCACCAAAGGATTCTACTTGCACTCCAGGAATGGTTCCTTAACCGAAATGGAAATTCACAAATGACAGATAAAGAATTCAAAGCAGGAATTGCAAGAAAGCTCAATGAGATCCAAGACAAGGTTGAAAAGTAACACAAAGAAACTTTTAAGCAATCTAGGAAATGAAGGAAGAGATAAACATCTTAAAAATAAATCAATCAGAGTTTCTGGAATTAAAAATCTTAAGGAATTTCAAAATAATGACACTCATAGGCTCAAAGTAAAGGGTCAGAGAAAGATCTGCCATGCAAATGGAAAAGAAAAAAAGAAGGAATTGCTATTCTTATATCAGAACAAAACAGACTTTAAACCAACAACAGTAAAAAAGAACAAAGAAGGGCAATACATAATGATAAAGTGTTTAATTCAAGAAGGCTTAACTATCCTAAATATTTAAGCTCCCAACATTGGAGTATCCAGATTCATAAGACAAGTACTTCTAGACTTGTTATAAGATTTAGACAGTCACACAATAATAGTAGTGACCTTCAACACCACAATGACTGCATCAGACAGATCATCAAGTCAGAAAACTAACAAAAAAATTCTGGACTTAAACTTGACACTTGACAAATTGGACCTAATAGACATCTACAGAATACTCCACCTATCAACCACAGAATATACATTTTTTTATCTGCACATGAAACATAGTCCTAGATTGACCACCTACTCCCCTATAAAGCAAGTCTCAATACATTCAAAAAAATCAAAAACCTACCAACCGTACTCTCAGACCACAGTGAAACAAAAATAAAAATAAATACTAAGAAAATCTCCCCAAAGCATACAATTTCATGGACATTAAACAATATGCTCCTGAATGACTTTGGGGTATATGATGAAATCAAGGCAGAAATAAAAAAATTTCAACTAAATAAAAACAGAGACACAAATTACCCTAATCTATGGGAATTAGCAAAAGCAGTGTTAAGAGGAAAGTTTATAGTGCTAAATGCCTACTTCAAAAAGTTAGGAAGATCTCAAATTAATGATCTAACAATGCACCTCAAGGAACTAGGAAAACAAGGATGAACTAACCCTAAAGCTAGCAAAATAAAAGAAATAACTAAAATTAGAGTGGAACTGAATGAAATTGACACCCAAAAATTCATATAAAGAATTGATGAAATCAAAGGTTGGTGTTTGAAAGAATACACAGGATTGATAGACCACTAGCCAGATTTACAAGGAGAAAAGATCCAAATAAACACTATCAGAAATGACAAAAGTGACATTACAACTGAACCCACAGAAATAAAAAAAAATGCTCAGGGACTATTATGAATACCTCTATGCACACAAACTAGGAAATCTAGAGGAAATGGATAAATTCTTGGAAAAACACAATCTCCTAAGATTGAGTCATGAAGAAATTGAAACCTCGAACAGAACAATATCGGGTTCTGAAATTGAATCAGTAATAAAAAAACCTAACAACCAAAAAAGCCCTGGACCAGAAGGATTCATAGCTGAATCCTACCAGATGTACAAAGAAGACCTGGTACTTATTCTACTGAAACTATTTCAAAAATTTGAGGAGGAGGGTCTCCCCCTTAACTCATTATATGAAGCTAGCAACACCCTGCCAAAGACACAACCACTAAAGAAAACTACTGGCCAATATCCCTGATGAACATAGATGCAAAAAAACCTCAACAAAATACTAACAAACTGAATTCAGCAGCACATCAATAAGTTAGTTGACCATAATCAAGTAGGCTTCATTCCCAGGATGCAAGGTTGTTTCAACATATGCAAATCAATAAATGTGATTCATCACATAAACAGAATTATATTACAAAAACTATATGATCATCTCAATAGGTGCAAAAAGAGCTTTAGATAAAATCCAGCATTCTTTCATGGTAAAAACCCTGGAGAAACTAGGCAACATACCTCAAAATGATGAAAGCCATTTATGACAAACCCACAGCCAACAACATACTGAACAGGCAAAAACTGGAAGCATTCTCCTTGATAACTGGAATAAGACAAAGATGCCTACTCTTCCCCCTCCTATTCAACATAGTATTGGAAATACTAGTCAGAGCAATCAGGCCAGAGAAAGGCATCCAAATAGGAAAATAAGTCAAACTATCTCTTCTTGCTGATGATATAATTCTATTTCTTGAATACCCTGAAGACTTCACCAAAAGGCTCCAGGAATCAGTAAACAACTTCATCAAATCTTTAGGATACAAAATCAATGTAAAAAAACCAGCCGTATTTCTATATACCAATACTGTTCAAGCTGAGAGCTAAATCAAGAATACAGGGGGTGGGGTAGAGGGAAGGAGAGCATTAGGAAAAATAGCTAATGCATGCTGGGCTTAATACCTAGGTGGTGGGTTGATAGGTTCAGCAAACCACCATGGCACATGTTTACCTATGTAACAAACCTGCACATCCTGCTCATGTACCCCAGAACTTAAAATAAAAATAAAAATTAAAAAATTTCTGCATATCGCTAATCATTACAGAAATGCAAATCAAAAACACAATGATGTAATTCCAGCACTTCGGGAGGCCTAGGCATGTGGAACACTAGAGGTCAGGACTTCGAGACCAGCCTGGCCAACATGGTGAAACCCCATCTCTACTAAAAATACAAAAATTAGCAGGTCCTAGTGGCATGTGCCTGTGATCTCAGCTACTCCAGAGCTTGAGGCAGGAGAATAGCTTGAGCTCAGGGCAGGGTAGTGGAGATTGCAGTGAGCTGAGATCAGCCTGGGCCACAGAGTGAGACTCTATCTCAAAAAACAACAGCAACAGCCGGGTGTGGTGGCTCACACCTGTAATCCCAGCACTTTGGGAGGCCGAAGTGGGCAGATCATGAGGTCAGCAGATCGAGACCATCCTGACTAACACGGTGAAACCCCGTCTCTATAAAAATACAAAAAATTAGCCGGGCATGGTGGCGGGTGCCTGTAGTCCCAGCTACTCTGGAGGCTGAGGCAGGAGAATGGTGTGACCCCGGGAGGCGGAGCTTGCAGTGAGCCAAGATCGCGTCACTGCACTCCAGCCTGGGCGACAGAGCAAGACTCTGTCTCAAAACAACAACAACAACAATAACAACAGCAACAACAACAAAGCTCCACAATGAGATAGCATCTCACACCATTCAGAATAGCTATTATTAAAAAGTCAAAACACAACAGATATTGGTGAGGCTGCAGAGAAAAGGGAGCACTTCTACACTGTTGGTAGAAATATAAATTATTTCAGCCACTGTAGAAAGCAGATTGGAGGTTTCTCAAAGAACTTAAAAAACAGAACTAACATTTGACCCAGCAATCCATTACTGGGTATATACGCAAAAGAAAACAAATTGTTCTACTGAAAACACATACACTCACATGTTTAGTCCAGTACTATTCACAATAACAAAGACATGGAATCAACCTAGGTGCCCATCAACAGTGGACTGGATAAAGAAAATGTGGTATATATACACCATAGAATACTTTGGAGCCATACAAAAGAATGAAATCATGTCCTTGCGGCAATATAGATCCAGCTGGAGGCCATTATCCTAAGCAAATTAATGTAGGAACAGAAAACCAAATACTGTGTGTTCTCATTTATAAGTGAAAGCTAACCATTGGGTACGTATGGACTTAAAGATGGCAACAATAGACACTAGGGACTACTAGAGTGGACAGGGAGGGAGGGGAGCAGGTGTGGAAAAGCTGTTGGTTCTATGCCCAGTACCTGGGTGATGGGATCATTTATACCCAAGCCTCAGCATCATGAAATATATCCAGGTAACAAACCTGTACATATACTCCAAAATTTAAAAGTTGAAAAATTAAAAAAATTAAAATTGCAAATTGATAACATTACATAAAAATTAAACATTCTGTTCAATAAAGAACTCATTGAATAAAATTAACTGATAATAAGTGGAAAAACATTTTCAAAATCTAACAGCAACTAGTGCTTAATATATAAACTACACAAGTGTCTCCTAAAAATCAACTAGAAAAAGGCACCCCAGGGAACAGACAAAAATAGATGAACATGAAATTACAGAAGAATAAACTTAGAAAACTAAGAGGCATGTGATAAGATGGTCAGAATGGTGAGTAATTTAAGAAATTCAAGTTCAAGCATCATTGAGCTGTAATTGTAAATGATTAGAGTGGCAGGTATTTGAAAGTTAGGTAATAGCAACTGAAATATGAAGGCATAAGAACTCTATTGCACTTCTAGTGGTAGTGGTAGTGGATCTGACATGACTTATTCAGATTAAGTGTAAGTGTATCCTACAACCCTACCTTTCTACTTCTGAGTACACATCTCAGTGAGCTTGAGGAGACACATGTGAGGATTTAGGATTTTCTTTGCAGAAATGTTTGTCAAGGCAGGAGTTGAAGGCAGCCCTGGATGTCTGCCACCTGGACAGAGATAGAAGAGCTGGGCCTATAGGTAGGTAATCCTAGGTTCCCATCACTGGGGCAGTGGGAAAATAAGCCTGGAAATCCATCACTGGGGCAGTGGGAAAGGAAAACTGGAAATCGATTACTGGGACACTGGATAGTTAAAATGTGGAACATGTAGATGTTTGAATACCAACCATCCTAAAAGAGTACTGTGAAATTTAAAATCATTTGTACTTTTCTGATTTTATATGTGAAGTCGCTTGGAGTGCTGACTTAAAATGTTCATTGGCCATTTGACAAAATGAGAGTGACCTTTATTAAATTTTTTAAGTCTGAAGGCTAGAGGATAAGGGCTTAGTTAAGGACTACTGGAATTCATTCCTCATCTTCAAATACTTTCTAAATTAAAAAAAAAAATACATGCAGAACATTTAATAAAGTCTAACAGTGTCAAAAGGATTAAAATTAAAAATTCATTCACCTGCTTCATGTCTTTTTATTTTCAAACTATAGCTTCCTTTGGCAGCCACTTTCACTCTTTTATAATAGTTACTTTATATTTTTAAGTTATATACTTACATTTCTTTCTCTCGATTAATTAGTTTAAGGCATTTATTTGAACTTGAATATCATAGATCAGGATTTTTGCTATCTTGCAACTCCCCTGTGATGATTAATGTTATGTGTCAAATTGACTGGACCAAGGGGTATCCAGGTTAAATATTTTGAGTGTATCTCTGGGAGTTTCCGGATGAGATTAGTATTTGAATCAGTGGACTGAGTAAAGTAGATACTCTTCCGCAATGTGAGTGGGCATCATTTAATCTGTTCAGGGTTGAGGGCCTGAATAGAACAAAAGGTAGAGGAAGGAGGAATTTGCCCTTTTTTTTTCCTGCCTCACTGTATGAGCTGGAACTTCTCATTGCAGCTTCTCCTGCCTTGGCCTGGAATATACTTACTTATGTGCAGATGGTAGATCATGGGACTTCTTATCCTCTAAAATCATGTGAGCCAATTTCTCACAACCTCTCTCTCCACATCAATCTATCTATCTATCTATCTATCTATCTATCTATCTATCTATCATCTATCTATCTATCTATCTATCTATCATCTATCTATTATATCTATTATATCTATCTCCTATTGGTTTTGTTTCTCTGGAGAACTCTAATACATCCCCACATTTCTAATATATACTATTTTTGGTTACATTATAGTTTTTGTTAAGTTAATATTTAGAGTTTCTATTTTTATGATGTTTTAAGTATCTGCTGAGTCAAATAGTATACTATAATAATGAAATAGATTACACTGGCTAATTATGGAAGACTTGGCTACACTGTGCCAAGAAGTTCAATGTTACCCGTATAGTAAGAAGTCCAGAAATAGCAGCTCAGTGATGATGAATAGGCTTCACTATGCCATTTGGGACACAAGTTTCATTCTGACTTTCCAATTGTTTTCATGTGGCTATTTGTATCATGCAGGTCACTTCTAGGTTGCAAGATTAATGCTTTATTTTCAGCATTCATCTATATTTCAGACAGGAAGAAAGAATGAAAACAAGCAGAAAGCTTGAGCTCTCTGAGTCTTTTTTCTTTTAAAATATTTTCCTAGAAGCTCTACCTAATAATGAGTTCCATTTACATCTTATTAGCTAGAGCAATGTCACATGGTCTCCCTTTTAGCTGAATATTGGCCTTCCTCAACTGGTCTTTTAATTTTCTTTTCTCTCCTATTCTCTAACTCTTTTCTTTTCATTGATTTTTTTTGGGAAAATTTCTAATTTCTAAATTTATTTTGTGAGTATGCTATTAATTTTTTCTAATTCTATCTGTTACATTTTTTAATTTAAAAGAAATTTTTTTATTTTCATAGCAATCTATATCTTGTTTCTTGATATAATTTGTTCTCTTATCTCTCTTAGAATATTGAAGATGATTACTTTAAAGCTTGCTGTTATATTCTATGCTGGTTGTGTTTCCTTTGTATTTTCTTGCTTTAATTGTTCTTTTGAGTTTTCTCAAACAGCTTAAGATCTTTAGGCGTGAGATATTAGATAAGACCCATAGTCTTCTTGGGCCATCATAACAAAACACAGTAGACAGGGTGACTTGAATAACAGAATTTATTTTCTCATAGTTCCTGAGTCAAGTTCAAGATCAAAGTGTTGGCAGGGTTGGTTTCTTCTGAAGGGCTCTCTTCTTGGCTTGTAAATCACTGTCTTCTTTCTGTGTCTTTACATAACCTTCCCTCTGTATGTTTCTGTGTCCTAATTTCCTCTTCTAAGCACACAAGTCATATTGTATTAAGGCCCACCTAGGACTTCATTTTAACTTAATTACCTATCTCTATAAAGATTCTCTCTCCAAACACAGTTACATTCTGTGGTACTGGGTTGGGGACTGGGCATTTAAGACTTTAACATGTGGTTTTGGGGGGACAAAGTTCAGTCCCTAAACAATCTTCATGGATATGTGGGGCAAATTGTTTTTTAGTTATTCTCTTCTGAGTGCTTTGAAGTCTAACAAGCCAATATTTTGCTAAATGCACTGGTCTTTATTTTCCTTCTTTCTATATTATATTTTGAGTTCAAATATATCTCCTGGTTTTAATGAATATGGAATTTCTATTTCTTTGTCTACTTGTGAGTTCTGGGAAGTATCTTGGAGGACAAAATGAATAGAAAGAGTAGAATGCTTTCTGTTCTTCATCTTAAAAATCAGAAATCTCTACTAATGCTTCTTGTCATAGGTTGGCCTCCCAAATAAGGACTCTGAGATGGATATTAGTGTGCAGGAAGTTTGTTAGGAAGCACTGTTGGGATCAACTCCTGTGGAGGTAAGGGAAGTAAATGAAACAGAGTTTGGCAGAAGTAGAAGTTGAGATGTGATGTGGTCTCAACAAAGGCTTCAGCTGAACCAGGATCTCTGAAGCTGGGATAGCTGTCAGAATTGTCCTGCATCCAGTGAGTGCCTTTGTACTTCTGCATCAGTCAATCATTAAACATTGGCGGGCCCATGATGAGAGAGTGACCTTGATTCAGGTGGCTCTTTTTAGGCATAGGATATTTTTGGAGAGAGCTGACATCTAAGGGCTGTAAGTTGGCAGAATTTCCAGAAACTGGAATGTAGGTCCTTCATTCCTGAGGGTGATCTGGGTAGCTCATTACAGCATCATCCACCCTTCTGCACATATACCTTATGATATATTCAAATTGGTTGACTGTGAATCTTCATCTCTCCTTTTCCTCATCTTGTTTATCTTCTTACATCATTAATCCCTACTTCTAATTTTGACCTGTCAGAATTCTATTGTTTTTCAAGAACCAGTTAAAGTGTCACATCTCTTATAAAGTCTTCATCAATCATCCTAGTGAAAAATAAAATGTATCTTTATTCTCTGAAACCCTTTTGACCCTGGATTTTATCTATAGCATGGCACATAGCATACTCTGCCTTAATCGTGGTTCATTATATAATTGGAACTCCTACGGGATTGTTAATTTCTTATGTACAAGAAACGACAATATTGTTGAAATATCTACATACTAGAAACTCAATAAATTTTCTTTGAATTTAGTATTCATTGAAATACATCCATTGCAGATCTAGACAACCAGAGATGGCCAAATGCCTTGTCTTGTAAAATGTCAGAGTAATGCACAAACAACTGACAGTAACAGCTAAGTCCCTTATCTCTTCTTAACCTAAAGCAATATTTTCAATGTTTTAAAATAGCTTGTGCTTGATGCAGTATTTGAACGGAAAGGATAATAAACAGAAATCAAGGTACAGTTTTTGGAAGAATAGCATAACTTTTGCCTTGTCCAAGGCTTTTGGTATGAATGGAACTGGATCTTAATCCTTTTAAGGATACTTTCTGCATGCCTATACAGCTAGTGATTTATTTTTGGTTTTTAAGGGTCATATTTTCATAAATTACAGATTTTCTCAATATTATACATTACAGATCTTAAATACTTGAGTTATTATTAACACGAAACTAAGAAAAGAAAAGTCTATCAGAGACATGAGGGTAATTCAAAATATTTGGTCATCTTTACACATGATTGAGGTACATTAGTTTACTAAGTTAATATGCTATGAATAAAAAAAATATGATATTTCTTAGTAGTCTAGTGTCTGCTCTTTTCTGATTGACCCTATTTTATGTAAGCCCAATAATTTTCTCTGAGAAATCATTGTGTTTAGTTCTTTTATAATTGGTATGTGATATCATCTCCTTAAAATTCTCTCATTTTTCTGATTTCACTGCTTTATTTCATTCTTTATTTGCATAGAATCTTAAAGTTTTTAACTACATATGACCCAGTGCACACATGTGTAGTACGTAGTTCTGAAATAAAAGTTTCATGAAACAATACTTAGTGTGTAGGTACACTCTGCTGTTTTCTTTTCTTTTTCTTTGAATGCAGTAAGATATTGGTTGTGATCCATTAAACCCATTTCACAAACCCTAATGTACCAAAATCTGCAGTTTAAAGATCCTGCTTTAGAGGGCTAACCCATTCTTAGTCACAATTATCACTCTTCCTTAATCATGTGACACCCAGAACTGATTTCTCACCTAATCTTTTTCTTTGTTTTCCACCTTAACTCTGTCTCCAGGCCCTCATCATTTTATACCTTGATTCACATGATAGCTTGCTAGCTCGTCTCCCTACCTATATTCTCCTCCCTCCAACTTACTGCCTTCTAATTTGCTTTCAGCATACTAATTCTTTACTCCTCTTACACAAAGTATCTAGCATATTGCTTTGAGGAGCAGTTTTCAATGAATGCTTTTTGAATGATTGAACACTTAAATTCCCCATGGATTTTATCAGGAAGATAGCTATATAAGAAGGTACTCAGAGTTTCCCAAATTTGGTCCTGGTCTACTTCACTAAACTTCTCACCTGCTAAATGAGATAATGCCTGATGAATATTATGTATTTGGTATGCAATAGCCATGATATCTGGCATCACCATCAATATTATAACCTTTACAAACTCTCCATTTGAACTGTGTTTACTCTGCCTGTGTAAGTCTCCTTTTTATTCTGTTTGTCTAAGTTTGTATCTCTGCATGAAGTTTATTTCTTTTGTAAAGCCTCTTGGGTCATGCCATTTCTCATGTACCTTTTCCGTATTTGAACTTTTATATTGCTAATTGTTTGAATCTCTCATGCCTGCTATGAATGCCAGCTAATTGTATTATAAAGTGCTTCCTGGAGAATATTCTGTGGAGTATTTTTCTTTGGATAGAGGGGCTTAGATGCTCCATAAAAAGGAACAAAGAAAGGAAGAAAAAGAATAAACGATAGGAAAAGTAATGAAAGGGAAACGAGTAAAACGATAGTCTATGTAAAAATAAATTTGAAAACTTATGGGTTAAGTGAAGTTAAAGCTACATTTTTAAATATTTGACTGCAGGATTTCTCAGAGTCTTAATGAACACTATAAATCTCCAAAGGGTAAAAATTATACATAGTCATTCCCAAGAATCAATCTATAAGACTGTAGATCCATTTGTGGTCACAACAATCTTCCAGGACTAGAATTCCTCAGAACATACTTCAAGTAAATAGGGTGTAATTATTTCACACATACTTTTTAGTTTTCCTTCACAGCATCTGTGTTTATCAAACACTGTTATATTCCCAGTTTAACAGATGAAGCAACTGAGACTTAAAGAGGCTTACCATTTGCCTAAGATCACAAAGCCTTTAGAGGCAGCACTAGCATTTGAATTTCTAGCTCCTGAGTCCAGGCTTAGCCTCACCTGTTGGGAAGATGACCTCTTGATAACCTCTCTGATCTGTAAAAATGGGGCTGCTGAGCAGATTCAGTGAGATGTGGGATGTAAACTACATGGCTTTCAAAAAAGGTTAGCTCCCTTTATTTTTTACTTTATTCTAGCCACTTAACATGGTATTTTATTTTATTACTTTAAAAAAGATGTGTCTTGATTCTTTATGTAGATATCCTTGATTGAAGAGAAGCTTATATGCCTCTTTTCAAGTCTTTATAAAGCTAAGTCCAGTGCTACTTAGATAAATGCAAAATTCAGAGGTTCATAGTTCTTTGTAATAAGAAAAGAGTATCTGAAGATGATTTTGAAGATGTCACTTTTTTTTGAAATTCTATTTTATTTTATTTTTTTATTCTCT